>NC_000014.9:50520803-50823834 GCF_000001405.40 Homo sapiens | reverse complement strand
CATTTACATAGTGATTAGTTAACCCAACAGACCAATCCTGGGAAGACAGCCAGAGCCTGCAGCACCTTAGTAACAGAAAAACTGATAATTAGGAGAAGAGACCTGTCCAAGACCAGGAACCTGGACCAAAATTGTGCCATGTTGCTTTACTTTAATGAGTGGCCCCAGTAAAAACTGAGCTGTATGGCAGAGCTGTTCACATTTATCTTCTGTGTCCACCCAGTTCTGCTGAAACCCCTGGCAAGATCGTGGCCCTGTTGTAGCTTGTCATGTTTTGAACAGCTGTCTATGGAAAGAAAGCAAACACAACCTAGAGCAACATTGATTTGTTTTAGAAAGCTCTTTTATTTTCAGTTCTGGCTGTGTTCAACATCTTAGCTTACGTTTTTCATGTTGTAATGATCTGCCGTATGGACGATCACCTCTAAGTTAGAGAGTTCTGTAATTTGGCTTGGATTAAAGATGCTTGGTTAGTGAAAGCTGCTGCTTTTTTTATAGTCAAAGGACTGGTTCTGAGAGCCTTGTTGCAGATGGCTGAGGTCACCGTCCCAAGGGTGTATGTCGTGTTTGGCATCCATTGCATCATGGCGAAGGCATCTTCAGATGTGCAGGTTTCAGGCTTTCATCGGAAAATCCAGCACGTTAAAAATGAACTGTCATGCAAGGAAAAAAAAAAAACCACAGATTTCATTAGTAAAATACGAGCTACCTGGAATTTTATGATGTATATTTTTAACAAAAATGACTCAGTTATTGACGTCTCCAAGTTTTTACTGATCCTAAGGACAGTGGCAAAATGGAAAGCCTGGAGTATGGGTAGGTGAGAGAGACGGAACACAGGTTAACCAGGCATAAAGAGATGAGATGCTTTAGTGAGTGGAGGTTCCCTGAGATGCTGTATGATTCATATAAACCAGTCAGTGGCTCCTTTAAACCTCACTGTCTGAAAGGTTGAAATAGTGTCTTCCCCTTTCTCTAGGCAACTAAGCATTACCTAAAACTCGCTGGGACTAAAGCAAGCTTCTGGGAATATTCTTCCCGTCACACCTCATGTAATTGCACCAGTGAAGTTAATTGAGTTGCTTTTTGAGGAACTCGTGTAAAAGGCATTTAGTTTCATGTAAAACAGGGAGGTGGTTTTGTAGCAGACGTCGTGTTCATTTAGTGCCTCTTGCTGCAGCCCTCCAGTCTAGCTATGATGGGGGCCATCTAAGCTGAATGAAGTAGAACGAATCAGCTTGGCCACGCTGACCGATTGCACCATCGGGGCAGGTTGTCTAAAGCTTGCCAGCTAGCATGGAAGCTCTGACCATGCAGTCTGCTGGCGCTAACAATTAGTTCACTTGAATAGTCTTGCTGTCAAAGTGGCTTTTCACCTTCTTAAAATCCTGGGCTAGAAGAGCTGGGAGAGAACCACCTTCAGCCTTGAGTTTGGCAGTCTGGCTGTCCGCCTGAGAACCAGGCAAGAGAGGAGGGTGTCTTCTACTGTACGTGACCCTCTCATTCTGGTAATTTTGCTCCCAGTGTGATCTGAGCTTATGTATATGCCCCTGATGTGAGTGCATGCAGGAGTGTCACTGGCCAGGGCTGGTCCTACAGAGACTGGGGGTCTTGCTGTGGGGTGCATCAGAAACTGGGTGTTCCCGAGCATTCCCTAGAGACTGGTGGGGTACAGAGAACGGGAATGTGCCAGGTGGTGACCACGGTAGGACTGGAGAGGCTGCCACAACCTGTCCTTGTCTCTGTCTTACACACAGGTGAGCACTGTGGGCTATGGGATGGATGAGGTGGAGCAGGACCAGCATGAGGCCCGACTCAAGGAGCTGTTTGACAGTTTTGACACGACGGGCACAGGGTCCCTGGGGCAGGAGGAACTCACCGACCTTTGCCACATGTTGAGCTTGGAGGAGGTGGCCCCAGTGCTGCAGCAGACATTACTTCAGGACAACCTCTTGGGCAGGGTAAGGTCTGGGGAAGAACGTGGCTATGGGAAGTGGGGTGCGGTTTCTGCCGGGGTGCTGGGGGTGGGGCGGACCACACATGTTGCAACTTGTTTCTAGCATCCTGGCTGTTACATGATAAAAAGAAGAATGTAATGGGTGTGACATCACAGTCCAGTTTGCTAGGGTGACAAGAGCCTGCTTTAATTTGTGCTCTGGAATTATGGTGTACAGTGAGCATCTTAGATAAAGAGGCAATGAAAGGATGTTTTCCAACTTTTTTCTTGTTCTTTGTGGTTTATTTTATTGACTCCACATTCATCACTGGGACAGAAAGGAGGAGGGTGAGATTTCCATTGAAGAGAAAGAAAATGCAGTAAGAAAGCTATTGTTATGACTTTTACTCCCAGTGAAGCTATTTCTTGTGTGGATTATTTCTGGGTGAAGTATTAATTAAACTTTCTACCCAGGAAATAAGACAGCAGGGTAAATAAATACAGTGCAGGTTCATTTAAAACCCAGCACGGCTTGCTTCCAGCAGGGATGTGTGTGTGCACGCCAATGTTAACCTCTGTGTTTGATGACAAATAGTCATGTTATTACCATAGATCAAGTCACAGATGTGAGTAAGAAGTGAGAGAGGGTCTTTTTTTCCTCTTGCCAATGGTGGATATTTGATCTGCCATGACCTGAGATTGCCTTCAATTCTCCTCATTATAATTAATAGCTTTTATTATTTGCCTTATTTATAATTAATAGCTATTTATAATCAATAGGTTTATATGGCTTTGAGTCAAGTCTCTTGCTGTTGGATTTTGGAATGATGAGAGAAAAAGATGGACAACACTTTTTGCAGTCTGTTGCTTCATTCTGGTTTTTATCACGTATAAATTGAGGAAGCAGTTGTGAGGCTTAACTTTATTCTAGTGACTGAGCTTCCTTTTCTTCATTTCATTTTCACTGTCTTTTAGCTGACAAGAGAGGTAAGTGACTTCAGATATAGTACCATGTATTGGCTTTCTGTAACCTGAGACAGACAGGAGTAGCCATCATCCTGAAATTCATGTGCAAAAGATGATATTCTCAGGCACTTGGCACATGAGTGTGATGTTAAATGGGACTCACACTTGAAAAAAATATGTGACTTCTTTGCAAAAACTGGAGCCATTCTTGGCCTCTTGTGGCGGGGGGAGGGTTAGCTGTCTCTACATACATGTGGTCCCCATAAAATGCTAAAAATCTTGCTTTAATAATCTTAAAATGAAGCTTCGAAGATTGAACCATTTGCTCCTCATGCACTCACATATTTTCCAGTTCCGCCTCAGTCTTAGACTCTGTGGGTAGCAAAAAAACTGGCATCTCCCAGTATGGTCCTTGGGGATCTCAGTACTTTTGGTGTCTAAAGGATAGTATCAATGGGCTGATCTGTTTTAATGCTCATTAAAGTCTGAAAAGGCATGATACAACTAAGGTTTCCTTGAGTGGTTTTCTTAGAGTCTGCGTAAATATGGAATGCCACGCCGTAAACAGACTGCACCTTGGCAGCAGGTCAATGCTTTGCTCTCCAGATGTTGCACATCTTTGCCCTCATTTGGTAGACTCAAACAGGGAGCAGTTATTGATTGATTTGTTAACGACTTGACACTACCAGCCTGCTTCTGACGCTTGCTATTTGCCTGAATAATGAATACTTAAGTGGTCTATAGTGTGATATTTACTTAGTGAGCCAGTGATAAAAGTTAAATAGATGGATGCATATTGATTTCATGTGGGAGGTCCCTGGTGATAGTCCTGAGAGTGGGGGGGTTGGCATGAGTTAATGCACTACTGTTAAATTTGCATTTTTTAATGAAACCAAATTATTCTCCTCAGATGATCACACAGACTTGGCCATATGCTATTAAGATACTCTATATGGTCCATAATTTTAAATTATAAGAAAAAATGCCATAGGATTCACTGGAGCCATCCAAGTGTTATCATTTTCATGATGCATACAGTAGGGATTATAGTTGTAAAATTATAAGTGGTTTTTACTGCCAGTCATCTTTCTTCTCTTTAGAAGATATTTGTAGAAAAACTTATAAGGGTTAGCAGCTTGGTTTAATTAAAAAAGAAAGAAAGAAAGGGTAGCATAACAAATCTGAATATATTAATCTATTCATTAATTCAACAAATATGTATTGTGTGTGTCCTGCCTGTCAGGCATTCCTGTAGTCTCATGGCATGGGATCTGTATTAGTCCGTTTTCACGCTGCTGATAAAGACATACCCGAGACTGGGTAATTTATAAAGAAAAAGAGGTTTAAGTGACTCCCAGTTCCTTGTGGCTGGGGAGGCCTCACAATCATGGTGGAAGGTGAGAGAGAATGAGAAGATGAGAGACACACCTTACGTGGTGGCAGGCAAGACAGAATGAAAGCCGAGCAAAAGGGGAAACCCCTTATAAAACCATCAGATCTCGTGAGATTTATTCACTACCCCAAGAACAGTATGGGGGAAACTACCCCCACAGTTCACTTATCTCCCACTGGGTCCCTCCCACAACACATGGGAATTATGGGAGCTACAATTCAAGATGACATTTGGGTGGGGACACAGCCAAACCATATCAGGGTCCAAGTTATTTATATTTACATTTACTGTAAACTACAGTTTTCCATTAAGTTGGCTTTTGGCTGCATTAGTATCCATCAACTTCCTGGATGCTTCTGGCTTTAATTTTGTCTTTTAAATCTTAGTGAATATAATTTTTAAATCAAATACAACTTCTAAGCTTCCTCTATGTTGACTTAGGCTGAATTATCTTAATGAATATAATTTTTAAATCAAATACAAATCCACCTTACCTCTATTGGACTTGGGCTGAATTAATCCTTTTTTTCTTGAAAAAGAAGTAAGATGGAAAGCATTGTCTCGCTCAACCAGGAATGCAAACATTGTGTATTTATTTTTAAATATTACAACGCATCTTCAATAACTTGTTTTTTTTTTTTTTGAGGCCTAATGTTTAATAGTTGTTAATGAAAGTAACTTAAATCAACTTGCCATTTCTATGTGTTTTACCAATAGGTCATTTTCCCCCAAATTATTTTTCAATTCATTTGTCTTGCTTTATAGCTTGAAACCATATTCACCTGAGCAAGGTGGTTACTGTACAGGTGTTTGAAATGCGTAAAGCTTGTGGATCCCTGATTTGAAGGAAAAGGGATATTGCCGATAAGTGTTTACCACTAGGTTATGAAAAGAGTTCCATCATATCTTTGTCATCAGTTAAGCACCTGTCAGCTAGATGAGGCCTCATCACAAGGGGCTTCTCAAGACACCGAAAAACTTACAATCTAGTCGGGTAATATACATGGCACATGAGTAGCACGGGGAGCAAATACTACAAAAATCGAGGGGAACCATGAACCAAGTTTTATCCAAGCAATCATACTAATTGTAGATGCTTAAATGAAGTGTTTCTGCATACCTCTCTATCTCCTTTATTAGAAATCAGGACATGAAGATAATTTGCCTTGGTTTTGTTGAAACATTTAGTTATATCCAGTGTTTTTTTTTTTTTTTTTTTTTGACAGAGTCTCGCCGTCGCCCAGGCTGGAGTGTAGTGGCATAATCTCGGCTCACTGCAAGCTCCGCCTCCCGGGTTCACGCCTTTCTCCTGCCTCAGCCTCCCGAGTAGCTGGGACTACAGGCGCCCACCAACACACCCGGCTAATTTTTTGTATTTTCAGTAGAGACAGGGTTTCACCATGTTAGCCAGGATGGTCTCGATCTCCTGACCTCGTGATCCGCCCACCTCGGCCTCCCAAAGTGCTGGGGTTACAGGCGTGAGCCATCGTGCCCGGCCATATCCAGTTTTAAAAATGCATTCTTGGCCAGGCACGGTGACTCACGCCTGTAATCCTAGCACTTTGGGAGGCCGAGGCAGGTGGATTGCCGGAGCTCAGGAATTCGAGAGCAGCCTGGGCAACACTGTGAAACCCTGTCTCTGCTAAAAATACAAAAAATTAGCCGGCGTGGCAGTGGGCGCCGGTAATCCTAGCTACTCGGGAGGCTGAGACAGGAGAATTGCTTGAACTCGGGAGACAAAGGTTGCAGTGGGCCGAGATCACGCCATTGTACTCCAGCCTGGCGACAGAGCGAGATTCCGTTTCAAAAACTCCTTACGTAGTATGCCAACTTTGAGACAAAACAGCCCCTGAAGTTCTGAGGAGTTGCATTGCTATATTCTTAATATGAATTTGGATGCTGAAATACCCTATGTCCCTGGCACACTATAAAGTGAGAATAAGCCTCCAGGCAGCAGAATCACCACTGGTTTCTAGAGTCCGGTAGGTAATCTAGACTTTGGTAATCAAAGACATGTTGAAATTTTTAGTATTAAAATTTGATAGCTGTACAAATATATATAATTTAGATCAATTTTCTTACATTTCTGAAAGGGTTTGAGGTTCTTTCTAAATTTCTTGATAAATTTCATGTGGTGGATTTGTTTCCAACTCAAAAGCTTTTTAAGATTTATTTTTCTTATATACATTTTAATCATTTGAAGTGTAAATGAAAAATGGAGAAGTACTTTCTTGTAGTGCTTATTTGGACTTGTTCTCTGTATGCAAAATTACATTCAATATTAACTGCCATTGGTTTGTAATAGTGGTGCTGCTGATGGGGTTGTCATAATATAACTCATACAAAAGTCAGACTGGTTGTCTCTGATTTGTGGAAGGGAGGCTAGGGAGACTTAAATTGGTGAAGGGAAATGGCCTATGCTGTGGGAGAGAAAAGACAGCTAGGAGGAGGTTTTTTGCATATGTAGACTTGGATCTAGTCTCTAAGTCTGAACTCCTGAGGGTCTGTGGTTCCCCATTGATAAACAAGAAGACCTGATTAGGAGACTGCTCAACTTGCTTTGACTCTGTATTAATGCTTTCTCATCAAACTCATTGCAGAATTAAGTGCGTTTTTGTGTACAGTACATCGTTGTGTCTGTCAGAGATATTTAGTGTGACAGGGATCGAGAGGGGAGAGCTGTTGGGAAGGCCTGGACTTAGAACAGGCAGGGAGGAACAAATGCTAAATGGCCATTCTCTTCTACCGACCTGATTTTATAATGCCTTATTTCTGTGATTAGGGATGCTCATTAGATTTCATCATTATTTCACGGATACTTTTATGAGTAGCTTCCTGTCTGGACAGAGGGGACTTAAAGTTCTTCAGTGTCTGTCTCAGATTTTAGACCTCAGAGTTCATCTGACAGAGAAACCTTGGCTTTTCCAAGGTCAGATGACTCATTTGAGTCAGTGCCAGGATGGGATCCTGGATTTCCCAGCCCCTGCATTTGAATACATATCTGCACAGTTTCCTCAAACTCCAAATATGCAAAAGTGAATCTCCATTCCCTCACCCTGCTCCCCAAACACTACCCCCACCACATGGAGATAGTATACAGTTAGAGCACGGGCTTTGAAGGCAGTCCTGGATTCAAGTTCCACTTCTTGTCACATTATTTTTCCCTTCAACTTTGATTTTAAACTCTGGGGTACATGTGCAGGATGTGCAGGTTTGTTACAAAGGTAAATGTGCCATGGTGGTTTGCTGCACAGATCAACCCATCACCTAGGTATTAAGCCTGGCATCCATTAGCAATTTTTCCTGATGCTCTCCCTCCCCCCACCTCACAGGTCCAATGTGTGCTGTTCCCCACCCACCCCCTACCTCCTGCCAATTAGTCCATGTGTTTTCATTGTTCACCTCCCACTTATAAGTGAGAACATGCGGTGTTTGGTTTTCTGTTCCTGCTTTAGTTTGCTGAGGATAACGGCTCCCAGCTCCATCTATGTCTTGCAAAGGACATGATTTTGTTCATTTTGTTTTGTTTTTTTGACATGGAGTCTCGCCCTGTCGCCCCAGGCTGGAGTGCAATAGTGCAATCTCAGCTCACTGCAACCTCTGCCTGCTGGGTTCAAGCAATTCTGCCTCAGCCTCCCGAGTAGCTGGGATTACAGGTGCATGCCACCACGCCCAGCTAATTTTTTGTATCTTTAATAGAGATGGGCTTTCTCCATGTTGGCCAGGCTGGTCTCAAACTCCTGACCTCAAGATCCGCCCACCTCGTCCTCCCAAAGTGCTGGGATTACAGGCCTGAGCCACCATGCCCCACCGATTTTGTTCCTTTTTGTGGCTGCATAGTATTCCATGGTATATATGTACCACATTTTCTTTATCCAGTCTATCATTGATGGGCATTTGGGTTGATTCAGTGTCTTTGCTATTGTGAATAGTGCTGCAATGAACATATGCATGCATATATCTTCATAATATAATGACTTATATTCCTTTGGGTATATACTTAGTAATGGGATTCCTGGGTCAAATGGTATTTCTGCCTCTAGATCTTTGAGGAATCACCACACTATCTTCCGCAATGGTTGAACTAGTTTACACTCCCACCAACAGCATAAAAGTGTTCCTTTTTCTCCACAACCTCACCAGCATCTGTTGTTTCTGGACTATTTATTGATTGCCATTCTGACTGGCATGAGGTGGCATCTCATTGTGGTTTTGATTTGTATTTCTCTAATGATCAGTGATGTTGAGCTTTTTTTCGTGTTTATTGGCTGCATGAATGTCTACTTTTGAGAAGTGCCTGTTCATGTCCTTTGCCCACTTTTTAATGGGGTTGTTTGTTTTTTTCTTGTAAATGTGTTTAAGTTTGTTGTAAAGTCTGGGTATTAGACCTTTGTCAGATGGATAGATTGCAAAAATTTTCTCCTATTCTGTAGGTTGTCTGTTCACTCTAATGATAGATTATTTTGCTATGCAGAAGCTCTTTAGTTTAATTAGATCTCATTTGTCAATTTTTGCTTTAGTTGCAATTGCTTTTGGCATTTTTGTCATGAAATCTTTGCCCATGCCTATGTCCTGAATGGTATTGCCTAGATTTTCTTCTAGGGTTTTTATAGTTTTGGGTTTTACATTTAAATCTTTAATCTACCTTGAGTTAATTTTTGTATAATGTGTAAGGAAGGGGTCCAGTTCCAATTTTCTGCATATGGCTAGCCAGTTCTCCCAGCACCATTTGTTAAATAGGGAATCCTTTCCCCACTGCTTGTTTTTGTCAGGTTTGTCAAAGATCAGATGGTTGTAGGTATGCAGTCTTATTTCTGAGTTTTCTATTCTGTTCTGTTGGTCTATGTGTCTGTTTTTCTATCAGAACCATGCTGTTTTGGTTACTGTAACTTTGTAGTACAGTTTGAAGTGGGTAGCGTGATGCCTTCAGGTTTGTTCTTTTTGCTTAGGATTGTCTTGGCTATTCAGCTCTTGCCACTTTTTAACCATATGAACACGTTATCTTAAATACTCTGAGCCTCAGATTTTTCATCAGTGTAATGGGAAGACTATTTCCCTTACAAGACTGTGATGAAGGTGGACTAAGATTTGTGTGTATCAAAGGCTTATCATAGCACCAAGGACACCGTTAACTTGCTGTATTTGGCTGTATGCTCCTTTCCCCTACCCTCTACACACCCAGAATGGCTCTTTGATAAATAGTGACTTCCTAGTAATGATTTACCAAGAAACATGGTTAGAGTGAAGAGTAGATTTGCTAGAAGTTCTCTTGCGTGGTGGTGATTTGAATTCATTTCCATCTGTAAACAGGATTCCTTGGACCAGTCTTGGAGTACAGCTTCATATAGTTGCTTTAGGTTTTATAAACCTACCTTTTAAAATAGCCTTTGCCTCTCTCTACATTGTCTGCAGTAAATTAAGTTACAATATTATAATTTAATAAATGAATATTAAATATAATAATATGAAGTTAACAATTCAAGTTACAATGACCTGAATACTTTATTTAAAATAAAATATAAGTGTATCTTTCATTATGAAACTGCCTCTTTTTTAGTCTATGTCATTTCTCTTTGCATAATGCTGTAAGCATTTTCCTGTGCATTGACTTCTGATAAGTCCATATTTCTGTAGCTGTTTCAATTAACACAGTGTTTTGAATCTTCTTTCATTAATTTCTCTTTATATTAGTAAAGACAAATCTACTAAGTTTGTATTAGTTACATAGACCTTTGTCTTGTTTCATAAACTCACCTTGTTCAGTGCTAGTTTGAGTTCTCCCACCTTGGGTCTATTTCCAGTAGTGCCTGCACACATGTGGAAACTGCATTTGATCTCCATGATTGCACGAGATGAGTTTATGCAACATTAGTTTCCTTATTCCACTTCCTGTTACAGGGTTTTTTTGTGTGTGTGGTTTGAATTTGTTTCTTGTGTGGTGCTTAAGTTCTTTTTCAAAAAAAAGCAAATTGCGTTTCTAAAAAAGCATTCATATGAAATGTGAAGAGGAAAAGTAATGAGGTAAATTTCTCCTAAGAGGTGGTGACACATGACAAAAAATATCAGACTTGACTGGTCTTCCTCTTAATTTAGTTTAAATGTCATGTGTATTTTTCGTCAGTCGTGTAATTTTCCCATTGCTGCAAACTGCCCGTTGAGGCATACAAGGTATAGGAATGCTTGTAAAATGAATGGCAGCAATTATTATTCAAATGAAGAGGTACCAACCAGTGTATGCACAACTTGGAAACTTGTTACCTTGTGAGACTTAATTGTATTGTATATTTATGAAGATTTCTACTTTTTAACAAAATACAATAGTAAAGCTCCCTTGGAGGAGAAAAATGGTACTTAAAACATTGCAGTTGCTGAACATAGTTAGCCCACCGGTGGGGGTGTTCATCAACATTTCGGTTCTGGGTTGTGTCCTAAGGGGCTTTTCCACCACATCAGTATTCATGAGCATTGATGGAAAATAGCGGTCGCCTCCTCCACAAGAGAACTATCTCTTTGAAAGATGAGGCATTTACTGCTATTTAAATCCAAGGGCCCAGTGTCTACACTTGCAAGAAGGAAAATAAAGATCAATGCAAGACTTAAGCTGCTCTAATGGTTTGGGCCAGCTGCTATGTGGTGTGTGAATTTTCGGACTGTTTGTTGGAAAAAGAGGAATTCAACCAAGTAGACGTTATTGGGCTCTGAAGAGCCTCTGAGTTAATAATCCTGTTTAATCTTTTATAGAGCCCCTTTTCATCTAAAATGAGGCTGATTTACTACATCATAAATAAATTTCGGAGACCTTTAATCTCTGTCTGTGAAGATTTGAGAGAATTCAAGCGTTGCAAAACTGTCCCTCTTTTCCTCCCTATTGGCCAAGTAGGACATGCTTGTTTATCAGAGGCCCCTACCAGCTTTTGTCTCTCTCAGGCACATACCAGCTTCTATCTTGTAGTTACTAATAAACCTTCCTCTCTTTTTCCCCATTCCACCCTTCCACTTTCTGGAATCTATGGGGTAGCTGATAAACTCCTTGAGGGCAGAGGTTATGTGTCTTCTTGATCATGTATCTCCTGATCCTGCCTTATACTTGGTGTGTGCTTTACACCTGGTGGCTTCGTGTGAAAGTTGAGGATTTGACTTCCAGCAGCAAGGGATTTCCCTGAGGGGTCAGACCAAGAGGGAAGTGGGCCTGAGCCAGGCAGGCTTGCTGGGCTCTGATGAGTCCAGTCAGAGTCCTGGTGCATGCTTTTTCTACCTCTCACCTTTCAATTTTGAGGTAGGGTCTCTGCCTTGACTGTGTCACATGAATATTGTGAGATTCAAATGACAAAATGTCTAGGAAAGAATGAACCTACGATAATATCGTCATTCATCTAGCATTATCCATGACCCACGTTCGTAAAAAAAATTTTTTGTTTCAGAGACAGAGTCTCGCTCTGTCACCCAAGCTGGAGTGCAGTGGCGTGATCTCAACTCACTGCAATCTCCACCTCCTGGGTTTAAGCGATTCTCCTGCCTCAGCCTCCTGAGTAGCTGGGACTACAGGCACTGCCACCACGCCCAGCTACATTTTTTTTTTTTTTGGAGACGGAGTCTTGGCTCACTGCAAGCTCCGCCTCCCGGGTTCACACCATTCTCCTGCTTCAGCCTCCCGAGTAGCTGGGACTACAGGCGCCCGCCACCACGCCTGGCTAATTTTTTGTATTTTTAATAGAGACGGGGTTTCACCACGTTAGCCAGGATGGTCTCGATCTCCTGACCTTGTGATCCGCCCACCTCAGCCTCCCAGAGTAAATTTTTTTAGTAGAGATGGGATTTCACCGTGTTGCTAAGGCTGGTCTCAAACTCCTGAGCTCAGGCAATCAGCCCGCTTTGGCCTCACAAAGTGCTGGGATTACAGGTGTGAGCCACTGCAAAAGCCCATAAAATTGTTTAATACCTGGATCTTTTGCCCCATTTAATGGTAGACCAAAAAAAAAAAAAAAAAAAAAAAAAGCTTGACCATTGGGGATTTAAAATTTTAGTTTTATCATATACAAGAGTGTATTAAATACAACTAGATTGTTCTTGATCATTTCAAATCTCCTGACCCATTAGTTTTTCTTCTGTGTTGTAAGAGTAATACCCTCAAGGCCGGGCGCGATGGCTCACACCTGTAATCCCAACACTTTGGGAGGCCGTGACGGGTGGCTCACCTGAGGTCAGGAGTTTGAGACCAGCCTGGGCAACATGGTGAAACCCCGTCTCTACTAAAAACACAAAAATTAGCTGGGCGTGGTGGTGGGCGCCTGTAATCCCAGCTACTCATGAGGCTGAGGCAGGAGAATTGCTTGAACCCGGGAGGTGGAGGTTGCAGTGAGCCAAGATTGCGCCACTGCACTCCAGCCTGGGTGACAAGAGCAAGCCTCCATCTGAAAAAAAAAAAAAAGTAATAGCTTCAGGATTCACTTAATGAATCCTTGCCTCAACACTAAGCATGGATACATGCCCCAACACCAGACAACCCCGGCCTATTAAGTTTTTGAATGCACATGTTGTCTTTTTTTATAGTTTATGTAGTTTTTAGTAGAGTTTTAAAGGCTGGGCGCGGTGGCTCACGCCTGTAATCCCAGCACTTTCAGAGGCCGAGGTGGGCAGATCACGAGGTCAGGAGATCGAGACCATCCTGGCTAACGCGGTGAAACCCTGTCTCTACTAAAAATACAAAAAAAATTAGCCAGGCATGGTGGTGGGCGCCTGTAGTCCCAGCTACTCGGGAGGCTGAGGCAGGAGAATGGCGTGAACCCAGGAGGCGGAGCTTGCGGTGAGCCGAGACACGCCACTGCACTCCAGCCTGGGCAACAGAGCCAGACTCCATCTCAAAAAAAAATAATTAATTAAAAAAAATAGAGTTTTAAAAACACCTTTGTAAAGTGTAAGAAGTATTATACTTTATTTTTGTTTGAAGGAGGATGGTTAATATCTTTCCTCCATCTCAATATGTCAATAATTGCTTCTTTTTATTTTATATTTTTTGAGATGGAGTCTTGCTGTGTTATCAGGCTGGTCTCAAACTCCTGGCCTCAAGCAGTTCTCTTATTTCAGCCTCCCAAATAGCTGGGATGACAGGTGCACGCTACCACACCTGGCTAATATGTTAATAATTACTCCTTGTACTTTTAGCTTGGAGTGCCCCTGTCTTTTATTTCCTGCTTCCAATCTGCAGTGAGTTGGGAAGCAGGATTATGAAGTTTATAATAATCAGGTAGAGTAGGAATGTGGAAAATACTGAGTTGGTCCTTTGGCATTTTCTTTTTTTTTTTTTTTTTTGAGACGGAGTCTCACTCTGTCGCCCAGGCTGTAGTGCAGTGGCCCAATCTTCATTCACTGCAAGCTCCGCCTCCCGGGTTCATGCCATTCTCCTGCCTCAGCCTCCCGAGTAGCTGGGACTACAGGCGCCCGCCACCACGCCCAGCTAATTTTTTGTGTTTTTAGTAGAGATGGGGTTTCACCGTGTTAGCCAGGATGGTCTCGATCTCCTGACCTCGTGATCCACCCGCCTTGGCCTCCCAAAGTGCTGGGATTACAGAGTCCTGTAGCATTTTCTACAGGATGAGTGCCTGGGCTTTATGACACCTCCCTCAGCTTTTGATCCCATGTGTTTCTTTCCTGGTTGTCTGTAGTACTCTAGATAGGTGAGGCTGTGAAATAAACTCCATATAAATGAAGCTTATACAGTCTCAAAAGCTTGTGTGTTTGTCATACCATATTCAAGGGATACTTAGGCCTCATGTAAAGCCTTGGAAGTTAATTAGAATTAATTCCAGATTATAGATGTCTTTGTCATGTGTCAGGGAAAGTAAAATTCAGGTACATGCACTACTGAGTGACCTTCAAACAATGAATTGAACTATGTGAGGACCAAATTCAGGAAGGTTATTTCCAATGGCCTCCATCAAAACTTACGCCTTTAGAAGACCCTGGGGAGACTCACAGAGTCAAGTTAAAGAATCTGAAATCTTCCAAACACCTTCCTTTTGAAAGAGAACCTTCTTCATGTTCAACTTGTAACTCTAGCAAGGAGAGACTTACGTTTCATTCAGTCCCCTCCATTAATATCCTTAAGAGAGAGAGGAAACCTAGAGTTACAGGTCCCTAAATATAGCAAACTGGATCAGTTTCTTTGATGCTGGGCAACTCTGCAGATCCTGGAGGAGAAGGCAGGCCCTCAGACCTCCCTGCCGCCGCCCCCACCACTCACTCTTGGCTATCTTGGTCACTCTCATGGCTATTAGCTTTGCTTGAAAATATGACCCTGATTCTTTTTTTCTTTTCTTTTGAGATGGAGTTTTGCTCTTGTCACCCAGGCTGGAGTGCAGTGGCTTGACCTCAGCTCACTGCAACCTACACCTCCCAAGTTCAAGCAATTCTCCTCCCTCAGTCTCCCAAGTAGCTTAGATTACAGGTGCGCACCACCATGCCCAGCTAATTTTTGTATTTTTAGTGGAGACGGGGTTTCACCATGTTGGCCAGGCGGGTCTCAAACTCCTGGCCTCAAGTGATCCACCTGCCTTGGCCTCCCAAAATGCTGGGATTACAGGCGTGAGCCACTGTGCCTGGCCATGGCCCTGATTCTTTATAAAAGTAATGGGAACAGTCAGTCACCCCTATTACTATAGCTATTGGTAGTATTAACTACCACTTGCTGGGCATCTAACAGTCCCAGGACATTCTTGATACTTTACCCAATTCTCATTTTATCTTCCTAACACAGGGAAGCGGTATTATAAATACCATAAAATACATGCAGTGCTCTTAGCAGCTGCCTGGACTCTCTGTGACATTTCCTGAGACTATGAGCATCGTGGCACAGGGACTTGTCACTCTCATTCACTACTGTGTCACCAGGGCCAAGTACAATGCCTGGCATAGAGCAGCTGCTCAATAAATATTTATTGAATGAATAATAAATATCAGTTGTTAGATGTCCCCAGTTTTCCAGACAGACAAACTAGGGCTTGGAGAGGCTTCGTAATGTCTCCAATTCACATCAGGCAGTGAAGGAAGAGCTAGGGTTAGAGCCTGGACCCACCTAGCTATAAAGCCTTTGTGTGTCCTCCTAACCCTGTTCCTGGCTTCCCTGAGAAGAATGAATGATTCTGTAGAAATTCACAGATGCCCGTCAAGTGGCCTGAGTGCCAGAGCTCTTGAGTGCATGATGTTTGTGAACTGGCTGGTTGGGAAGCTGGCCTTGCGCATGTTAACTGGAGCCTATCCTTGACTCTGGGACAGTAGCAGGACCTGGCCGCCCCTCCCTCCCCCAGGATGTTTGGCTGTGAAACCTAATTAACATAGCCTACCTTTCTACAGTCGTTTACCCTTTCAAAGATTGTGCCTCCCTGGATCTTCAGCAGGTGCCTGGTTTTCCTTGACAGACTTCTGCTCTGGCTCCTTAGATTACGTAGATTTTTTAAGCCTGTAAAAAGGTAACTATGTGAGGTGATGTATATTTTAATTAGCTTGAATGTGATAATTATTTCACATTGTGTACATATATCAAATCATCAGGTTGTACACCTTAAATATATGCAATATAATCTAATGATTTCAGTAAGTAATTCCAATCAATCAAAACTAACATGGTAGAGAAATCACATATACTTTGGAAGAGTGTGGTAAATTGCAAGGAGATACAATTTTATGACATATAAATCTTTTATGACATATAAATGAATTCCTCTCTTTTGTTTTGATTTGCATAGATAAGACATGATATGATTTTTTGTCCACTGTTTCAATAACTAATGAAGTTTGCTGCTTTTGTAAATTTGATTTGGAAGTTTATCTGTCACCTATATTAAACCTCTAGGCAGTGTTTTGTAATGACATCCAAACAGACCCATCCCATAGCAGAACAAACTACAAATTTACCAGTTTTGTATTTACATGGGGGTTCTATGTCAATAGGTGCCACATTATCAAACTAGAATTGTGATGAGAAGAAATCCCAAGGTGAGATTACATACATCTAAGTTATAGAATATCCTTGGCCATAAAGAAAATGCTTTTACCTTTTCAACAAAGTAATATCCTAGTTCTGACTATTTACTTAAATAAAACTCAGGTTCTTTCCAACTTCAGTCAAGATAACTCTATTTTTTAAGAATTCAGGAAAATACTTCTTAAGATTCTTTTATCCTTTGTGCATTTGCTATTGATTTTTGCTTATTTATGGAATCACAGAGGCCTTGGGAAATAAATATTATATACCTTCCCTCAAGGAAGACTATATTCAAGTCATCCTCAAAAGACAGCTTACTCCCTTCTAGAATATCTCAAGATACGAAAGCATCTTTGGGACATCGTTACATTGGATCATTTGCTTGGGAAGGCTTTTCTAATGTCTAGCCTAACGTCTTTCTCTTCTGGTCTTGTTCAGAAAAATAAAAGCAGCTAAGAGTTTAAAATATATCTTTTTCTGAGTTTATAAAGAGGATTTTGCTATATAGCTTTTTTCCTTTGGGGTGAATAAATATCGATATGAATGTTTACGGCACGAGGTGTCAAAATGATCAGCCTATTTTCCCTTCTGTCTTTAGAGAAATGAAAAGGGCAACAAATTGGATTATGACTCACTTCAAGGCTGTCAGGATGGGAAGAAAACAGTTTTGGTACCTTGTAGATAGGTTTGCATTCTTAGAGCTGTGGAAATTACTTTAAATCTATTTTTAATTTTTTTTAGGTACATTTTGACCAATTTAAAGAAGCATTAATACTCATCTTGTCCAGAACTCTGTCAAATGAAGAACACTTTCAAGAACCAGGTAAGGTCACTCACTTCTCTTCTCTGCCTTCCCCTTTAAAAGTTGTCCGGGGAAGAATCTGGGGACCTTGAAGCATGTATATGAAGGATTGGGGACATCTGCCTTTCACAGATTGAGCAGTTATTTTCGGTGACTTCTCTTCAATATTATCATAAAAGCTTTGCAGCTGTTGAACACTAAAATGAGACTTCTCTACTACAGCAGCATAGTATTATGGAGAAAATAATTGGATTGTTTCTAGGCAATAACTCATTCTTGGAATGAGTAGAGTGAAGCTGAATGGTAACTGCTTTCATCCTTGTTTCCTTGTACATGGAAGGATATGATTTGGGGAAATTTTTTCCTGAAGGTAGAAGAGTGACCAGTCTAGAGATAATTTTACTTAGTCGTAGTGAGTGGATCATGCTCTGCTGTAGACATTATCACATTACATTATAATTATCTGTCTCCTCCTCTCAAGTGATAATTCCTTGAGGACCATGCTGTTCATTTTTGTATTTCCAGTGCCTAGAAGAATGCTTAGCATGTAGTAAGTATTCAATGAATGTTTCGAAATAAAAGACTTAATATTATACTTCACTGATTTTTTTCTAAGCACCATAGGTTGTAAGACACATTGTTATTTCATGTATCTCTAAAAACAAAAATTGTTGCCAATTGTAATGTAAAATGACATTAATTGTAAATTCTCATTTCAGAGTGTCTAAATCTGGTGTGTGTAGGGGGGAGGTGTCTTCAAATCAATGAAATATGGTAGATGTGTAAAGGAAAGTCTAAAAACTGTGGAAATTTATATTACAGTACAGTCTGGTTTTATCAAATTAGTGGTTGTTGGGGTAGGGGCAGGAGTTGACTACAAAGGGGCATGAAGGAATTTGGGGGACAATGAAACTTTTATATCTTGATGGTGCTAGTAGTTACAGGATTGTGTGAGTTTTTCCAACCCAGAGACTTGTGCAATGAAAGGATTAAATTTACTCTATGTAAATTATACCTCAATAAACCCTACTTTAAAAAAGAGAACATCAAAAATATAGTCCAGTTTTGAAACTGAGCATAAATCATTAAGATTTTGTCACTACAAGGAGTCATTCACTGTGACCTATTTAGGTGAGGCACAGATGGGAGCTCATTTCTCACCCTTGCCGGGTGATCTAGTTCTTCATCCTGCCCTCTGAAGTGCTCCAGATTTGTGTTGTGTGTATGGACACTGCCTTTAGCAGTGTTTTAGGTTCTGGATTGAGTCTCCGCCTTTTTCGGGGATGGTGACACCCCTAGCAATGTTGTTCTTAACTCTGATACTTGATAAAGCTCTTTGGAAGCCCCCAGTGAGCCTGAGAGGGAGGTTATTGCATTCTTGAAATTTTCCAGACAAACATTAGCGTTTCCACAGGTGACCGCTGCTAGAATATGGACTTTTGTGTTTTTATATGGTCTCATTTTATTGGTGTTTTCACTTTTTTAAGGTTGTCTGTCATCTTGATGACAATGGTGCGACATCTGGGGGGCCTGAATAGAGCTATGGTTGACATCACCGCCAGGGTAGATATTAGCTAACGTGAGCATAGGTAATATAAGCATAACTTCAGGGTTCTGTGTGCTGATAATGTGCTTTTATGTGGATTTGGAACAGGCGGTCCTGCCGCTAATCCACATGATCCTCCTGCTGCCATTTCTTCAAAACCTGTACTGTCACTGTCACCTGCCAGAAAATTATAATAAATATACAGATTATAGTGACTACAGATGTGAAGGGTCCCCGCACAGAGTTGTACATTGTTGGGATCCGAGCAGTAGGATGAGCTAGACCACGCTTGTCCAACCCACGGCCCATGGGCTGCATGTGGCCTAGGACAGTTTTGAATGCGGCCCAACACAAATTTGTAAACTTTCTTAAAACTAAAACATTATGACATTTATGCATGGACCTTTTTTTTTTTTCCTAGCTCATCAGCAATCATTAGTGTTAGCGTATTTTATGTGTGGCCCAAGACAATTCTTCCAGTGTAGCCAAGGGAAGCCAAAAGATTGGACATCCCTGAGCTAGACAATGGCTGGTTGAGCTTGGTCCCAGCCAGGAAGTAATATTTATAAATCTGGCTCCAGATGGTGGTTTCATAGTTATGTGTCTGCCTCACTGCTATGCAGGCAAAGATCATAATTTGGACAAGTCTTCCGGGAAGACACACAGAAGGGATTTTTATAGTTTTGCTGTGTGTTCCATCCTTTGGGTAGGCAGTAAGTCTTCGTCACAAAACTGCTCCACCTCAGTGTAATGCAGCAGAAAAGTACTTATTGATAGCATTTCTTGTAGCATTTATGACTTCCCTAACATTTGTCCTGGCAGGATAAAACCTAGGATTGAGCCTGTGCTTTGAGACATGAGTCAGCCTTTCCTCCCACATTCCCTGCTTTGTTCCTGAGCATCTCTGCTTTTTCTGTCTTTTGCCAATTTCTCCTTGGCCCCTCCAGTTGTTCGTGGGGATCGTGCAGTTCTTTCCACTCAAACATTCTTCCACTCACTCTAAAATGTGACTCTGAGCTGGGTGCGGTGGCTCATGCCTCTAATCCCAGCACTTTGGGAGGCCAAGGTGGGCAGATCACTTGAGGTCAGGAGATCGAGACCAGCCTGGCCAGCGTGACGAAACCCCGTCTCTACTAACAATACAAAAAATTAGCCAGGTGTGGTGGCAGGCACCTGTAGTACCAGCTACTCAGAAGGCTGATGCAGGAGAATTGTTTGAATCCAGGAGGCGGAGGTTGCAGTAGCCAAGATCACGCCTCTGCACTTCATCCTCGGTGACAGAGTGAGACTCCATCTCAAAAAAAAAAAGAAGAAAAAAGAAAAAAAAAAGTGACTCTACCCCGCTGCAGGCAGACTGGTTTGGCTGGGCAGAGACAGAGGAAGTAGGGTCAGGATTCAAATGCAGTACATCAACAGGCCACCTTCATTTACCTCTCCCTCTCCCTTTATGGAAGTAACTATCCCTTAAATCATAGATCATATAGCATTTTAGGGCTGGAGAAAACCCTGCCATTTCATCCATGAGCAATTAGAGGCCCAAAGAGGGACGTAGCTTAATTGAAGTCTTACAGCTAGTGGCAGAGGAGGGGCTTACACTGTATCACCAAGGGATGTGATTCAAGAAGGCTTTAGGTTGAGGATTTTAGCTTTCAAATGGGTGAGCCAGTCTTCGGTCAGTGCAGCCTGGCCAAAAGGGTCTGACAAGTGGCCAGAGGCAGCAGAGAGGAATAAATGAAAAGCAAGTTTTACCTGATCGTTAGGGACAGGGATGCCTGTGTCCTCTGCATTATTTGGCTGGTTATGCTTAGTTCATCTTATACCAGAAGGGGCCAGGTCTGTGTTTTTGTTTTTGTTTTTTTGAGATGGAGTCTCACTCTGTTGCCCAGGCTGGAGTGCAGTGGCACAATCTCAGTTCACTGCAACCTCCGCCTCCCAGGTTCAAGCAATTCTCTGCCTCAGCCTCCCAGGTAGCTGGGATTACAGGCACCCACCACTACGCCTGGCTCATTTTTTTGTATTTTTAGCAGAGATGGGGTTTCACCATTTTGGCCAGGCTGGTCTTGAACTCCTGACCTTGTGATCTACCTGCCTCGGCCTCCCAAAGTGCTGGGATTACAGGCATGAGCCACTGCGCCCGGCGAGGTCTGTGTTATTTTTGTTTTGCCTTTTTGAAATCAATGGAGATGGTAGTCTTTGAGATAAAAGGTTACCTTTACACCATAGAAGGAGACTGAAAATAAAAGGGGGACCATAGTGCTCAGCCTTAGAAACCAAGAGGGCCGTGAATTGATATTTTATAACACCAAAGATTTTTATAAATTAAAATATAAGATATTGCACCAGACTATAATATAGAAAAGTCAGCTTGATTTAATAGAGCCACCCTTGAGTGAGGAGTTAGGAAATGCTGGTTCTGTCCCTCTAATCAGGTGATCTTATATATCATGACCTTAGTGGTCTTTGGTCACCTTGTATGTGAAAGTGGTTGTGCTGAAAAAATACATAAAATCCTTCAGCTCCAAGATTTGATGGTGTTGCCTCCTAATATCTAAATGACATTATCCATATCTATGAAGAATGCTAGCCTGTGTTTATGTAAGATTTTACTTAACATTCATTGAAACTATAAAGTTCTTCTTCCCAAGGACAAATGCATAGTATATCTCATGTTTTTATAGCCTCCTAATAAAAGGCAGTTGTATATAAATTCTATAAAAACAAAGCTCTCATGGGATTTGAGAGGAGATGAAATTAAGTTATTTCTATAGTCTTGGGCTCTGCCATTTATAACTCCTCTGAGGTACAGTCTCTTTATTTTTAGAATCAGGAGATATGGACTAGATTATTTTCAGCATCTTTTTAACTCAGATATTTATAATTCTAAGAATCTTAGCGTTTTTCCCCTAAAAAGCAATTTTTATAATAATAACAACACAGTGAAAAATATTGAAATTCAGATAAAGGCAGAAAAATGGATTGGGATGTAGGAAGTCTTTTGTAAATTCCAAACTGATTAGCATTGCCAGTGGCATAATTCTTTCATATCTATGTGTACAATCTAATTTTTAAATTATTTTTCTGGAATAGGAGAGGGGCAACAACTTAATTATTAGCTATTTATTCAATTTGCCGTGGCTTTGGATTATAGGATTTTTGTAATGGAAATGCTGGCACAAGCTCCAAGCTACATGGCATCAACATGCCAGCTGGATCCTCTCTCCAGAGATTTTGTCCTCATTTGATGCATCTTGCATTAGATTTCTGTTCTTTAGTAGATGTTAGCATAATGCAGGAAGCTCTTTCTTCCTTGATGTGATTCATTGGAAATGTCTCTTTGTTTATTCATGGGGAAAACCTCAGGTTTGAAAAAGCCAACTCATTAGAAAAATAGGACCAGGCATTGTTTTGGTACAGATGATTGTTTCATTGTAACAGACCTTCCTAGTTTCAAGGACTGCCATAATTGTAATTATTTTCTTTATATTTTGAAGAAGTGATACATACAGTTAACAGACATTTTTTCATTTACTCAGCAATTGTGCCTTGAACCAGGTCTTATGGCCTGTCACTAGGCTAGCTATTGATTTCAGTGATTGAAGATTTGTGTTTATAACTATGTTCAGAGGCCTTGGGTTAGGCACTGAAGTCTGGCTGAAGTCCCTGATTTTAGGAGATATTACACACAGATGGCCCAAAGGCTCGTTCTGTTGTCTTCTGTTGGTTAAGTAAGGTAAGTAAGAACTTAGTCCCTGTTCTGCTGGCATCAATGAAATGCTAACAGTGAGGACCAGAAGTTTTCTCCAAGAGTTAAAAGCAAAACAGGCTGGGCACGGTGGCTCACGCCTATAATCCCAGGACTTTGAGAGGGTGAGACAGGTGGATCACCTGCGGTCAGGAGTTTGAGATCAGTCTGACCAACATGGTGAAACCCCGTCTCTACTAAAAATACAAAAATTAGCTGGGCGTGGTGGCAGGCGCCTGTAATCCCAGCTACTCGGGAGGCTGAGGCAGGAGAATCGCTTGAACCTGGAAGGCAGAGGTTGCAGTGAGCTGAGATCGCACCACTGCACACCAGCCTGAGTGACAAAGCGAGACTCTGTCTCAAAAAAAAAAAAAAAAAAAAAGCCGGGCGCAGTGGCTCATGCCTGTAATCCCAGCACTTTGGGAGGCTGAGGTGGGATCACTCCGGATCACAAGGTCAGGAGTTCAAGACCAGCATGACCAACATGGTGAAAGCCCGTCTCTACTAAAGAATACAAAAATTAGCTGGGCGTGGTGGTGCACGCTTGTAATGCCAGATACTCAGGAGGCTGAGGCAGAAGAATCGGTTGAACCCAGGAGGCGGAGGTTGCAGTGAGCCGAGATTGCACCATTGCACTCCAGCTTGGGCAACCAGAGCGAAACTCCGTCTCAAAAAAAAAAAAAAGCAAAGAAAAAAGCAAAGCAAACCACTACCACCACCAGTGCCAACTACAACAACAAAAGAGGATATTAGGATTGTGCTTCTAATCCTGAAATTGGAAACACTCATCCCCACTGATGTTTTGTAAAATGATAGAACCTTTCTAGGATTACCTAAGATAATAGGCACCAAGAACTGTAATAATGCTTTTGGCTAATCCATGCTACTCTCAGATTTTATGCTATGTAAATAATTATAGATGTACATAAAAATGTGTGTATAAGGTTAGTCATTTAAAGTAGTGAAAAAATATATATGTTGGGCATCCCTAATCCAAAAATATGAAATGTTTCAAAATCCAAGACTTTTAAGCACCAACATGATACTCAAAAGAAATGCTCATTGGAGCATTTCAGATTTCAGAGTTTGAGATTTGGGTTGTTCAACTGATATACTTCAGATTTCCTAAAATCTGAAACACTTTTTTCTGATCTCAAGCCTTTCAGATAATGGATAGTCAGCCTGTATAAAGCAAGTGAAGAAATTAGACAGTGTATTCATAGGCAAATCGTGCTCTATCTATGTAAACAATGACTAAGTAGCTATTAAACTGTGCTATGAAAGAATACTTATGTGGGAAATTTACTAAGGGTAAAAGGCAACTTAAAAATATGTATATGTGCAAGAAATACTCATGTAATTTAAAATTAAATAAATAGGGCTGGTGAGAATTTTGATAATGAAACAGTTTACTTGGGAGTTGTGTGTGTGTGTGTGTGTGTGTGTGTGTGTGTGTGTGTGTATGTGTATATATATTGTTTGTTTTTTGTTTTTGTGACGGAGTTTTGCTCTTGTTGCCCAAGCTGGAATGCAATGGTGCAATCTCGGCTCACTGCAACCTCTGCCTCCCGGGTTCAAGCGATTCTTCTGCCCCAGCCTGCCGAGTAGCTGGGATTACAGGCATGCACCACCACACCCAGCTAATTTTTTGTATTTTTAGTAGAAACAGGGTTTCGCCATGTTAGCCAGGCTGGTCTCAAACTCCTGACCTCTGCCTGGCTCAGCCTCGCAAAGTGCTGGGATTACAGGCGTGAGCCATGTCTATATTTTATTTCAACCTTAGTGGATATATAAGAAGGTTTCCAAACGGGACATGAGGATGACGGTTTTCTACAGGGAATCCTAGAAAATCAGTGTGTTCCTCTCACATCAGCTCACTGATGCAGGGAAAGGAGACTAATGAGAAAATTGGGGCAAGAATAAGATCAGAGCAGCTCCAGTTTCTGAGGTGACGAACTGGATAACGTCATTACACTAATCTTACCTGTTACCAAAAATTGAGGTTGAGGAACTCTTCAGGATTGAGGACTGAGAGACTCTTGCTGACTGCTCCCATGGTTGCTTGATGCTGGACACCTCTCCCTGGCCCGATGGCTTTGGGCCACCACTGGCTTCACAGGAGTCCCGGTGGAAGGACCAGAGTGTGGCTGGAGCTCCCTGGGCAGAGCTGCTAGACTGATGTTGACCTTACTCCATGAAGCGCCTATTGTTTTCCCTCCTTCCAGATGAGGAAACTAAGTCTTCATGAGGTTCGGCACTCCCAACCTTGATATGAACTCTGTGTCCAGGTCCAGGTCCGTTTGATTCCAAAGCACAGCTCTTTCCCATGGAAAGTGTTATAGTCTATCCGGGTAGGTAATCCTAACGTGTAAAATGCTTTTAGAAAAATGTGACTATGGTTATTATGAAATTGGGAGCCATATCCCAGCACTTTGGGAGGCCGAGGCAGATGGGTCACGAGGTCAAAAGATCAAGACCATCTGGCCAACGTGGTGAAACCCCGTCTCTACTAAAAATATAAAAATTAGCTGGGTGTGGTGGCACGTGCCTATAGTCCCAGCTACTTGGGAGGCTGAGGCAGGAGAATCGCTTGAACCTGGGAGGTGGAGTTTGCAGTGAGCTGAGATTGTGCCACTGCACTCTAGCCTGGCAATAGAGCGAGACTCCGTCTCAAATAAATAAATAAATAGGGAGCTATGGACAGTGTGCATCACACTAAATGTAGAGGAGAAACGGTTCCATGAAAGTGGTGCCAAGAAATTACTTGAAAGAAATGAGTTTTGAGTTCCCCTTGAACAATGGGGAGGGTTCAATTAGGTAAAAAGTGTATCTCATCCTTCTTCCCAAAAATGGCTATAGATGCAGGCATCCTAACAGAGATCTGCTGGTTGATCCTCCTATGAAAAGGTTGGGGAAACAATTATATAATCATTATCAACTCAAAGATTTTATTCCTGTTGACTGATCTTCAATTGCATTAGGACTTAGACCATCCAGTCAGCCCTGGGGCTTGCCTTGCCACACTCATCCACCAGCTTAGGCACCTTCGGGGGGTGGTAACTTTCCCCTGGAAGCCTTCCTCCTGGGCAAGGCTAATCAAAGCCACCCTGTTACTTTTGTGTCCAGAAGCCCCTGTGTTCCAGCAAGAAGCATCATTCAGGTGGCTAAGAACTGGGTGGAGACTGCGCCTAAGATTCTGTCACTGCATTCAGGGAGGAACTGAAAGACCTAATTAAACATCTGCATCTTGTGTGGAGGTTCCAGGAGAGAGAAGTAGTTGGGGAGGGAGGTGCTAATTGGAAAGGGCTTAGTGCACACAGAAGTGTGGTGCGGCTGCTTGCTGGTGATGGCCCTAGAGGCAGGGAGTGCACTGGGAAGCAAAAGGAAAGGCAGATCATGTCAGAAAGCTTCTGCTGATGCCTTTTTAATGTTTAACCTTTCTTGGCCTCCCCTTCTCCCTTCCCATCCTTGAGACGTTCCCCTCCCAACTCCCTTCTTTCCTCCACCCCAGCTCATCTCTCCCCTCCTCCTCCTCAGTCTCCCACTCCACTCTTTCCCTTCCTGGTGGTCTTCCCACATCTATATCTCTTGCTCCCCTTCCCCACCCCTCCATAGGCCTCTAGGTCCCTATTATCTCCTGTTTCCCCACCCACTTCTTTCCCTCTCTTGGTCTCAGTCTCTGTCTCATTCTCTCTCCATATCTGTCTCTCTGTGTCAGTTTCCACTGGTCTCTGTCTGTATTTTTCTTGGTCTTAGTGTTCCTTTGGATTTTCTTCCCTTCTCTTATTTAGAATCAGGCGTGGGTTTGCATTTTCACTGTGTAATCCCTGTGTGATGGTGCATTCAGCATAGGCGAGGAGGTGGGATGTAGAATGGGGCAGGGTGGGGCTCATTTGCTGCATGACTGCCTTTTCCCAAGAAAGCTTCTTGGGGATGCTGGCCTTGAGGTTTGCACATGCTTCATTTTTTACCTTTCCTTTTCAAACGGATTTCAGCATTCCTGTGAGCTCAGCAGCAATGTAACATGAAGGGCCTCCTGTGCTGAGGTTCTTTGGATGGGGGTGGTGTCTCTGGGAATGATTTCCCAGGCTCACTAAATGAGTCAGGAAGGGACATAGAAAGCAAAGTCCTATGCGAGCAATTCCAAAATGAGAATACCAGCACCCTAACGACAGGGTTTTCTTCTTCATCCTTGGAAATGGCCTCAGGTCATTTTTGGGAACAGGGAATTTTTTGATTCAAAAAACAAGTTAAAATATCCATCTTCTTCCTCAATAGGTACAACGTAATGTTTTGCCTATGGCAGGTGTTTGGTAAATACGCTTATGTGTTAAATGAATCTGCCTAACACTGGGGAGCATCTTTGAAAAATCTCCTTTAACTTCCAGGAAGCAGCTATGGCTGCCACTCCATTCCAGGTCCTGAGCTTATGTTTTTGCAAAGAAAGCATTCAATTGAATATATAGTGTTCAGGCTTTTGCATAATGATTTTAGCTTCCCTTAGGTCCTCATTGCTTTGGCTTTGGCTGTTCATGCAGTGGTTTTAGGAGAGCTGAGCATTTTAAGCAGTGACCTGTATCACATCTGATGCAGATGTGGTGATCTGGTGCAGTGGTCAGTTTTAGGGGAGAGCTTTAAAAAGTGTACTCTGTATTGCTTGAAACCTGGAGTAGGGGAGGCTGTGTTTCTCCCCTCCACACTGCTGCTGGGAAAGGAACTGGGAGAGGAATGAGGCGGGTGTTTGTTATTTCCCCTGGCTGCAGCTGGCTTATCTACTCTGAGTGGTCATTCTCCCTGACACCATATTTTAACTTTCTTTTTATTATGAGTGCAAGACCTCTGGTCAAGCATCATACATGTGCATGGTGGTTTATCCTGATTTGGAAGGGGAACATTATCGAAGCTCTGGAGTTTCTCTTCTTGGGACAGATGAGATGTGAAATAACAAATGTGGCGTGTGAGCAACCCAGCTGTCATTTCTAAGGCCCGAAGGCATAGTATTTTCTTCATCTTTTTAACTCTCGAATCAGATGTTTTCCCCACGTGCTCTGTAGAGACTGTCACTCACTTCCACATTACTCCAGTGGAGGGTTGAAGCAAGGTTTCTCTACTGTCCCCTGCTCATAACCAAGCATTTGGCTTATGGAATAAAACCTAGATCATTAAACTAGGTCAGGTTGGACTGCCTCAAAGCCACCTTCCTCTGATTGGTGTGTCTCATAATAAGCTTTCCAGGGATGGGGTCTGAGACACCTCCAGGCAAGCTGGGCTTGTCTGCTTTCCTTTGAAGCCCACTTTAATTTTTGTAGTGATGCCAAATAGGAGAAATGGAAAATGGGAAAGAAGGAAAAATGACTCAGAAGCTTAACAATCCAGGGAGAATCATAAATACACTTTCAAGGAACTCAAACACTGAAACACTGAAAGCATGGCAGTCATTTATACTTTGTTTTGATAGCATTTCTTTTTGTTTTGTTTCGTTTCTGTTTTTGAGATGGAGTCTTGCCCTGTTGCCCAGGCTGGAGTGCAGTGGCGCAGTCTCGGCTCACTGCAGCCTCTGCCTCCTAGGTTCAACCGATTCTCCTGCCTCAGCCTCCCAAGTTTCTGGGACTACAGTCACGAGCCGCCACGCCTGGCTAATTTTTGTATTTAATAGAGTCCAGGTTTCGCCATATTGGCCAGGCATTTCATGTCCCTTCTTGGAGCTGGTGATTGGAGCAGATACTCTCACCTGTGGAAGCTCTGTGATGTCAATAATTTCGTTTCTTAATAAACCAAAAGCCTCCATGTTATCTGACATAGATAAGATTATTCCAGAATGACACCCTGAAAAATAAAGGTTCCATCTGGATGTGCTCAGAAAGTAAATAAACGTAGCCCCAGGGTTGCAGTTTTGGATCTCTTCCATTAGGCATGGTCAGAAAGGGTCAAGGCATTCTTTAACTTGAGTGGGTAAGAGTGTCTTATAATCCCCATGGTTCGGTGGACATCTGCTGTTCAGTTCTAAATCTCTGATTGAGATTGATGAGGAGAATCATAGTGTTTTCAGCGCTTAACCTAGCAAGGGCTGTTGACCGTGAATGTTCTCTCTGAACATCGTTAGCTTTGCTGTCTCTGTTCCCATCGTATCATGTTAAGTGCAATGAGGCGGATGCTCTAAATGGGAGAGGGATGTCTGAGTGTGTCATTCTTAGAGGTGACTATTTTTAAATGGTGTGATTAGTCCACTTCGTTATTGGTCACTTGCATGGTTTGGAAAATAAAGTGATGAGAAAACTTTAACCCATTTTTCTTTGTGTGTGCTAATGTCTTTATTCCAAAAAGGTTACATAGTTTAATAGATGTCTCTAGAAATTGACTTTATCATGTTCGTACGTTCTATGAAGGATATTAACTTAAAGTTTGCTTAAATTGGTTATTATAATAAGATAATGAAATAAACAATTTAATGCCTGGCAATGCAAAAATAAATGAGTAAATAAACCAAAACTCCACAGGGTCCCTGCTGGCTCACAATCTGTTACCTTTTATTGCTTAGAAAAAGAGCTGTTTTGAATCCACCACTGCATCTACCCTATGCACTACGTGGGGTAGTGAGTAGTAAACAACCAGGGAACCATTTCATCCACCGGTAGGTTTGGGATTAGATCACAATGGATTTTTAAAAGATAGTTGTTTTCTCCCACTGCTTTTTTTTTTTTTTTTTTTAACCTCTGAATAAGTGCAGCATGCAATAAGAGCTCCTTCGCCACTTCCATCCCCAGGACACAACTTTGTTCTTATACTGGGAAAATACTGTGGTTCATTATCCAAGGTTCTAAGTGTTCCTTTTAATCTTTTCCAAACCCCTATAGTCACTAATGGTGTATCTTGTTGTCTGCCACCAAAATTTAAGAATATGTAATAAATTAAGGATGGTTCTGCATTGCCTCTTATCTGACTAGCATCTGTGGGTGTCAGCTGCCAACAAGTAGCTCGGGTGTCTGGGCCGCTCCTGAATGGTCACAAGCTGACACACTGTCTTCTGATAAAAGGTACCTTCAAATATGCATGCAATTTTCAGTATAAATTTTGTATGCTTAAACACTTCCTGTAAGAGAATCACTCGACCTAATAAAATGACTTCACTGGGACTTTTTTAAAGCTGGATATAAATATCACTAGAAATTATATAGCTACCATAAATACTTCACTCTGAGCTTTGCTGAGCATGTTCAGAATGTGTCTGGCCACATTTGTGAAGATAGTGAAATCCGAGCTTGTCCCAGAGGGAAGGACATGGCGGGGAGGTGTTTAGTCAAAGAGGGTCGCCAGTCCTCCCTGGGAAACTGTAAAGTAATGGCTAAACCCCAGCATGGTTTCAATGGTGATAAAGGAACGGTCGTTCTTTTAGTTCTTATCTAATCAACTATTGTCGTTTTTATAATACGTGTACATAATCTCATTTAAAAGTCTACATGTCTGAGTTCAGACATACCTTGCTAAGACTCATGTTCAAACAGAATACATATCTGTTCTCGAGAGAGTATGAATATGTGGACAGCAAGACAACAGAAATCAAAGCATTGTCATCTTTTGTACTTTAATGAAACATTTTATTCTGATGCTGTACAAGGTGCTAAAAAATCTATAGCTGAGATAACATTTGAATAGAGTGAAGTATTTATTTTATTGCTTTAAAGCTCCAATTGTAGAAAAAGCTTAGCCTGTAGTTGTGGCGGTGGAGGTGGTGGTGGTGGTGGTGATGGCAGTGGTGATGGCAGCAGTGGTGGTGATGGTAACGGGGAAGGTGGTCAGTGTTGAACCTGAGACAAGTGATGTCAAAATGCTGAAGTCCTTCTTTAAGATCAAGAGATGACTCTCACCTCATGCACATTCCTTTTTATTTTGTACAACACCGATGCTTACAAAGAGATAAAATAATACAATTTTTTTTACTGTGGTTTCACATTTGCTATTTTATTTTACTGTTTTTAATTTTACAATGAGATCTTGATGCCGGGTTTCATATACGTAACTAGCTGTCATTAATTGCTTAGAATGTGTTGTGTCCGTTTCTTTGTTTTGTCATCTGCTTGTCTGATAGATCAGAGAGTGGAATGGTTAACAGAGGAATCACTGAGGTAGGGGAGGGTGTTTCAGACTAATTGATGTGGATACTGAGTATACAGTGCTGATTTGGTGTCTGTTGTATTACCATTTTCTAAGACTTCCTCCAAGGTGTCTCTTTGTTAATATGATGTCTCCCCATCCTGCTGGAAAACCCAGCTTAATAAACAGAACAAATGTGACCCCTCACCTTTTCCTGACCTTAATCCTCTGCAATTAAGTCAGATCCCTTGCTGCCATTGTTGGATTGCTCCCGTCATGTGCAGATATATACTCACGGTCCCATAAATCGTTCAGAATTAGAAGGCGTGCTCTGCATCTGACCTGATGGCTCATATACACCCACAGCCACCACAATTGGCAAACAGTGGTGGTTTATTTTGAGGTTGGTATAAGAGGCTGTGTCCGATGGCTGTGAGTGGCAGCTAAGAACTGAGATTCTCATGTCATGTGGCCTCAACTCTTGTCTCCTCTCTCAGACTGCTCACTAGAAGCTCAGCCCAAATATGTTAGAGGTGGGAAGCGTTACGGACGAAGGTCCTTGCCCGAGTTCCAAGAGTCCGTGGAGGAGTTTCCTGAAGTGACGGTGATTGAGCCACTGGATGAAGAAGCGCGGCCTTCACACATCCCAGCCGGTGACTGCAGTGAGGTAAGGAATCGGGCATGCACGTTCATCTGGATCATGAGTGTGGAGCCCCACGTCAGTGCAGCACAGAGACAGGGGAGCTGAGGGGGTTGATGGCACGATGTGGGCTTTTCTCAGTTACCAACTCCTTGCTAATCTTATTACTTGCCTTTTGGACATATATAATGTTTCTATCTTTTGAATGTTTTTACCTCGTTTCAGCTTTTGGAGAGCTGACATTTCTGTGCATGCGTCATGTACACATTTAGAGTTCAGGTATTTCCACATCATCTGAGGTCTCCCACTTCTAGTTCTTGAATATCTCTCTCCTCTATAGCATGATCATTTTTAGTTATTTAAAAGGCGAACCAGCTCCTCCCCCTCCCTTGCCCCAAACTATAAAACAGCATCTGTAGCAGGAAATGAAAGCAACGCGTTCAGGCATTTTGAAAGCCTGCATCTTATCTTTTGTAGTGTGATAAAGCAGCTCGAACACTTGGTTTTTGCCTCAAGATACTGAGCCTGGGGTGCTTTCCAGTGCCCAGCAGTTGCCATGGTTCTTTCTGCTGGATTCCTTGCACCCAGGCCTGTCTCGTTCTCCAGCATGTGGAGAGTCGCCAGCCTCCCTCATCCCCCATCTTTTCATTTTGCATATTGCCATAATCTACCAATAAAGGAGGTTCAGTAACATTTTCTTTATTCTTTCTTTATGGCTCATTTACCAGCATCCCATTTATAGAACATGATTGAAAATGCCATGCTGAGCAAGCTGTAAATATTTCTTGCAAATCCCAGCTCAGACTGGGGCTACAGATATTTCAGATACTAATATAAATTGGAAAAGAAACAAAGCGCCTCAACTTTCTGAAAGTGGTCTGTAGATTGCCAGTGGACTCTGTGTGTGTGTGTGTGTGTGTGTGTGTGTGTGCGCGTGCACCTGTGTGTTCATTGTGGTCTAACATCCATGTTCAGCTTACTGAAATCTACAGGAAGCTTGCTCCCAATAATGGCCCCAGCAATCAGACATCCAGTGTCCTCCTCAACTTTCCAGAATACCCCAAAATCCAAAAATAACAAAAAAGAGCCCAAGTGTTGAGCCCAAGTGTTGGCAATAAATACGGAAATTTATAAGGACACATGACCAGTCTGCTGATCGGGGTCTGCATCATTTTTTTTTAAAAAAACAAATGACACTTGTCCTTCACCACAAGTGAAGCAGCAGTGGCAGAAATGTTATTGAGAAGAGAGGGAGAAAAGCAACTAAAAGAGAGAAGAGAGAAAAAAAAAACCCACAAAAGTGGTATAAGAGTAGTGTGGATGAGAAGTGACAGCTGAAAATAGAAAAAGCCAAAAGCAGAAAAAGCTGAGAACAGTTTCAGGAGTCCTTCTCCTTTCTTGGGTCTCTTTGCGAATTGAGATAGGGGTCTTTCCCCAGTAAAACACATATACTCATATGCACAAAAATTTTACATATACAATCTCAGGGATGCAAGTAATTTACATACTTCAGTTAGTACAGTGTTCGTAATAGTTTTCTTATTGTCAGGAAGGGTATCATAAAGTCTGTTCTATAACCCTGAGTGGTGTGGAATGTACTTCTTTATGAAAAAAATGGTTAAATGTCTCAGTACTTGAGCAGGTAAGTTTTTGTTATTTGGAAAACACTTTTAAGTTTAATAACTCATTTCCCCAACTATTTCAGTCCCCAGGGTATTATTTGGTACTAAGAAAGTAAATGCTTACTTTTTTTTTGACATGAGTTTCTAGTCCTCATCTAGGAATACGCAGAAAGCTGTTGGGCAGAGCTGACTTTGTTGCTGGCAACATGTTTCTTATATCCTTGTTATATGTTATCTACTGGTGCCCAGGGAGATTTACTATTTTTAAAGTGAGACTTTGATTTCATGTATAAATAAAGATAAGAGTTGAGGCCTGAGCCTGGGCAAAATCTTGTGGCTTATGTCTCAGTAAAATGGTATTTTGGGAGTATCATTTCACCCTTGATGTACTTACAACTTCCCTTAACTCCTCCAGAAACCTCTTAGATATGACCTCTTGATGCTATACACAGAAGCTGTAGCATTCACCACCCTCCATCAGCAGAACTGCAAATAGAGGCCCGGAGAGGGTCATTTCTCTGGATTTCTGTTCTCAGCGAGGACTCCAACTGACTCAACTTCGCTATTCTGTTATATCCCACACCAGAGCAATGCCTGTAGGAATACAAGATAACACCTTTGTACCACACCTTTTTTAATTACCAAAAGTGGACTCACACCAAAGCTCATCCAACTGCTTTCTTGCCTAAAAAGAAAGTGTTTTGTAAGCTGAATTGTGCCTGTCAGTTTTCAAATCACTTCATCTCTTTAAAAAATTAAGTTTCAGTGCTGGGCATGGTGGCTCATGCCTCCCAGCACTTTGGGAGGCCAAGGCAGGAGGATCACTTGAGCCCAGGAGTTCAAGACCAGCCCGGGCAACATAATGAGACCTTGTTTCTACGAAACTCAAAAAAATTAACTGAGCATGGTGGTGCATGCCCTTTGGTCCCAGCTACTGGGGAGGCTGAGGTGGAAGGATTGCTTGAACCCAAGAGACAGAGGTTGCAGTGAGCCGAGATCGTGCCACTGCACTCCAGCCTGGGTGACAGAGCAAGACCTTGTCTCCAAAAAAAAAGTAATAGCTTCACACAAGACATTTTCGATGTTCCTGTTGGCGGTTAAAAAAGGCAAAGCCCAGCTTTGCACAGCAGCTGTGGTTATGGGTCACACTCACTGCCTTCACACCTGTGTATGCAGGAATCTTGTGGTACAGCCTTGTCAATGCATCAGTCTTGTTACTTACTGTTATGGCAAGACAGCATTCCTGTTTCTGGTCAGTTTCCATATTAGGCTTAGCAGTTGAGGGCCATTCTGTTGGCCTATAGAAGTTCATGCAATGGGCAGCACAAGCTTGCTCTGGAAACCTCTGTCCCTTCTACAGAAGCTGTGCAGGTCTCTTAGGAGACCCAGTGATCTTGCCTGTTCTAGAGTGGCCCCCAGCTGCAGAGTGTGGGAAGGAAAAAAAATTCTCAATGACGTGTGGGATTGATTTCTTCCTCTTATAATGAATTCTGAATCTGACAGATCTTGTTTTTTGTTTGTTTGTTTTGTTTTGTTTTGTTTTCTTGAGATGGAGTCTCGCTCTGTCGCCCAGGCTGGAGTGCAGTGGCGCAACCTCGGCTCGTTGGAAGCTCCGCCTCCCAGGTTCAAGCAATTCTCCACCTCAGCCTCCCTACTGGCTGGGTTACAGGCACATGCCACCATGCCTGGCTAATTTTTGTATTTCTAGTAGAGACGGGGTTTCACCATCTTGGCCAGGCTGGTCTTGAATTCCTGACCTCATGATCCACCTGCCTCGGCCTCCCAAAGTGCTGGGATTACAGGCGTGAGCCACCGCTCCCGGCCTCTGACAGTTCTTTATTGTACTGCTGGCCGCTTTTTTCTCCCTTTTGGTTGCTGGAAGCCCTTCTGTCTCCTCTCTTTGGGGATGTTGGGAATTTATTCCTTGGGCTCATACTTAATCTCGGGGCTACCAGGCAATGTGGAAAGAGGGACTGGGGCCGAGTCTCCCCTGATGTGACTATTTCATAAGGAGTAATAAGATGGGGATCTGGAGCCAGGTCTTCTTTGTTTTGATTGCAGTTTTCCTTTGACTTCTGGATCCCAGCTTAGGGAAAGGAGGGATTCTCAGCTCACCTTTTTGGACTTCAGTTTCCCCTGCTCTCAGACATGCCTGATTTTTCCTCAAATGACTTTTTCTTTTTGTGATGAAGACAATAAAAGGGCCTAAACCCATCATCCGAAGTTAAAGGGAGGGAAATCTGACTGTTGCTACTCAACAGAAGACTAATTTTAGCTCTAGGTTGCATCAAATAATAATTTTATTTTTCTGAGGATTGTGGAGGAGTGGGCAGTGGAATGGAACAGTGTCACAACTCCTATAAAAACTGTCCCCAAGGGGGCTGGCTTCTAGGAACTCATCCTATAGGGATTAGTGAGCAGACAGTCATCTGAAAAGATAAAATAATAATTTCTCCTCTTTTGCCCTCTAAGGTGATTTCATAGTAGGGGAGGTTGCTACAGGTCAGCCAGAATTCATTCCTAGGCTCTTGGGTTAGTGGTTCACAGTTTTCTCTGCATCCTTATTTGGAGGGCCTTCTCCTATTGCCCATAAGCATAACCCAAATTATGGGTCATCCTCAGTGATTACTGAGAATCATTCACTGCAGTCTACTTACAACTCCACCCTTCATCTCCCACTCAAGAAAACATCTAGAAACACAGGCATGTGAGAGGGAGGCTATTATGGAGATTGCTTTGAAGCAACTAAATTTATATTTAATGTAAGTCCACTGTGAAGCTTCAGGCTTCATTACTTACAAGCGACTTGGAGCTCATCTGGTGCCTATTCATAGTGCCCACTGTGATATGGTGGCACGGGTGGGAGAGCCTATGTTGGCACTAGGGGGTAGCAAATGATCTGCCACCTTGGCCTCCTCTCCTGGGTAGAATGTATGAAAAGAAATCTTGTTATGAATTGCTTTTGATCATATTTTACTTTTGCTTTAGTTCGTACATGTTAAAGCCCCAACATAAATTGTAAACATTTTACATGTTTACATGTTTACATCTATGATGTCTTCAGGATAGACTTTTTTTTTTAACAGAATTCCAGTCTTTTCCTTTATTGTCTTAAGTCTTATCAGATGGAAATCCCTTCCCCCACCCCATGCTTCTATCAGACACTTTGATTCTTTCCTGCTGAAACAGAAAATATATAACCTAGCTACTAAGCATGTCTCTTCTACCAAATTTAGATTACAAGGCAATAAAGCTACTCTGTAGGGAAAGGCTACTGTAACCTAGCTAAATTTTCAGCACCAAAATACACATTTCAGAATTTCACTTGGAAATCCCGAAGCAGAATGTGCTAATTCATAAGTGACAGGTAGGTCCCACCATGAGGCTACCATGAGTGTTTGACTTCCAATTTCATGTGTTTATTTGGCAGTTGGATCCCTTGGGAGTCTGACCTCTCATCTTGGGTGATATTGAAAAGAAAGTGGTGATTTTTCTTTTTTTATGGGATCATTTTCGCTCAAGTCAATTCAGTTGGCCATTTCTATTCTGAATTAATCCAGACTAACAAAGGGCACCTTCTTGATTCCAACCTAAGGTGTGATTAATGAGAAGATTTTGGTTGTCACTGTTTTTGCTTTACTTTGTTAAGAAACAAGTGAGAGTAAGAAGAGTACATTTTTTCCCTTGAATATTAATAGCTACTGAACTGACCTTGAATTTTATGCTCATGTTTCTTCTGAGGGCAGGTGGCAGGGAAAACAAAACTAAACTAAACTAATTCTCAATTCTGTTCTCGATTACTCAGGCCTGGTAGAAAAGGTTGTGCAATTAATACAATTGGGGCAGGACCACTTTGCTTTCTGCCCTGGTTGAAAACAGGGTACACCTTGTTAACTGTTTTCCTCCACAGGGAATAAATCGGGTCTAGTAAGATTCTTATCAACAGCAAGGGGTGTTATACAGTCATTTTTCCAACTGTAGACAATAGTAGTGTAAGCCAAAACCATTGGCTTGCACAGTGTGGTTTAAGTGAGGACCTGAGAGAAAAGTTAAAGCTGATTACTGCACTACAAGCAAATCCAGTCTTTGTGTTGGGACTATGAGGGTAGGAGGATGGGGAGGTGGTTGTTAAAAAGCTTAAAAAAAGACAAACTGATTTTACTACCCTACATAAAATGAAACTTCTTCAAGAAGTGTGAAACTGACTTATCTTTTCCCTTATGTTCATTTTCATGTATGCATAACTTTGCAGTTTATGAATTATTCATTTACATCGTACAGAGTCAATATTTAATTCTGGAGTAAACTTAATAACCAAGAGAAGTTCTGCTAAGATCTTTTGTAGCTGAAATGCACCTATTTTCCTGTTACTCCCTTGTTAAATTTTCTGTTCCAGTCTTTGACAAAGCAAACAGTTTTATTGCTGATGCCATTTATTCTACCAAAGGCTATGATGTCTTCAGGATGGACTTTTTTTTTTTTAATGGAATTCCATTCTTTTCCTTCATTGTCTTAAGTCTTATCAGATCATCCGGCTATTCCCAGAGATGAAACATTCATTAAAGATGCAATTGTAGATCACTTGAAAGTGATAGAAAGAAGCTCCTTCAAAGCTTATAAAATGTCTCTTTTTCTGACACATACTTTTAGGCTTTAGTGTCCTGGTGAGCCTTCCTGACTTGATCCCAGCGGGAATTGTCTTGGAGACCAGACCCCACCCCCACCTCCTTCCAGATCAACAATTTCTAATATTTATCTTCTAACTAGAAACTAAAACAGACAAGAAGTCAAGAATTAATGTTCATGATGACAGTAACATTTTCTGTCCTACATATCATTAAATATTTTCCAACAGAAAAGTAGTATTCGTTACTTAGCAGCTCTGAGGAGCAGGAAAGGTATTTTTTAAAATCTCTTTCCTTTAAGGACTTTAAAATCCAGTGAACCAAAACTAGTCCCCAGCCTTGGTAGGAGAAGAGGCTTAAGGCCCAAACTCTTAAATTCAGCATTTCCTTGGACCAGCAGTACCAAAGGCTTTTTTAGCCTTCAGTGTAGCAGGTCTCATCTAAATGTGTGTGCGTTTAAAAATCGTGTTAATTCCTGTCATCCCCCGCATGCACTTGTAGCACTTAATTGCCTTTAAAGATAAAGGCACTGATTTGCATTCTGGTCGTGACAACCCTGGCCTTAGGAGCTTGTCCGGGAGTTCAGAATGGAGAGACTGGGAGCTGGGCTGTCAGGCTCTCCATTGCCTTTGCCTTCAAAGGTGGCATAGTGGAAAATGAACCACAGTCCCAGGAAGTGTGTCCCTGCAGAAACAATAGCCAGCCCTGCCGGGCGCACTCAGCTTCCACTACCCAGCTCAGAGCACAGGCTTTATAAATACTTAGGACTGTTAGTGAAATACGCCATAGATGCTGTATTTTTTAAAAGTCTTAAAGTTTCTTTCATGAGCACTCTCCTTAAACTGATTTCTGGTGTTTTCAGAGACTTCCTGTGCTTAGCTACATGTGCTGCTCTTCTAAATGCACACTACAGCTCAGTTTGTTTGGGGAGCTATGTTACTCTAGTACATTTCCTTCCTCTTCTCTCTGGGTTTACAGGGCTTTTTCCTTTCCAAAAAACAAAAACAAAAACAAAAAACCACAACTCTACTCCAGGCTCTGAGGCTGCTGAGATCAGCTCAGCAACCTCTGCTGGGTAAGAATGCCCCGGTGTCTGCCCCCATAATGGTTTTAATTAGCCGTACATTCTGCGGGGCGCAAAGGTCTGCGCTGGAGCAGATGGCTGGTGGGGGTGGCGGCTGGGCTATTGTGGGCAGGGGCCACACCAGGACCACAGGCTGCAGATGCTGGCCCGGCGTTGGGGCTGGAAGCTGGAGATCCAGGAGGCTCTGGCCATCTGCTCTGCAGTCCAGCAAAGCAGGTGTCCCTCCAAAGAAAGCATTCCAGAAATCGGTGCCGCCTGTGCAGCCGCTGTGTGCAGGGCACCCTTGTCCAGCTGTAGGACAACTCAAGAGCTGGCTACAATGGCCAGCATGACATTGAGATGCACGGCCCACAGAGTGGGTTTGGGGGGACTCCTTTTGTCTGCCTGAGGGGTTGGGGACTGTCTTGTGAGCAGCCATTTTGGGGCCGGACAACCTCTGACCTTCTCCCCTCTGCCTACTCTCAATGGGGCTGTTGGCCAGTACACTGGCATAGTAATGAGGAAGGACAAGGCAGCCTCTGCGAGCCGTGGCTGCCTAGGGGACACTGTCTGCAGGGAGGGGCCCCAGGGGAAGCCCTGATCCTAAGTTGAATTGGAAGTTCACTGCTTCATCACAATCATCATGCTCATAGCTGTAGTTCTGGGGATTTCCTTAGCTTTATTAAGGTATAATTACAAAAGTTATGTACGTTTACAGTGTACAACATGATGTTTTGATATATGGATACATTGTGAAATAACTAAATCAAGCCAATTAACATATCAAGGCTGTAGATTTTAAAGAGAGTCTCTTCTGGGTTTGTTCTTTAAAGCTGGCACTAGTCTGTCTGCTGTTTTTTCTGCCCTTGTTCTAGTTTTACACATCCAAGTAGTAAGAATAGTCATTGTAATATTTATTAACAAATGCTTGGCACTTAATGGGCACTGTTGTAAGTGCTTTCCAAATGTGAAGCACACCATCAGAGGTACGTGTTGTTATTCATGTACTCATGAGGAAACTGAGGCACACAGAGGGTAAGTAACTTGGCCAAGGTCACACCACGAGTAAGTAGTAGAGCGGAAATTGAACTCGAGTATGGTTCTGCAGTCTAAACCCCTAACCACATCATTTTTCTGACTGAAATAATAACAATAGCTAAGGTTTCCTAAGTGCCAAGCATATGACTCCATGTCCCTTTGGGTGCACTGGAGTGTCCTCCTCACGTTGTAAGGTACTGAGGGGTCACAGAAAGTGGCAGAGCCAAACAACCCAGACAGTGTTCTACAGTTATCTGTCTACAACTGTGCCTCCAGAGTAGGGAGAATCTGAAGTCCCACAGGATGAGTTTTATGTTTATTAATATCCATTCTTTCTCCAATGAGAGGTTACGTATATTTCAAGGGAAGAAATAAATCTTATCTCATGAATTCAGTCTTGTGAACACATCTCAGCCATTGTTCCTCGCTTTCCCCCCTACTTTTCCAAAGATTTTTGTGATAATCGTCCTTCTAGTGCTCATGGCAGATCTGTGTCTACAGGCCACCTGCCAGGCTTCCACTGTGCTGGGTAAGTCATCAGCAATTAAAGGACCCTTTTCCAGAATGATGCCTCCCTTTACTGGTGGCGTTCCAGTAACTGAATGATTTAATCCCCCTAGCCTTCTAACCTGCCTTCCCCTCCTTCTCTCCCTGCTTTTTAATTGGAACTACTGGCTCCAGGCAGTGAGAATGAAAATAAATGAGCTGTGAATGAATTGAATCTTCCCCCACCCACCCCCCTGAAATAGCAATTTAATAACAAATGCTCAGCCACCCTGTGCTTTTCTCCCTCTTATTAAGGGAACAGAACCTTGGTGGAGACTAGGTAGAAGGAAGCACAGAATACCTCCTATCTGTGTGGTAAGCCCCATCTCTAACTGAGGTGGTCTTGGAATGAAAATGTAGCCATTAGCATAAGCCTGCTTCTCCTTTTAACAGGGTGGTCCTGGCTGGATCTGTGTTTCTTACAAAGGGTCCTAGGGGGAATTCTTGGGATACTGCTACTCCCAGAAGACTTTAAAACATGTTTAAACTGGCTGGGTGCAGTGGCTAACACTTGTAATCCCAACACTTTGGGAGGCCGAGGTGGGTGGATCACTTGAGCCCAGGAATTTGAGACCAGCCTGGGCAACATGGCAAAACCCCATCTCTACAAAAAAAAAAAAATACAAAAATGAGCCGGGCGTGGTAGCAGGCATCTGTAGGTGGGTCAGCGGGGAGGGCCGGAGGATCACCTGAGCGTGGGAGGTTGAGGCTGCAGAACAGAGTGAGACTCCGTCTTAAAAGTAGAAACAAACAAAAACCATGTTTAAACTATCCTTCTCCCCTAACCCCCACCCCCACTTGCCTTAAGATTTTGTGTGAAATCATCGAAGATGAGGATGCTGCCTGGGCTTTCGAAGGCTGTGCCGTATCTGACGACGCTTTTGGGTTGGACTGTCTCAAGAATGTCTGTTTGAGATGGTCTCAGTCCACAAGGCAGATCTCAGTCGAGTGTCTCTGATCTTGCCACTTTAGGAGGCATTGGCATCCAACATTCACCAGCCTGAGCAGCACCTGGGCTTCCCACCAAACCGCCTCATCTGTCATAATATGGGGGAGATGCTGCAGAGCAATATTTACCAAAAGGAGGGAGCTTCCCTTTATCCCACCCCCAAGTCACAGGAAATAAATTTAGTGAGAATTTAGTGGGCAAATAAATAGTGAGAGTTGTACCTATTTCTGTTGCATAAACAACATTTATAACAGTAAAATAATAAAAGAAAATTGTTTCCCATAGTCCTTCAACCAATATGCATCTGTTTTTATTATCTCTATTTCCTTCCAGCCTTTGTCTAATTGTATAAATATTTTTGCTGGTGGTAATCATAGGATAGATAGCATTTTTGTAATGGTCTTTCATTTAACATTTCATAAGATGTTTTTCCACGTTCCTACATGGTTTTTTAATTATACTTTTAATGACTGCATTATAATGTATCATTATACTTTATGCTCGATTGTTGAATATTTAAATTGTTTTCAATACTTTCTTGTTGCAAAAAGTGCTATCATGTACATATTTACACATATGGCTTTTCTTCCTCCTTGATTTTATTGTCTTTGAATACCAAGTGAAATTATTGGATCAAAAAGTATGAACATTTTTATTGCTTTTGATACATAAAGCCATTTACATTACTAAAAGTAATAATCATTTACAGTGCTACCCATAACATATAAACGGGCCTATTTTAAATCATAACCTTGATGGTAGTAGAAGTTATATCTTAAATACTTTGCTAATTTAATAGGAACAAAATGACTTCTTGGTTTTAATCCTTCTTTGATTGCTGTTGAGATGAACCTTCCCCCATGTTTTTTTGTTTTTGGTTTTTTTTTTTTAATTATGTTGCTTCTTATGTGAATTGTCTGTGTTTCTTCCTTCTCTGCTGGGAAGACTTGGCATTTTTCTTACAAATGTATATCCATAACAGATACCTCCCCAGGTCTACCCAATTGAATGCTTTAAGTTTAAATATGGAAATTAAAATAAATTCCACATGTATCATGTAAACATATGTCCAATAAAAATAACAAAATTGTGTAGAGCTTACTATGTGCCAGGCACAATTCTAAGCACTTTACCATAACTCCATGAAATATGCACTACCTTGTTCCCATTTTATAGGCAGAGAACCTGAGGCAGAAGTCGTCAGAAGCTTGCCTAAGGCCAACCTGGTAGGGAAGCCATGATTCAGCACCAGGCACTCTGCCTCCTAAGTCTATGCAGTGGCCTCCATACTCGATCCTTTATTAGTTAGGAGTAAGAATCCAGGGAAGAAGGCAGCAGGGAAGTACTGTCCCAGAGAGTGAATCAGACATAGGCACCCAGTCTCATAGACTCATAAGATGTTGGAAACAGTATATTGGAGCATCTTGCTTCTTTGAATTCTGTGCTCACTATTTTCAAATGAACTGAGAAGTAAATGAGCCAGTGCTTTAGTAATGACGAGGATTTTTTGAAGGTGTGTGTGTTGCATTTTTACAGCTGTATATTCCAACTGGGACTCTCTTTATGGTTTGGGGCCAGTGATAACATATTCTCCTGCCATTTCTCCCATTCATTTCTGCTGTTAGAAATCATCCCCTGCTTGAGATTTGGTAGGTTTCTACCAATGGTTCTGAGACCATAAAACCCTATTTTATTTGTCATAGGTGGAATTAGTGGATTTAGTTCTGGGGTGTTTCCAACTGGTATGCTAAATAATGAATTTTCATAATTTTGGATGCCGAAGTAGTATGAGCATTTAAATTGTCTGCTCTGTTGAACAGGAAAATAAATGTGGAGGGACAGACAGGCAGGATGGTTTTGTTGATTTAAAATTTCTTATGTGAAAACAATTCTGACCAGAAATGAGAATGTAAGAAAATTTATGAAGGACTGTTGACTTTACCACTTGCTCCCCATCCCCACCATGCCTCAGACATCCACTAGATTGGAGAGACGTCTTTATGTAGAAATGTAGGCTGAGTGAGCTGATGAAATTGTTATCACAAGCAAAAATCACACGTCCTAATTCACTTTTCATTGATGCCATGTTTATTAGTGACTTTCCATTGTAATCTGCATGAATTGTAGTGAACTTAAACATTTTGAGTTATGGCCTTTTGGTGTCTTCCATTTGTCAGCAACAACCCATCTCAGCATTGTCAGCTTGGTATGGCCAAATTAAATGAACTCTCTGAATTGATACTATCTTAAATATCTAACATGGACCTGTGAAACTGTGGTAGGTGGTTGGCCCTCATTTAAGAGGTGAGAACTACCACTAGTGAGTGTGGAGAATAAAGTAGATGAGCGTAGGTTGCCTGAAAGAAGAACTTCAACTCGTATTAACTTGAATGAACTACTGAAAAACAACATTTCATCTAAAAATTTTACGTGCCATACCATCTGTCATGAGGAATCCAAGTTCTAGAGACAGGTATTAATTAGGCTGACTTTCCTGTCGAGTTTATTTTCGGATTCTAAGCAATCAACTAGTCTTGTACAGGTCAGCTACCCAGAAAACGTGCTGGTTATTTGTTATCAAAGGCAGCTTCATTCATAAAGCTGGATCACTGCTATGACAGCAGCCCCGTTTGGAAAGGGCGATTCACCTTTTCTAACAGGGTTTTCTTTGATGGTTGTAGTAACCCCCCATAACAGTGATTAGTTTTAGGCAGTTTGCTGGAGAGGCTAAAGCCATTTGCTGGAAGCCACAGCCACTGTGGACCTACTTGTTGCAACTGGTCAAAAGACGACCTGTACTATCCCCGGGCAGTGGAGCAAGGGCTGGATTTCGGTCCTGACCTGTGCTCTTAGCGGGGCACTTTTATGCAGTACACAAATTACAACTGTATGCTGTGACTTTGGAGAAGAGGCAGGAGTAATGAAGCCTGATAAGGTGGCAAAATGGTCCAATTCAGATAAATTGAACTGCCTTTAATGTAATTTACTGGTAATGTACATTTTATACTTTCTCTAGCCTACTTATTTTAAGTTGCATCTCTCTCCTCACTATGCCACAGATACACTAGGCTCATTCTTGCCTCCTTGCTTCAGCAGATAACAACTGCCCCCCTTCTTTTCTTTTCTTTTTTTTTTTTTGAGACGGAGTCTCGCTCTGTTGCCCAGGCTGGAGTGCAGTGGCGCGATCTCGGCTTACTGCAAGCTCCGCCTCCCGGGTTCACGCCATTCTCCTGCCTCAGCCTCCCGAGTAGCTGGGACTACAGGCACCCGCCACCTCGCCTGGCTAATTTTTTGTATTTTTGGTAGAGATGGGGTTTCATTGTGTTGGCCAGGATGGTCTCGATCTCCTGACCTCGTGATCCGCCCACCTCGGCCTCCCAAAGTGCTGGGATTACAGGCGCAAGCCACTGTGCCCAGCCTGCCCCCTTCTTTTCATTTGGCTCTCTGCAGTTTATCCTTCAGGTCTCAGTTTAGACATTGCTTCTTCCCGATCTAACAAGTCTAAAGTATCCCATCTGCATAGCAACATAGCATCCTGAACTTCCTTGTCATAGCACTTAAAATACTACCCTGTTGTATTTCCTGTTTTCTTGTCTGCATGTCTTCATTAGCATATAAACTTCTTGGGGCAGGAAATATGTTTGTCCTGTTCATGGTTGTTCATGGTTGTATTACCAAGACCTAGCACAGTACCTAGCACAAAGAGAAGCACTCAGTACACATTTATTGAAGAATAAATTCATAAATGCATGTGTACAGATACTTGTTGGTTGATGGATACTGGATATTTGCTTTGGCTGGGTTTAATTGGTTGTGATAGGTTTTGCTGTTGAATAAGTGACCTAGCAAATGAGGACAAATCCTTGGTGAAATGCTGCAGAAGGCTGTGTGGTGTTTCTTAGGAGTCTCGTCCTGATTGGCTGGTTAACTGAAGAGAACTCATCTAGATGGATACACTAGAGAGTCCTGAAATTATGTGACTCACTTAGATGATGATTTCAGAGCCAGAGAGTGATCTGCTCTAGGAAAAGCTAGGATAGTTCTTTCTGAATAAGTTCTAAAGCACACTAATCTTCTCTTGCCTTCTCTAGCACTGGAAGACGCAACGCAGTGAGGAGTATGAAGCGGAAGGTAAGAGCCGAGTGTGTCAGGACGTGCCTGGAAGGGAAGGGCCGCCGGGTGCTCTCCACACCCGGTCTTTCTGATCTCTTATGCTGCAGGCCAGGGGAATTAACATTAAGAACAACAGCAACAAAAAATTTATTCCCAATTGATAGCTTTTAGTTTTAAAATCCTAGCATTTAGTATCATGCAAGAGATGGTAACTAAGATATATAATTTTACTTACGGGCTAATTTCTCTCTTATACAGACTTTCAGATTAATTTTCTAACAGTCTTAAATAGTGACCTATTAAAGTGCATCCCTTGGCCAGGTACAGTGGCTCACGCCTGTAATCCCAGCACTTTGGGAGGCCAAGGCAGGAGGATTACTGGAACGCAGTAGTTCATGACCAGCCTGGGCAACATGGCATACCCCGTCTCTACTAAAAATAGCCAGGTGTGGTAGCACATGCCTGTCGTCCCAGCTACTCAGAAGGCTGAGGTGGGAGAATCCATTAAGCCCGAGAGTTGGAGGCTGTAGTGAGCCGTGATTGTGCCACTGCACTCCTGCTTGGATAACAGAAGAGACTCTGTCTCAAAAAATAAAAATAACAATATAAATTAATTAATTAATTTAAAAATGCATCCCTTGACAAGTTTCAAATGTATTTAAGAAGCATCAGAACACGTTGATCCTCTGGCCACCAGATGGCACTGTGGTTCAGCTAACAGAACCTCAGCCCACTTCACAGCCCTCTGTGGATTAACTGTACTTAAGTGTAATTACAACCTGTTCTCTAGGTTGAAACGCCACAGCAGTAATGGGCTTAATTCCTGTCACTAAAGAGTGGGAGTAGCACTAAATACTGCTTTCAACCCTCTGAGGTTCTTCCAAGCACACAAAATTGTGCCAGTAATTATCTCATGTTTAAGTAATGACTTTACAGAATCTCTAATGTGTAAAGCAAAATTTAGAAGTGAGGGCTTTTAATAGAGAATAAATAAGAAGTTTTGATTTTTAAATAAGTAGTTTGATCCTTAAGTCTTCAAATGAAATTTAATGTATAGATAACTGGGAACTTATAGCTTGCAACCATTGATTTTTTTTTTTTAATTTCAGTTGGACTGTTGGTTTCTGTATGTCAGAATATTCATATGTAAGGATTTGGGAACAGGCTAATGTTGAGACTTTTATCATGAAATTATTTTCTTTTCAGTAAAAGATGCTGTAGTACTTAGGCTGGAAAGAAAGTGGAGGTAATACATTCTGGTAGCTATAGTTGAGATAGAGCTTACAGAGTTCTCGATAATGGCCCTCAACCAGCCTTCTTTCTCTATGATCACTATAGCCTAAGCTTGTGATGTGCTCAGCTGAAATAAAACAAGCCTAGAACTTTGCAGTATTGCACAGGAGATTATATTTATTACACCGGTATGACTGTCAGGGAGCCAAAAAGTACCCATTTACTCTAGTTGCAGCCTTAGAACCATTGATTCTGTTTCATGGGAGCTTCAGGACCAAATCAAAATGGAATTGACATTTATTGCCTTTTTCTTACAGTATTTATTTTCAAAAAGCACAGTTTTCTTTAAGAATAGGCACTCTCTCTTTGCAATTCCTTTGGAAACCGTGCAACATATGCTTCTCTCTCAGGCCAGTTAAGGTTTTGGAACCCAGATGACTTGAATGCTTCACAGAGTGGATCTTCCCCTCCCCAAGACTGGATAGAAGAGAAACTGCAAGAAGTTTGTGAAGATTTGGGGATCACCCGTGATGGTCACCTGAACCGGAAGAAGCTGGTCTCCATCTGTGAGCAGTATGGTTTACAGAATGTGGATGGAGAGGTAAGCCTCGCAGTATAATTCAGGAATGATAATGATGGTAAAAGTGTAGTTGACCACATGCTAGGAACAGCTGTAGTGTGGCTCTCTGCAGCTTGTTAGGCTCCATTTTCTTTTTTCCTAAGAAGTCATTCATGAAGATTCTGTCACTGAGGAGCTCTTGTTGTGTTGTGAAAAAGAAAAACTGACAAGAGCTGACACTTACCCAGCTATTGTAAGCTCACTGTGCTAGGCAGGTTACCCCATGTGAAACTGTCAGGCACTAGCTCTCTGTAGCCATGATGTCAGATGTATTTGTAGAGGTGCCATTCACAGAGTAAATTGTGGGAAACATGTGGAGGCAGAATTAAGCAAGGATTTCAGTAGATTTGAGTTGGGGGAGTATTTTGAAGACCAGAAGGATAAATTTAAGTTTTTGGAAAGAACATCTCAATATCATCTCTGAGTTCTTAAGCAGATTGAGCAATATATAGAAAAATCTTGCTTGCTGACGAGGAGCTAAACTGCTTTTACATATTAGCATGAAGAGAGCCTTGGGTGAGAGCAGCCAGCAGCCATTACAATATTCTGGTCATGAGAAAATGGTAAAGGGTAGTTTGGTTGTTTTGAAAATACTAAGAAGAGTTTTGAAGGAGCCCCCAAAAGACTCTTCTTTGGTAAAACTCTGAGCTTTATGTTTTCTAAAAAATTAAGGGAGGAACTGGTAGGACTGGGTGCATGAATAGCTGTGAAACATAAGAATAGAAATAATTCTAAGATGTGCCTTTCAACGAGCTGAAAATAAGGATTGGAGAGAGTTAGGGTAGGGCTACAGTTGTCGCTTTGGGAATCTTTGATTATAATGATATTTGAAACCATGCTTTCTGCTTGCTCGGGGGATAAGTGGTATTATTTTTCTAAACAGATAATAGAAATATTTGTTTAGTGGTATTTTTCTAAACAAATAATAGCTTTTGATTTATTTTCAAAAGCTTTCAAGTAGCCTAGCTTACAGAAAATTTTTTTTGTTGTTTTCCCCTTCTTTCCTGTATTTTTGACCATTATATACCCTTTGTTTACCTTTGTAATGGCTCAGTGGTAATTTATTTTTCATTGGTGACTATTAAGTCATAAAATTAAATTTATTCTCCTGAATTGTAAATCAGTGCAATATGTAGAACCTTGGGTTGTTTTTGCCAAAAAATATTGCACAAACTTGGATTATTTATCTAAAACCAATTCTTGGAATAAACTGTAGCTACTTGTGGAGAGCTGCATGTTCTTCTGTGGTGGTTTCCAAAGCTCAGGAAAAGAAGTAGCACATTTAGTTATTTTCCTCTGGCCTGAGGACAAGTAGAGGATTGCTCATAGAATATAACTTTTACTTAGTGTTTTTCCTGCTAAAGAAAAATAGTGAAATTCTATAGTACTTAGTATTACTAGCTCTAAACCACAGAGGAGCTGGAAGTTCAAGATGATCTCATTTACTTGGAATCCTAAAATTTTACAACTGAACGCCATTTTAGATTTAGTCACCTCTCATTTTATAGGTAGAGAGAGTGAAATCGTGGCTGTTCCCTGCTTTCATGAAGGGGAACTAGAGTCACTGTCTTATGCCTGTAACTAGCACACTCCTTTCCGAAAGCAAGAACAATGACAGGGCAGAGATGCAAACCAGCATGCCCGATGCCGAATCTGGCCCCAAGCCTATTTTACTTGTCATGCCCAGTGTTTTTAAAATTGAACTTTTTGCTACATTGAAAAAAAAAATCAGGAGATTTTTCTAAAACTCCAAAGATTTGGCTCCATTTTATGGGCAGTAAGATGCAGCCAGCCCCTTTGGAGAGGACATGCACTCCTGTGTTCAGTTTCCCAGCACTCGCTACTTTCTGATGTCTTAAACCCATCTTGCCTCATTCGTTGACATCATCTTCCGGGCCTCTTTGAGTGTTTGGGTTTGTGATTATTTTCCAACTTACACTTCAGCAAACCAGCTATCCAAAGACCTGGTCCATGTAAGAATAAGAATGTCCTCACAGTTCCAGAGACAGCTCCTGCTCAAAGTGTAGAGCGTGCCCCAGTTGGCCATTTAACCGGCATTGTTTTCTGCCTAGCCCCGGCCCCGTCTTCTGAATCCACACTCTTCTATTCATCACTTGCCCACTCCACCATCTAAAATAACTGGAAGGACTTTCCAGGTGCGAGGTCTTTAGGCAGTCTGGAAGCTGTGCACTGATTTGGCTAATGTCACAAGGTCAAGCAGTGTGGATCTAATGTTAGAGCCAAACTTTTAACCTTGTTAACTTCAGTCAACACACCTGGACTTGACAGTAATTTCTGGTACAAAGGTCCTGAAAGCCTTGTCCTCCAGGAAAATATTATTTTGGTTGATAAGAACAGGATAGAAAAGTTAAGGGATCTTGGCAACCTCAGAATCTTGCCCCAAATATCTTTCCATTGATTTGATCCTCTTTTAGGAATTGTTGCTTCTTGCAAACGTTTCCACTCTTTAGAATGGTTTTCTTGTTTCAGAGTTCCCTCCAGAGGAAGTCGTATGAAAGCAAGAATGGAAACTAATGTTTCCTGTTGGGTATGAATTGGGGAAAAAAAAGCATTTGAGATGAGAGAATTGCCTCAAGCCCTTACATGAAGAATGAAATCAACAATAGTGAGATCGTATAAATCCTAGCAGTAGTCCAGATTTACAAAAGGAATATTAGAAGCTTGAGAATGTGTTGCAGAGAATTTAGGCCTGTGTTAGAATGAGTCCAGTTGTAGGCTCAAATGCAACAAGAGCAATTTGTTGCTTATTCTGTCTCCTTACTGCTCAGTGGCATGGGCCTTAACTGGGAGCTTGTTAGAAATGCCGAAATCTGAATCCCCACACCACCAGACTTACCATATTAGAGTCTTCATTTTAACAAGCTCTCCAAGAGATTTCCATTTTGTACATTGGAGGCATGTTCCTATAGAAACATTTTAACCCCAGAATAAAGAGGAATCTGACTGCTAGTGGGAGGGCTTTGCCTTTCCTCCTCGTTCTGTGGCTTCAATGATCCACGTTGCTCTATTCACCTTCCCATTCCTCTGTGGAGCTAGGGAACCAGCCATTCCCAGGCAAGCCTCTAGATGGGGCTGTAGCCCAATCTCCCCTTCCCTATTACAGGATAGGGGCTATTTGATTACCATCAGAGGGTGCGGACTAGCCAGTCAAAACTCCCTTGCCTTTACATGTCTTGGAACCCTTCTATTGCACACACATAAAGTCTTTGTTTTTCCTGTGCTAAAACATTAAAGCAAAAAGCCAACACACTCAGTATTGTTACAAGTAAGGTTCTAAACCCCAAGTTATGGATTTCAGATTCCAAATCTTAATTGTAATCAGATCATTGTAATCTGTCCCAGACCAAATTCTGCTGTGCTAGCCTACCAATTTCAAAAATTCAACATAAAGAAAATATCACTGAGGGTCACCACAGTATAAAAGTGTAACAGATGTCCAACCACTTTCTACTGTTATGACACTGGGAAGCTTGTATCTTTATATTATTTAGGTATTTTTTAAAATTTGTAAGAATAATGTGTAACAACATTAAAGACTGCCTATTGTAGGAGTGTGAGTAAAAGAGAATATAGTTAATTGCTAAATTGCATAAGATTATGAAGATGTTGGAAATTGACTTTTATTTAGTTTGTGGGAAGGAGGAGGGCATATCATTACTGGAAAGGGAAACCAGTAAAGTGAGAATAAAGGGGCATAATTATATTTCTGGAGTCCTGGGACCAACCATGGTACTGATTACTACTGGCCGGAAGTATACTTTGGGCCTTGTATACTTGAATGGAGTATTTAAAATATGTGATGACTCTTTTCTAGATGCTCGAGGAAGTATTCCATAATCTTGATCCTGACGGTACAATGAGTGTAGAAGATTTTTTCTATGGTTTGTTTAAAAATGGAAAATCTCTTACACCATCAGCATCTACTCCATATAGACAACTAAAAAGGCACCTTTCCATGCAGGTAAAAAATAAGCAGAAGTGCTTTCTTTGTGAATAAAAGTTAGAACCCATTTAAGTAATGTCTAATAAATTAATCTGTTGTCTGAAGCAAAATACTAAGGAAAGAGAGGGAAGCAAAAGAAGAATTAGAAAGACTTAACCATTAGGAAGGAAAGGTTGGGTTTGAGAAATGACCGTAAATTACAGTGGAAAGACCACTAATTATGCCTTGTCATGTCAGCTCTGGGTCAGAAGAAACCTGGTGTTAATTAGGGACATATCTCGTCTATGTCATAGAACTCTCTACCAAAACAGTTGGTTTTGATAAGCTCCGTAGGCTTGACTCAGTTGGGAACAGAGATCAGAGAGGCTGCATGACTTTTTTCCTGGCACTGTATATTAGAGAAACATGCCTTCTACCCATCGTGGTCAGGGCTGACCAATATCTTGTTGAAATGCCTGGAATCAAGCTAGGCTTACTCAAGTCTCTTCCTCCTTCCAGTCTTTCGATGAGAGTGGACGACGTACCACAACCTCATCAGCAATGACAAGTACCATTGGCTTTCGGGTCTTCTCCTGCCTGGATGATGGGATGGGCCATGCATCTGTGGAGAGAATACTGGACACCTGGCAGGAAGAGGGCATTGAGAACAGCCAGGAGATCCTGAAGGTGTGGCAGCTAAAATTGAGAAAAATGACAAACTGGAGAAGGGTTGAAAATTTTCAATTTTATTTTTTGGAAACTGTGATTTGATTTTCTTTCTTCTTAATGGTACTTCTGTTCACAAAGTCTCAAAGATAAAAGGTAACTTTTTTTTTAGCCCTTTTAACCAGGAGCCTTTTGTTAAGTACTTTCCGTGTTTTTAACCCCCAGATTATTGACATGAGAAATACTCTTACAATTGTGTTTATTTACAGGGCCAGATAGTGTTGTTGTTGTTGTTGTTGTGTTTTTTTTTTGTTTTTTGTTGTTTGTTTTTTTTTTGAGACGGAGTCTCGTTTTATCACCTGGACTGGAGTATAACGGTGTGATCTCGGCTCACTGCAACCTCCGCCTCCTGGGGTTCAAGAGATTCTCCTGCCTCTGCCTCCCAAGTAGCTGGGACTACAGGCGCACACCACCATGCCCGGCTATTTTTGTATTTTTAGTAGAGACAGGGTTTCACCGTGTTGGCCAGGATGGTCTTGAGCTCCTGACCTCAAATGATCCGCATGCCTCGGCCTCCCAAAGTGCTGGGATTACGGGCGTGAGCCACTGCACCTGGCCAAGATAATTTTTTTTTTTTCTTTTTAACACAAATAACCATGTTATGCTTTCCTTAGAGAAAACTTAACTGTGTTCTAGACTGATGGCTGTTCCTAAGCAATCACCAAAGCAATGGAATTGTCTAATTGCTAGATCATTGTCAGCTCTCAGAGTTTGTATAGCCTTCACATTTTCTGCTTTCAGAGGATGGAATGAGTGATTTGTTTTTGAATTTACGCCTTGCTCTGATTTCTAGGCCTTGGATTTCAGCCTCGATGGAAACATCAATTTGACAGAATTAACACTGGCCCTTGAAAATGAACTTTTGGTTACCAAGAACAGCATTCACCAGGCGGCTCTGGCCAGCTTTAAGGCTGAAATCCGGCATTTGTTGTGAGTTGAGCAGAAGGTTCGCCTGCCCCATTCCCTTTCCTACTTGTCCAGCAAGTCATTCGGATGCCTTGGATGGACATCCTTCTATTCTGTATGCAAATGTTGCTCATCTTCTATCCAACTGCTGCACACATCTTCCTTAAAGTATAGGAAAATTAAGGAGAACTTAGATTGACATGTAGGCTTTTGAAGGGAAGGGTGGAGTGCCTTTTTGCTTTGGGAGGGTTTTGGTTGTCTTGGTTTTGCTTCTGTATTGATGCAAGCCAGATGAGAGCTTTTCTGGGTCTACTTGTTGCTTAGAAACAGTTTCCCATTAACTCAGTGTACTTCTGATCCTAGGGAACGAGTTGATCAGGTGGTCAGAGAAAAAGAGAAGCTACGGTCAGATCTGGACAAGGCCGAGAAGCTCAAGTCTTTAATGGCCTCGGAGGTGGATGATCACCATGCGGCCATAGAGCGGCGGAATGAGTACAACCTCAGGTGAGGCCAGCAGAGTGAGGCTCCTCCTCACCCACCACCCTGGCCCAGGGCAGTGGCGCCTGCAGCTGCAGGGGCAGAACAGTGCACTGGGGACTCTTCTGGTCAGCCTGTTGGCCACACCTTGCTGGAGTGACTCAGATGTGGTCAAGCCCTAAGGGAAAGCAGGGTACACTAGATATTTTATCCAGGTGCTTTTCATCTCTGTGCCTCTGTGTTTCCATTTTTGGTAGATTGATACTGGGACCTCTGAAAGACGTGATGGCAGCTTGTCCATTTTTCTTCGTTACAGGAAACTGGATGAAGAGTACAAGGAGCGAATAGCAGCCTTAAAAAATGAACTCCGAAAAGAGAGAGAGCAGATCCTGCAGCAGGCAGGCAAGCAGCGTTTAGAACTTGAACAGGAAATTGAAAAGGCAAAAACAGAAGAGAACTATATCCGGGACCGCCTTGCCCTCTCTTTAAAGGTAATCATCTTATTAGTTCTGTGGTCTGCGTCCCTGCCGGGAACACCACGTGGAAAACTACAGCTTTGGAAGTGGGCATGTTTGCACAGGGTTCAGTCCAAAAATCCTCCAAGTTTGCCCAGCTGGGTCTTCACCCAGACTTGGCAGGGCCCTGCTAAAATCTGGATTTCAGCAGGGCTACCCAGGCTCCTGCTTTGCTCACAGTATTGATTAGCATCTCTTGTTCTTCTCTCCCACTGCGGGTTCACTAGGTCTTCAGGGCTGTTTGGCACCTGGCTGACCCCTTGATTCCTCCCGCTGCTACTCCAAACCTGGCCCTCACCCTCAGATCCCCATCTTCTCGCCTGCCCGCCCCCCTCATTCTCAGCAGATGGTCTTGCCTCCTGCTACATGGATGCCTGTTTCTCCCGGCCTCCAAATGTGCCTTTTCTTTTTTTTTTTTTTTGAGATGGGGTCTCACTCTGTCACCCAGACTGGAGCGCAGCGGTGCAGTTATAACTTACCACAGCCTCAAACTCCTGGCCCCAAGTGATCCTCCAGCCTCGGCCTGCCAAGTAGCTGGGACTATAGGCTCATGTTATTATGCTCAGCTAATTAAAAAATGTGTTTTGTAATCCCAGCACTTTCAGAGGCCGAGGCAGGCATATCACTTGAGGTCAGGAATTCGAGACCAGCCTGGCCAACATCGTGAAACCCTGTCTCTACTAAAAATACAAAAAATTAGCAGGGTGTGGTGGTGTGTGCCTATAATCCCAGCTACGCAGGAGGCTGAGGCAGGAGAATTGCTTGAACCTGGGAGGCAGAGGAAGTTGCAGTGAGCAGAGATTGTGCCACTGGACTCCAGCCTAGGCGACAGAGCAAGACTCTGGATCTAAAAGAAAAAAAAAATGGTAGAAACGGGGTCTCATTATGATGCCTAGGCTGGTATCAAACCCTGGCCTCAAGTGATCCTCCCACCTCGGCCTCCAAATGTGCCTTGCCTCTCAAACATCCTCCCCTCTTTCCTGTGTCTCAGTGAAAGAAGTGGTCCTTCTCTTTGCTGGACTCTTACACCATATAATAAGGTGCAAGGGCTCTGGAGTCAGGCTGCCTGGTTTAGATCTGGGTACCACCACTTACTGAAAACTTTGATCAGGTTCCTCAGCCTGTTTCCTAATGTTAAAAATGGGCACCATAATAATACCTACCCTATAGCACTGATGTGTGGGCTAAATGAGATGAGGCACATACAGTGTCTGGAAAACAATAAGTACATGTGAAATGTTTGCTGTTATTGCTATCGCAAAAGGTTCTTGATACTCCACACATCAAAAACTGAGGTAATTATTACTCCCTAGCCATCTAACTGTTTCATTTCGTGAATTTCTCCCCAATCAACATCAACACCATGAGGTGTAAGTCTCAGAAGCTAAAATTCCTCGTCATCTTCCCTCATGATTACTCATCAGCCTGTAAGTTATGTTGATGCTCCAAAGTGACTCTCAGATTTATCTCCTTCCTCTGCATTTCCCCAGCCTCTGATTAGGTTCAGAATTCATCATGATGTCTCAGCTAATTAATGTGTATCCTGAACAGTTCTTTCTTCCATCTCTTCCACCTCCATATGGCTACCAGTTACTTAGCTAAATATCCGTTACAATCATGCTGTTACCACCCTTTGCAAAAAAACAACAAAAACAATGTGTTAGCAGTCAAGGCTCTTGAAAAGGAGCTCGTCCTCATACCTTTCAAACTTGAGCTGCTGCCACCAAGTCCCAGTGCCATGCCCTCCCCCACCCCACTGCACCTACCCCAGCTCTCCCCGTGCCTCAGAGGGCAGAGCACATTTATGCCCCTTCACTGCTTTCCCCAACACTGCAGGCCAAATTACTTTTTCATTCCCATTACATTTACTTTTTTCTTGCCAAGAGATAGCACATTTCCTACTGGGTCATATAGAGTTGTATCCACATCTGCCTCCCTCCCAAGATAACAACAGTATCTGATTTGTCAATTTCCAGAGCACCAGCACTGCCTGATACACAGAGATTACTCTATGTTGTTCTAGGCTCTACATTTAGGTGTACTTTGAAAGATTAATGTTACAGAATTGGCATTTTAGGGGAAGGTAGTATTTTTTAAATGCTCTAAGTACATTTTTTTTTTACTTATATTGCTGTATGAGGGTGTGAACTAGAATATACTAAAAATATACTGGCTCTGTATTCTTTTGGCAAAATGTTCTTAGAAAATGATGTTCTTCCAATCAGCCTTTAACACTGGAAAAGAAAAATGTCAAATGGCACGTCTGTGTGTGTGTGTGTGTGTGTGTGTGTGTGTGTGTGTGTGTGTGTGTTGGCAAATGTGGTTGGAAATCTTTCTTAAAAATACTATATATACAGATCCTTTTAAAAAAACTTTTATGGGTTTTAGTTGATGTGTTATTATAATATAAACATATACAAATTATGAGCAATTCATATGTACAGTTTTTATATCTTTAAACCAAAAGAAATTTATAAATTAAATATAAACCAAATCATAATATCAATAAATTGATTTTAGAGTTGCTCTACTTTTTTTTTTTTTTTTGAGATGGAGTCTTGCTGTGTCGCCCAGGCTGGAGTGCAGTGGCGCCATCTCGGCTCACTGCAAGCTCCACCTCCCGGGTTCACACCATTCTCCCGCCTCAGCCTCCCAAGTAGCTGGGACTACAGGCGCCCGCCACCACACCTGGCTAATTTTTTGTATTTTTAGTAGAGACGGGGTTTCACCGTGTTCGCCAGGATGGTCTCGATCTCCTGACCTCATGATCCGCCCACCTTGGCCTCCCAAAGTGCTGGGATTACAGGCGTGAGCCACTATGCCTGGCCTAGAGTTACTCTACTTTTTATACTTTTTCTGAGTTCTCTTTTGCTGGCAGCTGAACAAGGTATTTTGTAATCATTTTCTTTCATTTGTCAATATTATGTATTGAGAATATTTTCATATTCTACTGCAATGCTGTCCAATAGATACACATACGTGGCCTGCATTATAATTTCAGTTTGCAAATAGCCACATTGAAAGGTGAAAAGAAACAGGTGAAACTAATTTCAAATAATCTTGTTTAATCCAGTATCTCTAAAACATTATCATTTTGACACATTATCAGTATACAAAAAATATTACTGAGCTATTTTACATTTTGGGGCTATTCAAAGTCTGGTGTCTATTTTAAACTTACAGTTTGTACTAGACACACTTCAAGGGCCCAGTACCCAGTATGGCTACTAGCAGCTACCTGTTTTGGACAGCACAGTTCTACGTGGTCAAAAACAAAAGGGCAAACTTATTTTGTTGTTATAAAATAGATATCAACCTTTTATATTTACTTTTGCCTCCTGTAGTCTACTACAGCTTTTAAGATAGATAAACATCTTTAATCTACGGTACTGATTTATGCTGTATATAAAATAGTACCACAGTTTGCTAATTTCTTAATCTGTACCACATTTAATTTCCCCATACTTGTTCAGGAAAACAGTCGTCTGGAAAATGAGCTTCTAGAAAATGCAGAGAAGTTGGCAGAATATGAGAATCTGACAAACAAACTTCAGAGAAATTTGGAAAATGTGTTAGCAGAAAAGGTAAACCTGTTCAAATCTCATTTCCTGATAGGCAGCCTACTTTATGTAGTTTACTCAAAAGAACAGGAGCAATGCCACCAGAACATTTTTATTAGGCAATTACTGGGGTAGCTAAATGGTGCTCTAACTTTTGTAGGGATATAATTTACTAAGTTGGTTATGAAGGAGAACATTGCCTGGCACTGAGAAATGATCCCTGTGTTCATTGAACACGTCACTCTAGTGCGTTCTCCCCATCACCCAGTTGGTGTTGTTCGTGCTTACATGTCACATTCCTATCATACTCAAGAGACTGGGTGAATACCAGAAACTGGGCCTTTGCTGTGTTGGGTCAAAGAAGGGCACTCGGGAAAAATGACAGCTTTGCCCTTTTCCCCTTCTAGTTTGGTGACCTCGATCCTAGCAGTGCTGAGTTCTTCCTGCAAGAAGAGAGACTGACACAGATGAGAAATGAATATGAGCGGCAGTGCAGGGTAGGTAGACAAAGAGAACTGAGTAAGTGCAGGAGTGCCTGGGTTCAGACCCCAGCTTCCCCGTTCCCTAGCTCTGTGACCCTAAGCAAGTCACTTCATCTGTGGGTACTTCCATTCCTCATGCATAAAATGGTAAAAATAAAAGTACCCACCACAAAATGTTGTAGCAAAAATTCCATCAGTGAGTATATGTAAAGTGCTTAGAGCAGAGCCAAGGATAGAGTAAGCACTTACATAAATGTTAGCTATTCACATGGACACAGGAAGGGGAATATTACACTCTGGGGACTGTTGTGGGGTGGGGGGAGGGGAGAGGGATAGCACCGGGAGATATACCTGATGCTAGATGACGAGTTAGTGGGTGCAGCGCACCAGCATGGCGCATGTATACATATGTAACTAACCTGCACAATGTGCACATGTACCCTAAAGCTTAAAGTATAATAAAATTAAAAAAAAAAAACATAAATGTTAGCTATTAACATTATTATTCAAAAATTAGCCTTTCCTGATTGATCATTGCAGATCTAATCTGACGTGATTTGGTTTTGTCCTGTGGGTTTTTTTTTTTCTGAATACATTTTTTACTCCATTTATTTATAAAATGCAAATGAAACAGAAAACCACTCAAGTCTTAGCTAGTAAATCATTCCCAATTTCGGCCAGGAGAGATGGAAACATTTTTACAAGTAACAAGAATCTTTGATTTTAAAAAAATTCCCCTAAAGTTAGGAATTTGAATTTTTTTCTTAAACCAGAAACACGTGTTTATTTTAATGAGACAAATATAACTGAGTTCCAGCTACTTAGATAAAAAGTTTAATTGTGCAGAGATGAGTAAAACAATCATATTATGAAGTTACTTGCAGCCCTCCTTTTCAGGAAATATACATACATGGTTAAGAAAACATTTCTACTGCTTTTATAATTAAATTTTAGCTCTTGGTTCTAATTAAATAGAGGTATTTTCTAAATGTCTTTACATTTAATGAATTCATCAGTAAAAGCTGTCAGCTCTACCTTCAGAAATTCCCCCAGTTCATCCACTTGTTTTCTTTCTTACTTTTTTTAAGACGGAATCTAGCTCTGTCACCCAGGCTGGAGTACGGTGGTGTGATCGCAGCTCACTGCAACCTCCACCTCCTGGGTTCAAGCAGTTCTCCTGCCTCAGCCTCCCGAGTAGCTGGGATTGCAGGTGTCTGCCAAACGCCTAATTTTTTTTTTTTTTTTTTTTTTTTTTTTTAAGTAGAGACAGGGTTTCACCATGTTGGCCAGGCTGGTCTTGAACTCCTGACCTCAGGTGATCTGCCCACCCAGCCTCATCCACTTGTTTTCTTAACAGCTTTATACACTATATGTTTTACCCATTGAAGGTATAAATTCAGTCTTTTATTGTATTGACAGAATTGTGCAAACATCACCGCATTCAATTTTAGAACATTTTCATCACCCCAGGAAGAAACCCCTTCTCCACTTAGCCATAATCTCTCCCAAGCCCCCTAGCTCTAGGCAATTATTAGTGTACTTTGTGTCTCTACAGATTTGCATATTCTATACATTTCATATAAATGGAATCTTACAATATTAGCCCTTGAGACCGGCTTCCTTCATTTAACATAATGTTTTTAAAGTTCATCCATGTTGTAGCGTGTATCAGTTCTTCATTTCTTGAATAATATTCCATTGCGTAGATATACCACATTTTGTTTATTAATTCACCGGTTAAGGGACATTTGGGGGATTTTGGCTATTATGAGTAACGCAGCTATGAAAATTTGTGCGCACGTTTTTGTATGGGCATATATCTAGGAGTAGAATTGCTAGGTTGTATGGTAACCCTATGTTTAACCGTTTTAGGAACTGCTAAACTTCTTGCAAAGTGGTTGCACTGTTTTATATTCCCACTAGTATGATAGTTCCAATTGCTCCACTTCTTCACCAACAGTCGTTATTGTATGTCTTTTTGATTCTAGCCACCCTAGTAAGTGTGAAATGGTATCTTATTGTGGCTTTGATTTGTATTTCCCTGATAGGTAATGATATTGAATATCTTTTACATGTATGTATTAGTCATCTGTATATCATCATTAGAGAAATATCAATTCAGATCATTTGCCCATTTTTAAAATTGTCTTATTATTGAGCTATAATAGTCTTTATATATTCTAGTTACAAGTCCCTTATCAGATACTTAATTTGCAAAACATTTCTACTTTCTTGATAGTGTCCTTTGAAGCACAAAAGATTTTGTTTTGATGATATCCAATTTATCTTTTTTGTTGTTGTTGTTGCTTATGCTTTTGGTGTCACATCTAAGACCAGTGTTGGTTTTTAAATCCCAGGTACTACAAGACCAAGTAGATGAACTCCAGTCTGAGCTGGAAGAATATCGTGCACAAGGCAGAGTGCTCAGGCTTCCGTTGAAGAACTCACCGTCAGAAGAAGTTGAGGCTAACAGCGGTGGCATTGAGCCCGAACACGGTAAACACATTCGGACAGGCTGTAGATAAAGCCTTTACTCTTGTTTTTAGAAACGTGGTTCAATATAAAATTGCAAAGCTTTGGCAACTTGAAAAAAGAAAAAAAAAAAAAAGAATTTGGCCATACTCTTTTCTTGAGCTGTTTCACTTGTGGTCTCGTTTTTCATTTGTCCTTGAAGTTTTTATGAGAACATTTCCATCTGATTTTGATATGCGTCAACAAAGGAATGGAAGAATCAAACCACAAGGGTATTTGCTTTGTTAACAAAACAAACAAAAAACTGGCTGCAAATCTGGGAATCCAGGCCTTGGGAGTGTTAGAATTCAGACACTGAGCTATTGCTGTCCTCTTCGAAGAGAGTGTGTAACTCATATGAAGATGGTTTTGGAGAGCAGGCCAGCCAGATACTACAGAATCCATAGCTGGTTTTCTTATACGGGCTGTGCTGAATGTCTGTATTGCCTCAGCAGAACAAAGAAGATAAATAAGGGCTGGCCTCCTGGCCTTTGAGGAAGATTTTGAGTGGCAAGTTTGGAAGGCAGAGTTTGGGAGCCTCCTGCATTAACTATGAGCTCCTTTCCTCTCTCCTGATAGCCTACCTCTTTTCTCGGGGGTGTTGAGTTTAAATTTCAGAGACAGCTCATAATCAGTTATTCTGTTATAAATAACTTTCCCCAGTGCTATTGGGGATAGGAGTGTCGTTCTTACACAGGTTGTTTATTCCTCCTCTTACTGCAGAATAATTAACAGATTGGGGAAGGAGGAGACAAAGAGGCCTTAAGACCTCCCCTCTGATTCTTAGCTCATTCCAGTCTGAGGATCTCATAATATGATATATCTCGGCAGCTGTTATGGACTTTTCCATAGATGGCCAAGTGTTGGGGTTGTTCCTCATGAGGACAAGAAGCTGTACCATCGTGGTGTGGCTCACACCCTGGGTGTTACTTCTCATTTGGGAATATGCCATCAAATATGAAGAGAAGACCCAAAGCAAGACTGCCAGTTGCAGCTGCTAGACATATACCCAAGAAAAGTTCCTTTCTTCCATCTGCCTGTGTATCCCCACATGCAAAGCTATTTTGGGTCCCACTGCCTTAAGAGATTAGTCATAATCTTTTCTTCTGTGTACAAGCTCAGCCCCCAACTTATGCTTCACATTTTCAGTGTCATTCTCAGTCATCGTCGTGGGCAGTTGCAGAGATGAGCTCATGCATGAGTTAAGAATTTCTACCCACAACTGCCTGTATCCTGGTTCCTAACCTATGCCCTGTTTTTTAAAATTTTAGCTGATAATATGCTAAAATTATGCTGATAATAGCTAAAATATGATAATTTTAGCCAATAATAGCTGATAAGATAAAATGGGGATCTACCCACACTCTAGGAAATTCATAGGAAATAGGCAGTCTTCTGTAATGCTGAGTGATGGGTTGTTGATAGTGTGACCCATGAAGCTAACTCCTCAGGGCATCGCAGCAAGTATGCTGGCCGTTCATTTTCCTGCCACATCGTCATTCAGTATTTGTTGGATGGGTAGGAGTCTGGTTGGTTTGACCAAACTACCTCATGCTATTACCTCAATTTGCAGCATTTGCATTAGGAGGTAGCTACCTATAAGCAACAATTTCCACCCCCGCCGCCCCACCACCTACTATTCTAAGAGATGGATTCTATTAAGGTTTTTTCCACTGCCTGTACATGAAAGAATCTGTTCACCTTCATTTCTTCTTGTTTGCCCTAACGCTTGAAAAGAGAAAAGACTTCTCTTGGCCTCTGTTATTTCCTATTAGTTCACATCTCTGGTAATTCAGGCTGAAAATCATTCCTTAGTTAAACTGGATGTCCCTCCTCAGATGCCACACTGTGTTATTGAAAGAACCTGCTGCAGGATCAATGAGTCCCATGTGTTTTCAGGGCTCGGTTCTGAAGAATGCAATCCATTGAATATGAGCATTGAGGCAGAGCTGGTCATTGAACAGATGAAAGAACAACATCACAGGGACATATGTTGCCTCAGACTGGAGCTCGAAGATAAAGTAAGTCCTTCCCACCAATCCACTTCTCTAATTTCTTTTGGCTCTGACAGGCTTATGTGTGTAGGGCATTTCCAATTCTTTTTTCTCATAGAGCAGCACATTCTATGTTGGGAACCCACATCCTCAGGATGGTTTTGTAGGCTGACAGCAAGGCCCCTTTTTTCTGGAGAGTTTCTCCAAAATGTAATATCTTCAGCCCTGGCAATCATGGAACTTGAAGCTTGAAACCCATTATATTATCTCCCAATTTCTTTTTTAAAAACATCTCAGTGAAACCAAAAAAAGCCCTTTGATGTTTCATTGCCTACTAAATTAGGTACAAGTTCTGAACCTTGGCCTCTAAACTCTTCACCATGAGACTTCAACTGACGTTTCCAGTCCAGACTTCAACTGACCGTTCTTATGAGTTACCTTATCCTCCAGCTAAATTGGGTAGTTCCTAGTTGTCCATCACACTCTGTCCTCTTTTGCTTGTGCTGTTACAAACTATGCTGATATTAGTTTCTTTCTGCCTCTCGAAAGTCTACTTACCCTTCAGGATTTATATTTAATGCTGCCTCTTGCATGAAGCCATTCTTGAATTTCTCCAACTAAAATGTGATTTTTTTCCCTCCTTTGAGTCCCTGGGTTACATTGTAGCTCTTTTTTGTATACCTTTTATTTTCTGCCTCCTACTGTACTTATAGTTGTCATATCCATGTCTAGACTGGTTTCTCCTGGATAGCAGGGACCATATCTTACCCAGCGTTGTATTCCGAGGCCTGCAAGTACCTGATAGGTGTTCAATTAATATTTGAATTTAATTAAGTATTTTAAGACCCAGCAGGGTACAGTGGCTCATGCCTGTAATCTCAACATTTTGGGAGGTCGAGGTGGGCAGACCACTTGAGCCTAGGAGTTCAAGACCAGTCTGGGCAACATGGTGAGACCCCGTCTCTACCAAGAAAAAAAAATTAGGGCACGGTGGTGTGTGCCTTTAGTCCCAACTACTCAGGAGGCTGAGGTGGGAGGATTGCTTGAGCCCAGGAGATGGAGATTTCAGTGAGCCATAATTACGCCACTGCACTTCAGCTTGGGTGACAGAGTGAGAACCTGTCTCAAAAAATATATATGTTCCAAGACTCAAGTTTACAGTTGGAAAGGATGCATGGGAAGACAGAGGGTAGCTATGTGTAATGGCTGCTCAGTTCTTAATAAGGTTGTTCAGACACTAATAAAATTCAGCCACTTAAAAGAGATATGTAAACCATGCCTGACTTAAGTATCTTGCTTAAAGTGTTGAATTCAGTTACTTTAAAACAAGATAGAGAAATGAGAAATGTCTTGTAGGGAAAAAAAAAAAAAAAAAAAAAGCAATTGCTGCTCCATCACTTCACTTTCAGTGACCTTGAGCTGAGTAATCTTGTGGTGGTGTCACTCTGTGCCTTCAGGTGCGCCATTATGAAAAGCAGCTGGACGAAACCGTGGTCAGCTGCAAGAAGGCACAGGAGAACATGAAGCAAAGGCATGAGAACGAAACGCACACCTTAGAAAAACAAATAAGTGACCTTAAAAATGAAATTGCTGAACTTCAGGGGCAAGCAGCAGTGCTCAAGGAGGCACATCATGAGGCCACTTGCAGGCATGAGGAGGAGAAAAAACAACTGCAAGTGAAGCTTGAGGAGGAAAAGACTCACCTGCAGGAGAAGCTGAGGCTGCAACATGAGATGGAGCTCAAGGCTAGACTGACACAGGCTCAAGCAAGCTTTGAGCGGGAGAGGGAAGGCCTTCAGAGTAGCGCCTGGACAGAAGAGAAGGTGAGAGGCTTGACTCAGGAACTAGAGCAGTTTCACCAGGAGCAGCTGACAAGCCTGGTGGAGAAACACACTCTTGAGAAAGAGGAGTTAAGAAAAGAGCTCTTGGAAAAGCACCAAAGGGAGCTTCAGGAGGGAAGGTAAGAAAGTGAAGGGAAATGAAGCTACCTGGGGCACCATCCCTCGGGGCATTAGAAGTGCCAGTTGTGGCTGGGCGCGGTGGCTCACGCCTGTAATCCCAGCACTCTGGGAGGCCGAGGTGGGCGGATCACGAGGTCAGGAGATCGAGACCTGGCTAACATGGTGAAACCCCGTCTCTACTAAAAATACAAAAAATTAGCCGGGCGTGGTGGCGGGCGCCTGTAGTCCCAGCTACTCTGGAGGCTGAGGCAGGAGAATGGCGTGAACCCGGGAGGCGGAGCTTGCAGTGAGCCGAGATCGCGCTACTGCACTCCAGCCTGGGCGACAGAGCGAGACTCCGTCTCAAAAAAAAAAAAAAAGTGCCAGTCGCTTAAGAGACTTGAAGAAGTCAGAAGGCATAATAGCCCATTGATTGAGTAGACTCTTTTAAATATTTTTTTACTGTTTTTGCCATTATTTTGATGTGAACCTACCTTGGGATGATTGGAACTGTTTTTATTTTGTTATGTTTGTAAAAGAGGAAAGTATTCCTCGTATTAAGATTTATTCTACCTTATAAGGCTCAAGAGGAGGATAAGATTATCCCAAAAGTGGTTCCTTCCTAGTTCAATCCTGTTGCTTTCTGAGAAAAGCTATTAATAAACTGGATTCCAGGCAAGGTTACATTTCCTCCCAGAGTTAAGAAACAGCACTCCATGCTTACATTCCTCATGTGAAATCCCAGGTTTATTTGAGGGCTTTGTTTCGTCACACGCTGATTGACTTGGTGCTACTTCGTTAAGTAAGAAGCAAAAGCAGAATGAATTTGTTCATATGTGTCATTTATGTGACTGATATCCTATAACGCATGCTTAATTAAAATGAAGGAATGGTATATATTTCCCAAGTGAGGAATTAGATTAATATACATTTGGTCATTTGTCTTTGGTTTAAAAATCCATAAACAAATACATCCGGGAGTGTGCCAGAGAAATTAGTTTCTAAGATTTCCCCCTAACTCCAGAGAGAGGTAAGTCTTTTAAATGAATTATGGCTGCCAGTCTTAGCTTTCAGAAATGAGATCCCTTTCCAGTATAAATGAATCACATAGGAGTAAGTTAAGAGCATTTTTAGGGAGTATTTCAGTTGTTTGCTCAGCAGCTTTCTCAGTGCATGGGAAAATGGTTTTTGTTTGCTTCTGGAGTTGGCGGCAGTTTCAATAATGCTGTATGTTGACTATATTTAGGGAAAAAATGGAAACAGAGTGTAATAGAAGAACCTCTCAAATAGAAGCCCAGTTTCAGTCTGATTGTCAGAAAGTCACTGAGAGGTGTGAAAGCGCTCTGCAAAGCCTGGAGGGGCGCTACCGCCAAGAGCTGAAGGACCTCCAGGAACAGCAGCGTGAGGAGAAATCCCAGTGGGAATTTGAGAAGGACGAGCTCACCCAGGAGTGTGCGGAAGCCCAGGAGCTGCTGAAAGAGACTCTTAAGAGAGAGAAAACAACTTCTCTGGTCCTGACCCAGGAGAGAGAGATGCTGGAGAAAACATACAAAGAACATTTGAACAGCATGGTCGTCGAGAGACAGCAGCTACTCCAAGACCTGGAAGACCTAAGAAATGTATCTGAAACCCAGCAAAGCCTGCTGTCTGACCAGATACTTGAGCTGAAGAGCAGTCACAAAAGGGAACTGAGGGAGCGTGAGGAGGTCCTGTGCCAGGCAGGGGCTTCGGAGCAGCTGGCCAGCCAGCGGCTGGAAAGACTAGAAATGGAACATGACCAGGAAAGGCAGGAAATGATGTCCAAGCTTCTAGCCATGGAGAACATTCACAAAGCGACCTGTGAGACAGCAGATCGAGAAAGAGCCGAGATGAGCACAGAAATCTCCAGACTTCAGAGTAAAATAAAGGAAATGCAGCAGGCAACATCTCCTCTCTCAATGCTTCAGAGTGGTTGCCAGGTGATAGGAGAGGAGGAGGTGGAAGGAGATGGAGCCCTGTCCCTGCTTCAGCAAGGGGAGCAGCTGTTGGAAGAAAATGGGGACGTCCTCTTAAGCCTGCAGAGAGCTCATGAACAGGCAGTGAAGGAAAATGTGAAAATGGCTACTGAAATTTCTAGATTGCAACAGAGGCTACAAAAGTTAGAGCCAGGGTTAGTAATGTCTTCTTGTTTGGATGAGCCAGCTACTGAGTTTTTTGGAAATACTGCGGAACAAACAGAGCAGTTTTTACAGCAAAACCGAACGAAGCAAGTAGAAGGTGTGACCAGGCGGCATGTCCTAAGTGACCTGGAAGATGATGAGGTCCGGGACCTGGGAAGTACAGGGACGAGCTCTGTTCAGAGACAGGAAGTCAAAATAGAGGAGTCTGAAGCTTCAGTAGAGGGTTTTTCTGAGCTTGAAAACAGTGAAGAGACCAGGACTGAATCCTGGGAGCTGAAGAATCAGATTAGTCAGCTTCAGGAACAGCTAATGATGTTATGTGCGGACTGTGATCGAGCTTCTGAAAAGAAACAGGACCTACTTTTTGATGTTTCTGTGCTAAAAAAGAAACTGAAGATGCTTGAGAGAATCCCTGAGGCTTCTCCCAAATATAAGCTGTTGTATGAAGATGTGAGCCGAGAAAATGACTGCCTTCAGGAAGAGCTGAGAATGATGGAGACACGCTACGATGAGGCACTAGAAAATAACAAAGAACTCACTGCAGAGGTTTTCAGGTTGCAGGATGAGCTGAAGAAAATGGAGGAAGTCACTGAAACATTCCTCAGCCTGGAAAAGAGTTACGATGAGGTCAAAATAGAAAATGAGGGGCTGAATGTTCTGGTTTTGAGACTTCAAGGCAAGATTGAGAAGCTTCAGGAAAGCGTGGTCCAGCGGTGTGACTGCTGCTTATGGGAAGCCAGTTTAGAGAACCTGGAAATCGAACCTGATGGAAATATACTCCAGCTCAATCAGACACTGGAAGAGTGTGTGCCCAGGGTTAGGAGTGTACATCATGTCATAGAGGAATGTAAGCAAGAAAACCAGTACCTTGAGGGGAACACACAGCTCTTGGAAAAAGTAAAAGCACATGAAATTGCCTGGTTACATGGAACAATTCAGACACATCAAGAAAGGCCAAGAGTACAGAATCAAGTTATACTGGAGGAAAACACTACTCTCCTAGGCTTTCAAGACAAACATTTTCAGCATCAGGCCACCATAGCAGAGTTAGAACTGGAGAAAACAAAGTTACAGGAGCTGACTAGGAAGTTGAAGGAGAGAGTCACTATTTTAGTTAAGCAAAAAGATGTACTTTCTCACGGAGAAAAGGAGGAAGAGCTGAAGGCAATGATGCATGACTTGCAGATCACGTGCAGTGAGATGCAGCAAAAAGTTGAACTTCTGAGGTAATGTATGTACCTTCTAGACGTCACGAATCCCACAGAGCACCTCACCAGATCTAACTTCCACTGCTTGCCGTGCCTAGAGAAACTAACCTAGTAGTCTTCACGAAGAGAGCAGTACTCTCTAGACTTCCTTCTGCTTCTGTGCCGTATTAACAAATAAAATAACCTTGTTTAGGAGGCATTCCCTTCCGCTGTAGCAAACAAGTGTTCATATGGGGTGTGAAAGTTCACAATGGCGAGTGTTTGCTGTTTAACCATGTGCATCCTCAATGTACCTCTTTAACTTTTTTCTAGCACTTATTTCATTTAGATGGATAGGGGATTTTTTTTTTTTATTTTGCTAAGTGTTACTTTCCTCATTTTGAGGAAACATGTTATATACAAATGAATGATTTTTTGTGTATTATTAACTTAGTAGATAAGAACTCACTTCTTATGCTAATATAGAAAAAATGTTCTGTCTTTATAGTTTTGTACTCATATCACTTGAAGCACATGCTGATAACCCATAAACAGTGCAAATGGTCAGGCACCATGGCTTAAATGCCTGCAATCTCAACTGTTTGGGAGGCCAAGGCAAGAGGATTTCTTGAGGCCAGGAGTTTCCAGGCAAGCCTAGGGAACATAGCAAGACTGCCTCTACAGAAAAATAAAAAAATGTTTGCTGGGCGTGGTGGTGCACACCTGTGGTCCCAGCTACTTGGGAGGCCGAGGTGGGAGGGTTGCTTGAGCTTGAGAGGTCAAAGCTGCAGTGAGCCATGATCATGCCATTGTACTCCAGACTGGGTGACAGAGTGAGACCCTGTCTCTTTTAAAAAAAAAAAAAAAAAAAAAAAAAAAAAAGAGACAAAACAAACAGTGGAAATTTATCTTAGAACATATAATTTGAGGAGCCTCCAGATTCTAATAAATATGCTTGAAAAGCAGAGATACAAGTAGAATTAATTTGAACCACTGCCCACTTGACATTGTAAAATATAATTGCATAGTCTTCTAGCAAATTTGGTTTTTCAAAAAAAAAAAAAACTTGTAAACTATTACAGGACGTCTGAAATGTCTCTGAAATAATTTAATTCTGAATGTAGTTTTTCCTCTTCTTCAGACCATTTTTAGTCCTAAAAATCAGAATATAATGAGATGAATAAAATCACAAAGTAAACAGTGTACATATTTCATTGTGGCCCTTTGATTTCAATAGAGAATTTTCTTTCCCTAGGTACCCAGGGGCCTAAAACTAAGCTAATATAGCTTTGTAACATGGCTTATGTGTATTCAGAACAGGTAGGACTTGAGACTGAGATAAATGAAGACATTTGCTCAAAGCAGTATGCTTGCCATTGAGAAAAATCAACAACCAGAATGAGCATTGAGTCTTGATTCATTTCTCCAGGCTTAAGGGTTTTTTAGCTACACTTCTCTAACATCTTTTAGTGAAATTCTTACTTCCCAAAAGAAATGTGTCAATATGTCATAACTCGATTTCCAAATACTAAGAGACTACTAATTTAGACTTTTCTTTTTAACTGGCATTGAATACTCATCCTTTTGGAAGTTACTAGAAAATATTTTCCAAAGATGCCAGATGACTGCCTTGTAACAATTTTTTTCAATCTCTGTGCTTCAGATATGAATCTGAAAAGCTTCAACAGGAAAATTCTATTTTGAGAAATGAAATTACTACTTTAAATGAAGAAGATAGCATTTCTAACCTGAAATTAGGGACATTAAATGGATCTCAGGAAGAAATGTGGTAAGACGTATACTTACATTTTCCTAAGACATTTTTGCAAAGACTAAAATTCTTTTACTTCAGCTTTTAAAGCCTAACCATTAAATTTTATTTTCATCATTCCTTTTAGGCAAAAAACGGAAACTGTAAAACAAGAAAATGCTGCAGTTCAGAAGATGGTTGAAAATTTAAAGAAACAGGTAAGGAAATACTTAATATTTCTCAATGTTTTTTGATTCCAAAATTTTCCCATTTTTTGAAATTTATAAATTTACAGCACACGGTAATGAATAGCATATAGCTAATGATGGTAAGGTTGTAAATTCTGAATTTGAAAATGGAAACTTACCTCATACTGACTCTAAACTAGCTTCCTGTTTTATGTTAAATAATGTATATATTATTCTAGGCCCTAAGTGCTTGATAAAGCTTTATCATCAGCAGAATTGAGGAGGTGATACCTCTAAAACCATACCTACGAAATATTAGCTGTAGCCCTTGTGCAGTTTCAGTTAATGTTAGCCCTTCCTTTTTCCTCACCATGATTGAAAGCAGAAAGTTAAGGGCAGAATTTCACATATACAGAATGCCAGCTAATCAGCATATCATTTCACAGAATTACATTTTATTCAGATAGCTGGTGCCATTCAGTGCTCAATTTGTATAATCTTACAACATGCAGTTATAAAAAGGGAAGGCCATTTAAGAATCTGTCTGAAGCAGTCAAAAGACAAGGACATATTGGGAAAGAGTATTTTCAGCACTTGAAATAGACAAGGTGTTAACATCCAAAATGTATTTTGGACTCTTACAAATAAATGGGAAAATCCAGTTGAAATATAGGCAATCTATATGAATGGTCAAGTCACAGAAAAAAAAAAGAATACAAAAGATGGTTAGCCTTATTAGTGATTAGAGAAGTGCAAATTCAATAAGCGTCTTTTTTTTAACCTATTGAATTAGCAAGAAGTAAAGATTGATATCTAGTATTTAAAAGGATGTGAGGAAATGACTGTGCCCATGCATTGTTGTTAGGATTATAAGGTGGTAGCACTGTGAGGAAGACATATTAGAGATATCTGTTGAAACAATAATGAATATATATCTATATACAGATCTTCTAACCCAGCAATCCTACTTCTAAAAAATAATTCTAAATACAAAATACTACCATGTATAAATGGATTTTCTAAAAGATCCATTTAAAAGAAATAATGATTTTAAAAACTTTATGTCTATCAACGTGGGAACAGATAAATGCATTATGGAATATCTTACTACATGGAATATCCTATAGCCAGTAAAAAGTAGTATGTGGTGGTTGCTGAACACACTGACTTGGAAAGAGTCTTTTTTCCTTTTGAGACGGAGTTTCGCTCTTGTTGCCCAGGCTGGAGTGCAATGGCGCAATCTCAGCTCACTGCAACTTCTGCCCCCTGGGTTCAAGCGATTCTCCTGTCTCAGCCTCCCAAATAGCTGGGATTACAGGCACATGCCACCACACCCGGCTAATTTTTGTATTTTTAGTAGAGATGGGGTTTCATCATATTGTTCAGGCTGGTCTCGAACTCCTGACCTCAGGTGATCCGCCTGTCTCGGCGTCCCAAAGTGCTGGGATTACAGGCGTGAGCCACCGTGCCCACCTGGAAAGAGTCTTTAAGTAAGTAAGTAGAAAAAGCAAGCTGTCCAAACATAAAATTTCCAAATTTTGCTAAAGAGAAGAAAAGAATCTGTATGTGTGTATGGGTTCTGTATATGCGTAGAAAATGATCTGGAGGGACACATATCCAGCTGTGGACAATGGGCTCCCCTGTAGAGTGGGGTCAGACTGAGTGTCTCACTTCTTCATACACTTGTGAATGGAATGAATTTGTAATAATGAGTGTGTATTATTTCTGTTTTGAAATATATATATATTTTAAACTTTATATAAAGAGGGAAAAGACAATTATGTCTCTAAATCTGTTTTTTTTTTTTTTTAGCACAAGTAGGGTAACAAGTTTGAAAAACTTATTTTAATTTTAATTAGATTTCAGAATTAAAAATCAAAAACCAACAATTGGATTTGGAAAATACAGAACTTAGCCAAAAGAACTCTCAAAACCAGGAAAAACTGCAAGAACTTAATCAACGTCTAACAGAAATGCTATGCCAGAAGGAAAAAGAGCCAGGAAACAGTGCATTGGAGGAACGGGAACAAGAGAAGTTTAATCTGAAAGAAGAACTGGAACGTTGTAAAGTGCAGGTATGGCCTGTAGCCACCTGACAGCTTTTTTTGAGGAAATCCCAAGAAATAGAAGAAATGTTTGTATTAAACTTCCTTAAACATAAAGCCTTAGTAATTAAAACAGTATGGTCCTGGCACATGAATAGATAAGTAGGTAAGTGGAATAGAAAGTCTAGAATTAGACCCAAATACAAATGGAAACGTAGTGTATAACCAGGGCCACTTCTCAAACCACTGGGGTAAAGATGGACTTTTAAATTAATGGTGCCTGAACAACTGAGTAGACATTCGGAAATAGATAAAATTAGACCTATGTTTCATTCCATGCACAAGGATAAACTTAATTGGATTAGGAGACTAAATATAAAAAAAAAAAACTATACAAATATTTGAAGAAAATACGGGTGAATTTGTCTTTAACCCTGGTGTAAAGAAAGGCTATTTAACTGTAACTCAAAAACCGGAGGCAATAAAAGAAAACACTGATTATATGTTAAAAAAAGTTTACTTGGCAAAAAGATACCATAAACAAAGTTAGAAGACAGCTGACAAACTAGGAGAAAATATTCACAACATATACCACAGTGAGAAGGCCTAATATCCCTGCTAGTAAAGAACTCTTAAAAATGGAGGGACATGGGACCAAAAATTTGATAGCAAAATGGGAGAAGCATACGAACAAATAAATCATATACAAAAGATAAAAATGGGCCAGGCGTGGTGTCTCACACCTGTAATCCCAGCACTTTGGGAGGCCGAGGCAGGAGAATAGCTTGAGCCTAGGAGTTCAAGACCAGCCTGGACAACATAACAAGACTCCATCTCTACAAAAAGTTTAAAAATTGGCTGGGTGTAGTGGCACACACCTGTGGTCCTAGCTACTCAGGAAGCTGAGGCAGGAGGATCCCTTGAGGCTGTACCACTACACTCTAGCCTGGGTGAGACCCTATCTCTAAATAATAAAATAAAATTATTAAAATGGCCCTCAAATCTATGGAAAAATGTTCAGAATCACTCAAAATTAGAGAAACGCAAATTAAAACAACACTTGTATAATTTCTCACCTATAAGACTGGCATCAATTTTAAAATATGACAGCATACTCTGTTGGCAAGGCTGTGGGGAAACAGACTCTTTCATGCTTTGCTGGGAGAATACAAACTGGTACCGCCTTTTTGTAGGTGAATTTGACAATACCTAACAAAATTACATATGTACCTAGCTTTTGCCCTGGAAATCTCACTTCTAGGAATCTACCCTAAAGATACCACCGCAACAATATGAAAACTCATATGCAGAGGGTTACTCACTGCAGCACTGTTTCTAATTGCAAAATGGTGGAAACAACATAGATGCTGATGTGTAGGAGAGTAGGTGAATACATGTGGGGGTTATGTCCATACCATGAAGTAGTACTGTGCAGCTGTTCAAGAAAAAGGAAGAAAAGAAATCCTTATTTATATGAAATGATTTCCAAGACATACTGTTAAGTGAAAAAAGAAAAGTGCAAAGAAGTATCTATAGAATGCCTTTGTGTGTGTAAGAAAGGGATATTAAAAAGTACATGTCTGCTCATTTGTGCAAAAGAAACACAAGAAGGATAAACCAGAAACTAAAAAGGGAGGGTGGGAAAGGGATGGAACAGAGGAATGAGAATGCGCTAGAAGGGACGAGGAAGAACAATGACACTTCTCTGAGTTTATCTTTTCGTATAGCTCTGACTCTTAGAACCATAGTAACGTTTCACATACTCTTCACTTACCCCCAGAATAAGTGCACAAGTAAAACTAATCAATATGGTAGTGGTGGGGGAAGAAACCCAAAGGGAGCACATACATGAACAGATGAGCCTAACTGTGTTATAAATGGGTAATATAACCACACTGGGGAAGAAAACAATTCTCTTAAGTAATTCAGAAATTAATATCTTGACTGGATACTATCCAGGCTAAAGACAAGATGAACTGTATCTACATGCTATGATAATCTAGTCAGTAAACAGGATTCTCATAAGAGGTATGGGTTAGTAATTCTGAAACTACTATATGTCTTACTAGAATTGAACAAATAAGTAAATATGTTGTGAACAATAAGAACTAGATTTCTCACTGTTGGAGAAGAAGTTGCAAGTGGGGCAATGGGGAATGCTAAGATGAGCCCTCTGATGTTACATTGAGATCTGCGGTATTTGGATAAACTCATGGTTTCTAATATGTATACAAAGCTAGATAGATACAGAAACACAGATGTGTATATATGCATGGATTGCCCAGATCTTGGTTACTAAGCACCATTCTCCTATAAAAGGAACCAGGGTTCCTTGGAAAAATGATTGATTCTAGGGCTGGGGCAGAGAAAAATACAGGATAAGCCTGGAACATCTGATGGGGCCAGAAGGAAAAAGATGTTTTAAAAAAAAAGGACATGTCAAAAGGGCCTGTGTCCTGATGGCCAAAGCTGGAACAATTTGATCACCAAAATAAATGATAGTATAGAATAAAATAAATATAATTATGAAATAAACATAGACTACAATAAATACCAGCCAGGTATAGTGGCTCATGCCTGTAGTCCCAGCACTTTGTGAGGTCAAGGCAGGTGGATCACTTGAGCCCAGGAGTTTGCAACCAGCCTGGCCAACATGGTGAAACCCCATCTCTACAAAAAATACAAAAAAAATTAGTAGGGCATGGTGGCATGCCCCTATAGTCCCAGCTATTCAGGAGGCTGAGGCAGGAGAATCGCTTGAGCCTGGGAGGTCGAGGCTGCAGTGAGCCAAGATTGCACCACTGCACTTCAGCCTGGGCAACAGAGTGAGACCTTATCTCCCCACCAAAAAAACTGAATAAATAAATAAATGAGTCCATATTGATATAAAAATTTAAGCTGGGAGGGAAAACAACAGCTCTAATTCCAATTAATAAATGAAGAAGAAAATAGAAAATCATCATTAGGCAAACACCCCAGTAATAATAGTTGTAGACAAAATGCACTGATAGATGTTAAAATTAATAAGCAGAAGTTTGAGGAGAAATAGAATTTGTATAGTCTCAAAGTATCTCCTCCAAGAAAAAGACAGTAATTTTACAGTGGAGAAACATGCAAAACTTACCTTAGAAATCATGAAGTCCTTGCCCATGCCTGTGTCCTGAATGGTATTGCCTAGGTTTTCTTCTAGGGTTGTTATGGTTTTGGGTCTTACATTTAAGTCTTTAATCCATCTTGAGTTAATTTTTGTATAAAGTATAAGGAAGAGGTCCAGTTTCAGTTTTCTGCATATGGCTAGCCAGTTTTCCCAACACCATTTATTAAATAGGGAATCCTTTCCCCATTTCTTGTTTTTGTCAGGTTTGTCAAAGATCAGATGGTTGCAGATGTGTAGTGTTATTTCTGAGGCCTCTGTTCTGTTCCATTGGTCTATATATCTGTTTTGGTACCAGTACCATGCTGTTTTGGTTACTGTAGCCTTGTAGTATAGTTTGAAGTCAGGTAGCTTGATGCCCCCAGCTTTGTTCTTTTTGCTTAGGATTGTCTTGGTTATACAGGCTCCTTTTTTGTTCCATATGAAATTTAAAGTAGTTTTTTCTAATTCTGTGAAGAAAGTCAATGGTAGCTTGATGGGAATAGCACCGAATCTATAAATTACTTTGGGCAGTATGGCCATTTTCACGATATTGATTCTTCCTATCCATGAGCATGGAATGTTTTCCCATTTGTTTGTGTCCTCTCTTATTTCCTTGAGCAGTGGTTTGTAGTTCTCCTTGAAGAGGTCCTTCATGTCCCTTGTAAGTTGTATTCCTAGGTATTTTATTCTCTTTATAGCAATTGTGAATGGAAGTTCACTCATGATTTGGCTATCATTGGTATATAGGAATGCTTGTGATTTTTGCATATTGATTTTGTATCCTGAGACTTTGCTGAAGTTGCTTATCAGCTTAAGGAGATTTGGGGCTGAGACAATGGGGTTTTCTAAATACACAATCACGTCATCTGCAAACAGAGACACTCTGACTTCCTCTCTTCCTATTTGAATACCCTTTATTTCCTTCTCCTGCCTGACTGCCCTGGCCAGAATTTCCAACACTATGTTGAATAGGAGTGGTGAGAGAGGGTATCCTTGTCTTGTGCCAGTTTTCAAAGGGAATGCTTCCAGCTTTTGCCCATTATGATACTGGCTGTGGGTTTGTCATAAATAGCTCTTATTATTTGGAGATACGTTCCATCAATACCTAGTTTATTGAGAGTTTTTAGCATGATGTTGAATTTTCCATGCCATTTAAGTGGAAAGTCTTTTACGATAAAAAATGGTCATAAAACAGTGTCATTGAGTTCATATTACTGTTTCCTTAATATGGCCTTTTATGAACCTGGTAAGTTTCCCCAGCCTAAATATGTATGTCTGTTATTTGACTTTTTCATTTTTCTCTTAGTCCTCCACTTTAGTGTCTTCTCTGGAGGCGGAGCTCTCTGAAGTTAAAATACAGACCCATATTGTGCAACAGGAAAACCACCTTCTCAAAGATGAACTGGAGAAAATGAAACAGGTAAGGCTGTGTGCAGCTAAGGGGGGTTCACAGAACAATATGTACCTGGTGGGCTCCTGTTGGGCTGGTATTTCTAACCACCAGTTGTCCTTTGTACCAAGTTCTGTCAACTAGCTTGGTAGCTGAGGACATACTGCTTGGCAAAGTTGAGGACCTAAAGTGCAAAATCCTATCTGTAAAGGCTATTGCTAATTATACATGTGTCTAACTTATATATGTTGTACACTCTAAAATCCCCCCCTTTTTTTTTTTTAAGACAGTTTCCTTCTTCCCTCTGTTGCCTAGGCTGGAGTGCAGTGGTGTGATCTCAGCTCACTGCAACCTCCAGCTCCCAGGCTCAAGCAATTCTCATGCCTCAGCCCCCCGAGTAGCTGGGATTACAGGTGCCCATCACCACGCCCAGATAATTTTTGTGTTTTTAATAGAGGTGGGGTTTTGCCATGTTGGCCAGGCTGGTCTTGAATTCCTGGGTTCAAGCAATCCACCCACGTCAGCCCCCTAAAGTGCTGGGATTACAGGCGCGGGCCACTGCATCCGGCCCACTCTAAAATTCTATTATCATAAATGAATCCCAACCACTTCAGTTTAAGAAATTGTTGTTCTGTCACCCAGCCAGGTTATAAAGTAACATATGTTTGTCTAAAAGGAGGGGGACTATCTTGCTTATAACTTTTCTAATTCTGTTCACACTGATTTGTGAGGCACTGAAGAAACTGATCCTTCTGCCTTTTTCTGTAGCAACTATGAGGCATCAGTTCTAGAGCATGATGGCATGCAGTCTCATGAATGTGGCCTTCAGAAGCCTGTTTCAAAGTTTCAAACAAAGGCTTAACTTTAGGCCAGGCGCAGTGGCTCATGCCTGTAATCCCAATACTTTGGGAGGCCAAGGTGGGCAGATCACTTGAGGCCAGGAATATGAGACCAGCCTGGGCAACAGGACAAAACCATATCTCTACAAAAAAATTAGCTGGGCATAGTGGTGTGCACCTGTAGTCCCAGCTACTCAGGAGGCTGAGATGAGTGGATCACCTGAGCTCGGGAAGTCAAGCCTCCAGTGAGCTGAGATTGCGCTACTGTGCCCCTGCACTCCAGCCTGGGCGACAGAATACTCTGTCTCAAAAAAGAAAGAAAGAAAAAAGGCTTAATTTTAAATATGAAAATATGAAAGAGGTCTCAACTTAAAAATTATGTCCTCTCATGGAGAAATGCATTGTTGGAAAAAAACAATTTGCATCCTAAACATTGTCCTGTTTTCAGTATTTACAGGAGTCTTTCAATTGGAACAATCTTGATTTATGGTAGGAAAATTTAGTTGTTCCATTTTATTTGTTTACTTCAGCATCAGATTGTGATGGCACTCATATAAAATTTTCATTCTTAACATCTGTCTCTTCAACCTGTAAGCACAAAGTTGTCCTTTCCTGAATGTGGAAACATTGAGTCTATAAATCTGGTATTATGTTTATGTTGATCTGATTGACTCCTATGCGTCTTGCTTTTTTAATAGCATTATAAAACCCTCAGGGTATGTGTGTCTTTCATAATGCCTAGTATAGTACTGGTACTCAATAGGTGCTTTATAAGAACCTTTTCAAGTTAACTACTGCTATGCAAAATGCATGTTCTGCCGTGACTAGAGAAGTCGCCTGTCCATATAAACATAACAGAAGTTAAAACTCATGGGGCCTTTCTGTAGTGTGGTGAAGTATTCCAAGGCTGTTATTACCAACTTTATCCTAATTAACTTGAGCATCCTTTTTTCCTTGACTTTTTGAAAGCCTGTCTGTTGTTCAGCCTTTAGATGATAATGATTGGTTTCAAATTCATAGTATGGGAAATGTGTGCTTTGTGGCTTTGCTAAGCTGGAGAACAGAAGGAAAGGAGCAGAGCTAGGAGAAAAACAACATGATGGGGATGTCATTCAGCACGTTTTTATTGCTTTTTTTTTTTTTTTTTTAAACAAGCATTGGTATAAATAGTGAGATGAAGAAATTGTGAGCCTGGTCTGCCTTTGGTAGAAAGTTGTTTTATCAGAGACCTGGATCCTTTTGGATCCCAAGAATAGGGTAGCGTCAGCCCATCATTGCTATTATACAACGTGGACCTAGAAGGCATGTGTCACTCTGTATGATATCGTGATTCATAGTTCACAAAGCACTTCTATCTGTGTTATCTATTGCACTGAAAGGAAACACAAATAGCATCAGCAAAAGTTACATGCCAGTTTACAGACATCCAAAATGGTATCAAGCTTTACGGGTGTCTGGAGGGTAGGAAGACAAGGCAGTGGATAAAGTAGAAGGTCCTTTATTAAACCAGTGCCCAGGTATTTCAAAATACATTTTCCTATATCCTTCTGACTTGTTCAGATTTGTAAGGTATGCTGGATTTGTCACCAGTTGAAGACAAGATTGAACCCTGAAAGTCTGTTTTGTCATACTATTCCTACAGCTAAATGTGAAAGAATTTCAGGTTCAGGAAGTAGAAAGATGGTCGTAAAATCATAATGATAATAAAGAATTGAAGAGTCAAGTGAAATAGAGGAAAGTTAAAAACCTATGAACTATGGAAAAGGGTTAAGAAGTGTAAGAAACAGCCTCTTTAAAGCATGGGTTTTCAATAGGGTGAAGGGGTGAGGATTGCTCTCCTGCCCCAGAACATTTATCAATGTCTGGGCACATTTTTTGTTTTCACAACTGGAAGGTGGGGGGTTACTGCCATCTTTTGAGTAAAGCCAGAGACGCTGTGAAGCATCCTACAGTGTCCAGAATGCCCCGCGACCCCCAACGCCTGAAGAATTATCCAGCCCAAAATGAGACTAGTACCAGCACTGATATTGAAGACGAATAAAAAACAGTATTTGGTTTGTCTTGATTTCATGAAGTGGAGAGGAAAAGCCAGTATGTTCGCACCAACAACATTTTACTGGCCAGTCAGCGTAGGCACCTTCTGAAAGGAAGAGTACAGGGAACAAGCTGAAAACACGGTTTTATCTTTAAACTTGCCTTTGGGTTGTTACTTGTATGTGGTTCATGCCAATTCTAGGGGGTTTTTTTGTTTTGTTTTGGAGACAGAGTCTCTGTCGCCCAGCCTGGAGTGCAGTCATCTCGGCTCACTGCAGCCTCTGCCTCCCAGGTTCAAGCGATTCTCCTGCCTCAGCCTCCTGAGTAGCCAGGATTACAGGCATGCACCACCACGCCTGGCTAATTATTTTTAATAGAGACAGGGTTTCACCATGTTCACCAGACTGACCTCAAACTCCTGAGGTCAAGTGATCCTCCCCACCTTGGCTTCCCAAAGTGCTGGGATTACAGGTGTGAGCCACCCCCACAGCCCAATTCTATAGTCTTGACTGGTTTTTTAAAAGGAGAGCTAGGATCATTATTTAACAATGTCTGCCTGGTTCAATCTACCTAAGCAGACATTTCAACAGTCAACTGGGAATCAGAGAGAAGCCAGAAGGGAATCCTTGAAGTTTATTATAGTCTCTGCTAGAGTTTATGTCCTCTGAAATATCCACAGATAGGCAAATAGCAGCAGCTGTGAAAATGCCCTATTTAGAAATACCCCTTTGTACTTACAGCCATGAGATGTGATGGGAGGGCTCATTTGTTTATCTCTTACAGCTGCACAGATGTCCCGATCTCTCTGACTTCCAGCAAAAAATCTCTAGTGTTCTAAGCTACAACGAAAAACTGCTGAAAGAAAAGGAAGCTCTGAGTGAGGAATTAAATAGCTGTGTCGATAAGGTAGTAGAAGTAATAAGACTTTACCATCATCGTATACAATACACACCATAATGAACCTTTCTCTGTGGACAGTGGCACAGGGGCCTCCTGTGGTAGTCTGTTGTTCCAGAGTGTCCTGGAGCAGCATTTCTTTGGCATTCTGTGACCCCAGACTTCCTGCAGCCAAGACTGATGAAGTCTAAATTAGTTGTTTACTAATTATATTATTAAACTCGATAATACAAAATGTTTCTTATCACATCACAGTGCTACTTTATACCGCTATTTTGTTATAATATAAATTATGTGTTTAATAATCTGAGATCAATTTCATAGATAAACACTTTTTTTCTATTTTATCTTCTTTAGCAAATCCCAAAACACCACCTTTTTTCCCCACCTGCCTTAAGAGATATTCTGTTTTCTTCCTATGGTATGCTCTTGAGATTTTTAATGGCCTTCCAGCTTACCATCTTCCACCCTCAAAACATGAGGCAATAGAAAAGAAAAATAGGAAATTTCCAAAAAGAAGCAACTCCTCAAAATTAGACGTGTAAAACAGTCTTTGGTTTGTCTCGATTTGGAGCCAGGAAGACCATTTCCTTTGACCTTGCCCTGCTCCCCTACATAAATAGATGGTACTTGTTCTTGACAATGTAAGTGCAGGCATATAAATTAAGGCTAGCTATGTTTGCAAAAATGCCCTCTTACCTCTTTTTCCCTTCCTGAAACAGTTGGCAAAATCAAGTCTTTTAGAGCATAGAATTGCGACGATGAAGCAGGAACAGAAATCCTGGGAACATCAGAGTGCGAGCTTAAAGTCACAGCTGGTGGCTTCTCAGGAAAAGGTACATGGACAATTCTTGTTTCATCTTCACGGTTAGTATTCTCCTAGATCTTCCAACAGAAATCCCGGTAAAAAGAGTGTTCCAGGTAGAAGTAGCGTAAGAGGGTTCCAAATGATTCAATTTGACCAATGTTTGATGTGTGTTTATAGTGTGGCAAGGCTGGGCATGGTGGCTCACCAGCACTTTGGGAGGCCGAGGTGAGCAGATCACTTGAGGTCAGGAGTTCGAGATCAGCCTGGCCAACATGGTGAAACCTCATCTCTACTAAAAATTAAAAAAAAAAAAAGCCTGGTGTCGTGGCAGGTGCCTGTTAAGTCCCAGCTACTCCAAAGACTGAGGCAGGAGAATTGTTTGAACCTAAGAGGCAGAGGATGCAGTGAGCCAAGATCATGCTAGTACACTTCAGCCTGCACGACAGAGCGAGACTCCATCTCAAAAAAAGAAAAGTAAATATAGTATGACAAAATGATTTAAATAATATTTCAAACATTGCAGCAAAATAATTTAAATATTTCCATCAAAGTTTATTAATTATGAAGGCTTGAGAATAGTGCATAAAAATGACTGCTTGTTCCTAATTTATAGATAGGACTTCTAAGGCAGTTTATGCCCTATTTTGAAGATCTATATCAACATTCCCTTTATGAATTTAAATTTTTAAAATTGGAATTTATATGCGGTATTAGCGTAAAATAGGATTCTTCTTTAAGAGGTGAGGTCTTAGCCAGGCACGGTGACTCACGCCTGTAATCCCAGCACTTTGGGAGGCTGAGGCAGGCGGATCACGAGGTCAAGAGATCAAGACCATCCTGGCTAACACAGTGAAACCCCGTCTCTACTAAAAATACAAAAAAATTAGCCGAGCGCGGTGGCAAGTGCTTGTAGTCCCAGCTACTGGGGAGGCTGAGGCAGGAGAATGGCGTGAACCTGGGAGGCGGAGGTTGCAGTGAGCCGAGATCGTGCCACTGCACTCTAGCCTGGGCGACAGAGCAAGACTCTGTCTCCAGAAAAAAAAAAAAAAAAGGTGAGGTTTCTTTGTATCCCAGGCTGGATCACCACTTGCTGCCACCTCAAACTCCTGGGCTCAAAGGATTCTCCCACCTCAGCCTTCCAGGTAGTTGGGACTACAGGCACACGCCACCACACTCAGCTTTTTATTTTTGGTAGAGATGGGGGGTCTTGCCATCTTGCCTAGACTAGTTTGAAACTCCTGGGCTCAAGCGATCCTCCTGCCTTGGCTTCCTAAAGTACTGGGATTCCTGGTGTGGGCCACCATGCCTAGCCTAGAATAGGATTCTACAAGTATATATTTTTATTTGCAACTAAGAGGGTCCTTTACAGTCCAACATCATAGGCTAAAACAATTTCTACAAAATTCAGTGAAACCATCTTTTGTGATGCCAGTTGGCACCCATTGGTATTGTAAGATACCATTTAGTAATCTACCAGATGACTATCAGCAATACCTTGCTCCAGACATAGTTCATCATTGTCCTAAATATAATTTAACATCCTGTAAATATACCTACTGTCCTAGGTTTCCACTGAGCTACTGACAAGAAAGCTGGATTTAGTAAAGAGAAACAAACAGACTTGAAAGTTCTTTTGTCCTTATTCATTCCTGAACATGCTAGAGGTGAGACCACAAGAGTTTGTGTAGCAGTAAAAGATCATTCTCACAATACAGGTTCAGAATTTAGAAGACACCGTGCAGAATGTAAACCTGCAAATGTCCCGGATGAAATCTGACCTACGAGTGACTCAGCAGGAAAAGGAGGCTTTAAAACAAGAAGTGATGTCTTTACATAAGCAACTTCAGAATGCTGGTGGCAAGGTGATTTGTTCTTTTTTTATTTAGGTATAAGTTATTTACAGTAAAGTATACAAATCTTAGGACAACTTGGTTATTTTTATGTGTATATGTATGTACATATAAATATGCATATTTTATGTATCTGTGTTTGTATAACCATCACTTAGATAAAAATGTAGAACATTTCCAGCACTCAGCAGGCTCTCTCTTGTTCCCTCCAGTTGGTAACCCCAAGGGAACCACTTTTGTACCCTCTGCCACTGTAGTTTAGGGATGCTTTTTTCTAAATTTCATATAAATGAAACCATAGTGATATAAAACAGGTCTTTTTTTTGTATTGAGCAAGTCAGAAGACCATGGCTGAGTTGAGTTTTGTAATAACAAAACTAAAACATTTTCTTAAATGGTAGAGAAAAGTATTTGTGTGACCTTAAAAAAAATCAAATGTAGAAAAACATTGCAAGAAATTAATCTGGGAACTTATACACAGACTTGCAAAAAAGTACAGCTTCTGCTAAAAAGGCATAAAACAATAGTATTGAATTTCAGGAGATAATTCATTGCTACAAATAGGTTGCTATGGCACCAGAAAGTCCAGGAAGAGCTGATTAAAGTGTTAGCTGGCTGACACATTATGGTGGTGTGGTAGAAAGTGTCTCATTTTAATAAGTCACAGTGCTGCCTAATCTGTGTGCAAATAAATTAAGAACAATGTTATAGATGTCATTTTGGGGCAGATGTCAAGATTTTGTCCTACAATAAAAGTAGACACATTCAGTTATCTCTTGGTGAAACTTTTTATAAAAAAACTAGTTGTTTTGGGCTGGGTGTGGTGGCTCATGCCTGTAATCCCAGCGCTTTGGGAGGCCGAGGCAGGCAGACCACTTGAAGCCAGGAGTTCAAGACCAGCCTGGCCAACATGGCGAAACCCTGTCTCTACTACAAATACAAAAATGGCCAGGCATGGTGGCTCACGCTTGTAATCCCAGCACTTTGGGAGGCCTAGGCGGGCGGATCACGAGGTCAGGACTTCAAGACCAGCCTGCCCAACATGTTGAAACCCCATCTCTACTAAAAATAAAAAAAATTAGCTGGGCATGGTGGCGAGTGCCTGTAATCCCAGCTACTCGGGAGGCTAAGGCAGGAGAATCGCTTGAACCCGGGAGGGCTAGGTTGCAGTGAGCCAAGATCGTGCCACTGCACTCCAGCCTGGGCGACAGAGCTAGACTTTGTCTCAAAAAAAAAAAAAAGCCAGCTGTGGTAGTACATGCGCCCATAATCCCAGCTACTTGGAAGGCTGAGGCATAAGAATTGCTTGAGCCCGGGAGGTGGAGGTTGCAGTGAGCTGAGATCGTGCCACTGCACTTCAGCCTGGGTGACAGAGTGAGAGTCTGTCTCAAAAAAAAAAAAGTTTCCATTTTTAAAATTACTTCTGGGTTGACTTTTTCTGAAAATGAGATTGTACCTTTTTTTTTTTCATGTTTGGTTTAAAAGGTAAGAGGCTTATCTATTTGTGTTATCTTTTTAATTTTTTAAATCATTTTCAAGATCCAAAAAATCACTTTGGTAGCTGAAAGCACATTTCTGAATTCAGACGTTAATTACATGGACAATATGTGCTTTGGATTCTAAAAAAAGGATATGATTGCATATGTGAAAATGAAAGTAGAGTTTAGCCTATGAAAGCTTTTGAGTTGGCAGTGCATTTCAGCCTTCTCTTTATGTCCTCTGTGAATCAAATGAATATCTTCTGGGCTTAAAGATAACTTCGTAAGAATGAAGCAACTTTTAAGCCACCAGTCTCAATGCATTTGGGTCCTTTATGGAACTGGGCCTTGCCCTACAGTCATATTCATTATTGGACATGGCATGGCTGTTTTGTCAAAGACCATTTTAAACAGAGACTCTCCAAATCTTTTTGTTTAAATCAAACTTCAAGAATATTGTTTTATTCATATTTATATGTACATACACATACTTTCATTAGAAGACTGAGGGGACAATTGAAAGGTACTTATTAGGAGTCGTTGTCATTGGGTAAACATGACACCTGTCTCAAAACAGCAATTACCCAATAGCTTGTTTTTAAGGCTTACACTCTGCAATTCTCTTAAGAGCTGGGCCCCAGAGATAGCTACTCATCCATCAGGGCTCCATAACCAGCAGAAAAGGCTGTCCTGGGACAAGTTGGATCATCTGATGAATGAGGAACAGCAGCTGCTTTGGCAAGAGAATGAGAGGCTCCAGACCATGGTACAGAACACCAAAGCCGAACTCACGCACTCCCGGGAGAAGGTAATTGGAGAAGCTGCACATCATGGCATATGTTTGAAAATGACTAGTTTGATAGGAAAATGAATGTTGGATATGATTGGAATGGTTCTAAGGTATGGATTTGAGTATCCTGCTATAGCAGACTTATTTTAAGAATGTATCATTTATCATTTACTCACATATAATTTTATCCTGATGTTTATAAAATATTTTTATAAGCAGTTTTATATTAAAATATATTTGTGACTTTAATCTTCATATCCAAAATATAGACTCATGGAAATTATGTGAACCATATAGTCTTCAAATTGGCTGGCCACCAAGACTAGTAGTACAAAAATGGTAAAACTAGACTCAGATCTTGCAGGTCTAAATAACTCCTCACGAGAGAAAAAGGTGCCTCCTTTAAAAGACAGCATTTCAAGGTTTAAGGTCTTTTCCAACCACCAACTTGGTGCTTGAATTCCTTACCTCTGCTGCATAGTCTCCCAATGATATTTAACCTATGCTTAACACCCCTTTTGAGGAGGAACTCTGAAGAGTCGCAGATATTTAGTTAGAACACCTACTCCATGCCAGAAACTGCTATCACGGATGCTGCAGTGGTGAGCAAGACAGACATGGTTCATGTCTTCGTAGAACTGTTTTAGATGTGAATAGTCCAATAAGAGCAGATGGGAACTGTCAGCCCATTCTCTCCTAAAAGTAGTGTTCATGTCAGAAAAAAAGGGCCTGGGACCACTGTGCCTGTTTTCCTGGCAGCCACATCACATACACTGTTGACTCCTGGAGAGTTAGTAGACCCAGAAGTCCCCTCTTCCCAGTCTTGTTCCTACAGTCCTGGGTTTGCAGACCCAACCAGACTCACCTAGAAAGGGTCTTTTGAAATCCAGAAAAGCTAGCTTCAAGTATTTACAGGCTTGATTGAAAAAGGATGTTAAACAGGACCCAAGTACTGAATTAAAACTTTCCCTATGTTTGTTGTTTTTGCTGGCTGGGTGATTGTATTAGCATTTTTTCCTCTTACATTTGTTCCTGTTAGGTCCGTCAGTTGGAATCCAATCTTCTTCCCAAGCACCAAAAACATCTAAACCCATCAGGTACCATGAATCCCACAGAGCAAGAAAAATTGAGCTTAAAGAGAGAGTGTGATCAGTTTCAGAAAGAACAATCTCCTGCTAACAGGAAGGTGAGTTTTTGAGAATATATGGCGTACATCTGTGTTCTCACTATAATGCGTTCTTAAGTGTGTTTCTTCTCAGGTGTACTTCTAAGGAAATGATTACGATGGCATATTTTGGCATGTATCTCTTTATGCTGTTATCTTGTCAAAATAGCATCGTGGTTCTTTTTGATTGAATAATGGTTGAAAAAATAACAGTTTGGCCGGGTGTGGTGGCTCATGCCTGTAATCCCAGCACTTTGGGAGGCCGATGCAGGCAGATCACCAAGTCAGGAGTTTGAGACCAGCCTGACCAATACGGTAAAACTCCATCTCTACTAAAAAAACACAAAAATTAGCCAGGCATGGTGGCACATGCCTATAGTCCCAGCTACTTGGGAGGCTGAGGCAGGAGAATTGCTGGAACCCAGGAGGCGGAGGTTGCAGTGAGCTAAGATCACACAGTGTACTCCAGCCTGGGTAACAGAGTGAGACTCTGTTTAAAAAAAAAAAAAAAAAACAACAACAAAAAACCACAATTTAAGCTTCTTAAAGAAGGCAATTAATCATCTTTATTAGTATTAGAAGCCCTTATAAGTTGGCAAAATATTTATCACTCGAATATTAGAAACATCTTAATATGGGCTTTTTTTTTTTTTTTTTTTTTTTTTGCTATGTAACAAATTAAAACAACATTTCTTGTCTTATCTGCAAGTCAGGATTTCAGAAGCAGCTTAGCTGGGTGGTCCAACTCAGGGCTCTCATGAGGATGCAGTCTACATGTTGGCCAGGCCTGCAGTTACCCGAACGCTTCACTGGGGCTAGAGGATCTACTTTACAAGCTCATTTGTACAACTGTTAGCAAGAGGCTGCTGTTCCTTGCTGGCTGCTTGCCTGAGACCTCAGCTCTTCACTACCTGGGCCTTTTCTCAGGGTGTAGCATCTGGCTTCCCCCAGAAGGAGTGATGAAACAGACACTGAGACCGAAAGACCAAGACAGAAGCTGTGGTCCCTTTATGATCTAATCCTGCGAGTGACATACCAACATTTCTGCTGCACTGTATTTGTCACGCAGACTAACCCTAGTATAGTGTGGGAGAGGACTGTATAAGGGTGTGAATACCCGGAGGTGGGGCTCTTTGAGGCCTCTTGGAGGCTGGCTACCCCCTGGTCACACCTCTGCAGTGCCAATCAGTTTGCTTTCTGTAATTTGTCCCATGAAGTTAGAGTTCTAGACCAGACTTCTCAGAGTTGTTACTTTTCTTTTTCTAAACTGAAACTCAGTTTTCACTATTACCTCTTTATAAAAAATATGGTCTGTTTAGAAATCTGAGAAAAATATTTCATTATAAAATATTCATAAAATTTTTGTTTTTTGTGAAAGTTATCATGACCATTTGCAGTAAGAAGACCTGGTTGTGCTCTAAAGCTGAAATGTCATTTAATTTCAGGTACATTCAAGTAAACTTTGCAGAAAGAAAATGGGTTTCATTTAGCTGCTCATTAGGGGGAGAAAAGTCTGTGATAGGCTTTTAATAATACTGAAGTTTAAAATGGACCTGGAAGACTACACTTCTGTTTCACAATTCTTGCTGTTCTCCTCAGCTCTTTTTGATAGAAGCAAAATCAGCTTTCTAAGATAGTGTTGTATGTTTTTTACTGAGCAATATTCTGACTCGGTGTCCTCTAGCTCACTAGGTTCTTCCTGTAGTAAAGAGTTATAAAAGTGAGGCTGGACGCGGTGGCTCATGCCTGTAATCCCAGCACTTTGGGAGGCCGAGGTGGGCAGATCACGAGGTCAGGAGTTCGAGACCAGTCTCATCAACATGGTGAAATCCCATCTCTAAAAAAAAAAAATATACAAAAACTAGCTGGGTGCAGTGGTGCACACCTGTAGTCCCAGCTATTTGGGAAGCTGAGGCAGGTGAATCGCTTGAACCTGGGAAGCGCAGGTTGCAGTGAGCTGAGACTGTGCCACTGCACTCCAGCCTGGGTGACAGAGTGAGACTCTGTCTCAAAAAAAAAAGGTACTCACGAAATCTTTAAAATTAAAAAGTTATATAAATCAGGTTTTATGTACTCTCAATTTTAAGCCTTTAAGTTTGCATTAAGACAGTATTTTTCCTGCTGCAGATCCATAGTAGAGGATAATGAAATCAATTTAATGGAAACCAGCATTTTTTATTAATATACTACAAAATATCAGAGTACATGGTCCATGGTAAGGATATTTCAGTGATATGTACTGTACATATGTGTGGGTGTGTGTACTGCGTTGTAAGATAAAACGTATTTCTTACAGTGGGTGGCATCCAAGTTTAAAAGCCAGCTGCCTTAAGGAATCTATTCTGTGTGAGGACAGGTGATTAAAACTAGATTACTTAAATGTAAGCAATACACTGAATTGTATTATTTGTTTGTCACTGAATTAACTTGGCTTTCTTCCAAGAGTTGAGATTTCTGACAAGCACAGATTTGTCAAAATAAAGTAGAACAACTCAAGTGTTTTTGTTTCTGTTTCAAGGGAATATTTTGTTTTTTTTAAACAGGTCAGTCAGATGAATTCCCTTGAACAAGAATTAGAAACAATTCATTTGGAAAATGAAGGCCTGAAAAAGAAACAAGTAAAACTGGATGAGCAGCTCATGGAGGTAAGTTTCTCAGCAGATGGCCTTAGCTATGAAGAATATGTTAATCCATGAATGAGGTATTTGTTGGGAGAGACTAGACATGGCATTGAATTCCCGTTGTGAAAATCTAAGTACACTGCCAAGTTGAATTCTTTGGTCCGCCTTACCAAGTTTAACAGACAACTTTGCTTCATTATACTGCCATAGGAAGCCATACTGCTTTTCAGAGTAAGTAATAATGATGACCTAAAATGCAAAGACCTGTACCTCTGCAAATTCAGGGGGCAGGGACTCTCTGATTAGCCAAGGGGCCCTGAGCACTCTTGCCATCACCATGTTTATACCAGTTCACTGATCCCTCCTATATTGCAGCATTTTATAGACATGATTGATCTCTAGCACCCTCTTCAGTTGGGAAATCCATGCGGGAAATTTGAGAGCATTAACATTTGGAAGTTTTAATTTCAAGTGCTGCTATTCTTCATTACTACATTTAGAACTCAGGACTGCCTTGTGAGAGGTACATCTGATCACTATGAAAATGTATTTGTGGCCGGACATGGTGGCTTATACCTGTAATCCCAGCATTTTGGGAGGCTGAGGCAGTCAAATGGCTTGAGTCCAGAAGTTCAAGACCAGCCTGGGCAACATGGCGAAACCCTGTCTCTACAAAAAAAAAAAAAAATACAAAAATTAGCCAGGTGTGGTGGCACGTACCTGTAGTCCCAGCTACTTGAGAGGCTGAGACAGGATTGTTTAAGCACAGGAGTTGGAGGTAGCAATGAGCTGAGATCACACCACTGCACTCCAGCTTGGGAGACAGTGAGAGACCCTGTCTCAAAAAGAAAGAAAAAGAAAAAAAATGGATTTGTAAAACTAGCTTGTCAGCTTGGACTTTGAGTTCCAGTCTTCTAGATTGCTTTCTGAATACCGAGTTTAATTATAGGATATAACAAACTTATGTGTACATCCTTCTTAAGGATTTCATTGATATACCTTGGGTAAATGAAATTAGTTAATCTAACATTTAGTGAACTATAAGACTTATGTAAGGCAGAGAAGAACCTGTAGAAATTGTCTTTTTGTGCTCTTAAAAAGTACTGTGTATACACATATTGTTAAGCCAGAATTATAAGAAGAAATGGGGCCGGGCGCAGTGGCTTACCCCTGTAATCCCAGCACTTTGGGAGGCTGAGGCAGGTGGATCACCTGAGGTCAGGAGTTCGAGACCAGCCTGGCCAACATAGTGAAACCCTGTCTCTACTAAAAATACAAAAAAATTAGCTGGGCGTGGTGGTGGGCACCTGTGATCCTAGCTACTTGGGAGGCTGAGGCAGGAGAACTGCTTGAACCTGGGAGGCGGAGGTTGCAGTGAGCCGAGATCACGTCATTGCACTCCAGCCTGGGCAACAATGCCGGACTCCATCTCAAAAAGAAAAAAAAAAAAAAATAAAGAAGAAAAAGAAGAAATGGAGCTATTTAAGTATTTTCTTTTATGAAGCTGGCCACATGCAAAGGTAGCTTTTAAAAACCAAGCACCAAGCATTGATTTTTAATGTGAAATATGGGCAAACGTATAGCACTAACATTAAATCACCAGTGAAGTTTGTCAATTTTGTGTTCTCTGATTTATCAACTAAAGGGGAAATTCATGAAAGTTTTAGTGAAGTCTAAACCATTTTTTCTTTTTTTAACAGCAATATAATGAATGCATTCAAAACTTTGAGCTGTGGGCTGTACTTAGATGTAGACATGCTTTTCTGATGAAATATAATTATATACTCTGAGGAATAAGATGTCTAAAACTAAGCCCATATGTCTAGTATCAAATTGAAAAGTAGCAGTGTGTACTTAGTCACTGTGAGAGCCTTTCCAGAGGCTCTGCCAAGAGACCAGTTCTTCTCCTGCCTGTTCCTGTTTTACCCAGCACCCATTAACATTATTAGCCATCGTAAGCAATTTCCCCTTGTTGTTTTCCCACCTAGTAGTAAATATTTGCTAACAGAGGAGGAAAATTGAGTGTTCTTGACACTGGAGCCGAACAGCTAAGGAAAAAGCATGGATTTTTCTATTTGAACACTGAAAAGAACATCTCATACCTATTTATTCTAATGAAACTTTCATTAGGAAATGGAACTGAATTATTGGCCAGGCACAGTGGCTCATGCCTATAATCCCAGCACTTTGGGAGGCTGAGGCAGGTGGTTCACAAGGTCAGGAGTTCGAGACCAGCGTGACCAACATGGTGAAACCTCATCTCTACTAAAAATACAAAAATTAGCTGGGCGTGGTTGTGTGCGCCTGTAATCCCAGCTACTCAGGAGGCTGAGGCAGGAGAATCGCTTGAACCCGGGAGGCGGAGGTTGCAGTGAGCCAAGATCGTGCCACTGCACTCCAGCCTAGGCAACAGAGCAAGACTCCATCTCAAAAAAAAAAAATTATTAATGCTATAGATTTACACAAATTGGATATTTTTTTTGAGATTCTGTCACCCAGGCTAGAGTTCAGTGTTGTGATCACAGCTCACTGCAGCCTTGAATTCTTGGGCTCAAGCAATCCTCCCACCTCAGCCTCCCAAAGTGTTGGGAGTTCCCTGATCTCTCCTATATTTCTCCAGATTGAAGTTTTTAAAAACAGTGTTATTGGCCGGGCGCCGTGGCATGCGCCTGTAGTCCCAGCTACTCAGGAGGCTGAGGCAGAAGAATCACTTGAACCCAGGAGATGGAGGTTGCTGTGAGCTGAGATCGCACCACTGCACTCCAGCCTGGGTGACAGAGCAAGACTCCGTCTCAAAAAAAAACCCAAAAAACAAAAAAACAAACAAAAACAGTGTTATTGAGGTATAATTCACATATTATGTAGTTCGCATATTTCAGGTGTACAATTCAATGGTTTTTAGTATATTAATTTTTAACCTGTGATAAATATATACCTAACATAGAATTTGCCATTTTAACCATTTAAAAATGTACAATTCAGTGGCATTCATTAAATTCACAACATCCTACAACCATTACCACTCCTTCCAAAACCTGTTCATCACTCGGCTGTAGCTATTAAGCATTAACCATTCCCCCTCTCCAGCGCTACAAATTGGATTTTTATTTATAGTATGATACCTATAGAGTAGGTTAATTTGGGGGATGCACAGTGTGTCCCAGCTCACCTGAGGGATAGGTACATTCCTTCTCACTCTGGCAGGGATTCTTACCTGATTGGGGCAACGGGTGGCAGGCTGGGCAGGGACAGGTTTCTATATCAGAATCTCTGGATTCAGGGGATTTGAGCACAGCTGTCTTCATGGTTCTAACCTGATATGTGCACTCCCTTGGGGGAAGTAGTCTCTCATCTCTATATACTAGTTTAACAGTCACGGTTCTAACATAACACATCCCCCCACTGTAATTAAAGATCACAGATCACTAGACTAGGTAAAGAAAAAAATTAGGGCTAGAATTTGACGCCTACTTCGGAGCTTTTTCAACATGAGCGGTTCAATAAGTTTGTTTTGAACACTCAACAAAAGGGTTACAGACTATATCAGCAGTTCTCGAGTCTCTTGTGTACCTCTATGATAGCTAACATTTCAGACACTTAAACAACAAAATGGCTTATAGTTTATACTGCATTCTGCGTCTCCAAGTGGCAAGAGATTTAACATCAGATCCATTCTGTACTGGACCTGGAATAATCTTTTTTATTTATTTATTTTTAAACGGAGTCTCGCTCTGTCACCAAGTGGGAATGCAGTGGCGCGATTTCAGCTCACTGCAACCTCTGCCTCCCGGATTCGAGCGATTCTTCTGCCTCAGCCTCCCAGGTAGCTGGGATTACAGGCGCCCACCACCATGCCTGGTTGTATTTTTAGTAGAGATGGCATTTCACCACGTTGCCAGGATGGTCTTGATCTCCTGACCTCGTGATCCACCTGCCTTGGCCTCCCAGAGTGCTGGGATTACAGGCGTGAGCCACCATACGCGACCTAATTTTTTTTTTTTTTTTTTTTTTGAGATGGAGTCTCACTGTCACCCAGGCTGGAGTGCATTGGTGTGATCTTGGCTCACTGCAATCTCTGCCTCCCAGGTTCAAGCAATTCTCCGCCCTTAGCCTCCCGAGTAGCTGGGACCAAAGGCGACGTGCCACCATGCCTGGGTAATTTTTGTACTTTTAGTAGAGACGGGGTTTCACCACGTTGGACAGGCTGGTCTTGAACTCCTGACCCCAAGTGATCCGCCCACCTCGGCCTCCCAAAGTGTTGGGATTACAGGCATGAGCCACTGCGCCTGGCCTGGACCTGGAATCTTCTAAATCATTATATTGGGCGGGGCACAAATAGGATACAGTAAGTGAAGATGCACTTGTAGAATTAGAGTTGTAAGACATTTTAATGTCTGTAAATTTATATACAGAAAAATGTGTCTTTCATATGCTCTTATTCATGTATATAATAGACCTAATTAGTACTGTTCTTTCTCTTTTTATTACTCATACTTTTCTCTAACTCCTGTAATTTTCTCTTCTTTTTGTCTTGTCTGTGGCTAACCTGTACCTAGAACTCAGTGGTTGGAAGTAGCAGAGAAGGGTGCAGTTCTCTGCCTGAGATAGTGTGTGAAGGTAGAACATTCTCTTTCAATGAACTTTCATAGCATGGAGCCATCTCATTAAACCCCTTGCTCATGTTATTTCTGTTGATTGTAACAGTTAATAAGTACTTAAGGAAAGAGCCAGTATTCATTTTGTTTTAATGGTATAATATGTCTGTTTACATCAAACTTTTCCTCAGTATTTAAAGCATTATATATGAAGAAAATTATCCCACTGATATAAAATTATGGGATAATTCTCCATAATTTTTATCATGAAAACAAAGTGGTTTTCTGAATCTACAACTAGAGGTATTTCAAAGTGGGCAATGCCCCCACCCCCACCTAGAAATTTAGATATAAGGAAATGGATAGTGGCTCTGACATTTCATGACAACATTTAGTTATAGCCGAGTCTTAGAGGTCCTTTTCCACCTTCTCACAAGCCTGGAGGTGCCGCTTCTTGAGTTTAGTCTTGGTAATGTTTGTTGCATGCTCCGCGTGTGTATAGATGTGAGGTGGCCTGCCTCACTGCCCAAAATGCTGTGCATCGTCCTCCCTTTCCTCTCCCCCACTTTGACTGGCATGTTGGTACACATTTCCTCATTGTCTTGAATACTTCCATTCCATGTTCTCCAGTTCCCAGATGTTCTAGGATATTATTGCTTTATGCCCCAGAATTGTCTGTCTTGTGCTGTTTAATCTAAGGGTATAATTACATATTGATAAACTAAAGGTAGGTTAAAATAATTTTAGATGCAAGATGAGGTTCTTCCAAAAAAAATTGCTAACTTGGGGTTGGAAAAAATATAGTCATTGAACATTTAACAATCTTTATGAATGGTAAAGTGGTAAAACCCTAAAGCATAGCCACTTTCTCCAACCCGTTTTTAAAAGGGGGGAGGTAATTATTCCAGTATAAGAAAAAATGAAATAGAATTCACATGTATTATGTACATCGTGCCCTTAATATCACTCCAGAGTTGGGAAGGGCTTTTTAAGCCTAAAACTTTTAAGAAAGCCTACTTATTAAGCATATTCTCTGCTAAGCGAAATAGCTTTTCTCATTTCTGTATTCCTCGGGCCCATATGCTGTCCTGTTTCCAAGTTTCAGTGGGTCTGGGGTTATTAATGAATTAATAGTCTTCATTACTCACTGCCTGACACCATAAAGGGCAGCTCTGGGATTGAAGGGACTCAGCTGAACAGGGCTTTGCCCTTGTCCTTCAGATGCAGCACCTGAGGTCCACTGCGACGCCTAGCCCGTCCCCTCATGCTTGGGATTTGCAGCTGCTCCAGCAGCAAGCCTGTCCGATGGTGCCCAGGGAGCAGTTTCTGCAGCTTCAACGCCAGCTGCTGCAGGCAGAAAGGATAAACCAGCACCTGCAGGAGGAACTTGAAAACAGGACCTCCGAAACCAACACACCACAGGTATGAAGCTCTCTCTACTCTAGTAGATCACCTGTTAATTTTACCTGTTTATTTGAAAGTTATACCAGTTCAAAGGTGGAGAGAAAGAACCTAAATCTAATGGCACACACCTGTAGTCCCAGCTACTTGGGAGGCTGAGACGGGAGGATCGCTTGAGGCCAGAGGTTCAAGGCTGCAGTGAGCTACGATCATGTGTGTGAATAGCCACTGTACTCCAGCCTGGGCATCATAGCAAGACTCCATCTCTTAAATTAAAAAAAAAAAAAACAAAATCACAATCCTAAATCTTCTTTCAGAGAGATATTTAACCTGTATGACAAATCCATAGAACTGCGGTGCTACTTTTGAGCTCTCAGCTTCTAAGCTGAGTCATTTAGTGTTCTGTAATAGACGATTTGCCCATTTGTAATAAACGATGAAGTATCAGGATCACTTAAACACAGCGCACAATTGGCCTGATGTTCCCATCCCATGCCAAAAATATTACAGAATTTAAATGTTGCTAGGATATGCGCTACTAACAAAGTACACTGAGCTTTCCTGTGCCAGAGCCGTGCAGCCTGCTGCATCCCATGAAAATCACAAGTGATGACTTTTCACAACAAATAGAGTGTATAGTCAGTGACATCTTTCTAGTTGACATAGTTCATAAAACTATTTAAGAAAATAAAAATCTTTTCATTGTTTGCATTAGCATGATCCCAGCTCACCACCACATCCAATCTTATATTACTTAGGTTTTCAAGTATTCAGAGTTATTTCTCTTTAATGCTTCATTCATCATCCTTTCTCAGAAGTTTAACTCTTGCAGCTTGCCTATTTAGTTAATTCAGAACTAGGAATAAAATAAAAAGTCCTTCTTTGTGGAATTCTACATTAATCCTTTCTGGTTTGCATGCGCTTGTGTGTTCAGATACCTTGCCACTCAGTTAATGCTTGACAAGGAATTTCCTATCTCTTATTTGAATCCCCTCAAAGTGGCTTTGCAGTCACATTAGCTCTGGAACTCTACATAGGAACAGTTCTGTTTCTTCTACTATCCATCTATGTTTAATTACGAAGTACTCCTACCACTTGTCAGTTCTAATAAACTTTTCCCTCTACATATGTACCTATGCTGTATTTCTAATAAACTTTAGAAGGTTTTTGTTTTATGAGCTTTAAAATCTGTTTTTGGAAGCTTTATACATACCTCTTCAACTTCCCAGTATTAAAGTTCTTAAATTGTGATGGTAGAGTGTTAGATGCTTTAACTCTCCAGTATATAATTGAACTACAAAACTTTGATCTCAGTTTTTAGTGGACCTTCTAACCAAATGATCCGCCAAGATTCTTCTCATTGCTCTCTTACACCCTATTTTCAAAGCCTGCTGTTTCCAACCCACCCACCAATGTTAAAAAAAATATCCTTTTCCTCCAATTCCTTCAGGATTAGACAAAAACTAAGATTTTTGAAAGAAAAAAAAAATCCTCCAACCAGATGACAGAGTGGACGGCTTATTACTCTCACCAGAATGCTACTGCAGGCTCTCCCATTTCCCGCTGCTGAGCTGACACTAATTTTAAGAATGCAGAATATTGTTAAATCTGCACGTTTCTGTGTGTGGAGTGATGTGATCTCTTCTGCATTTTGTGTTGCTTTGCTTGCCTATGTAGTGTTAATGTGTGTGCTTTTAAAAATTGTTTGCATTGTAGATGTGTGAATTTAGACTCCCCCTAAAAACTCATCCTGACATGAGGGTGAAGTGTACTACTTGCCTTCTTTCTCTAGGCCTTGCTACCGGAGCAGCGAGCAGTGCACGCAGATTCCTACAGAAGGATTGGGCACCTGTGAAAACTGGGCTGCTATTGATGGCATTTCTTACCATGGCAGACAGATGCACACACCCACCCATGCACACACACCACACACAGAGACATAAGCTAAGATATGTTGGAATTAAGTGCTCTTTTAAATTATTTTATTATTTTTACTGTTAAACCTTTGCAGTATTATGTCTCTTATTTATTTATGTAGAAATGACAGATCTTGTGAATCAAATTCACAAACATCAGCTTGTTACAAATCATTTTATTTATACCCTTTAAAGAGTGTGGATTTAAGATTCTTGAAAGGATGTAGTCTATATATTTTCTCATTCCATATGTTGTAACTATTTTTAACCAAAGGTACTACTTTTATATATGGAATTTGAAGAAAACCAGGGGTATTTATACTGTTTTGTATAAGATGTACAAATCTTTTTGACAGGAAATTTTTGATGAAACAATAAAATAAATTTTAAGTATATGACTGCCTTTGTTTTTCCTGTTTTTCCACTCTTTTGCCAACTCTATGTTCTTTGAATTATCTTTTTTTTTGTTTTGCTTTGTTGGGCAAATAGACATCATTTTGTATTTATGTTTGAACTTTAAAAAGCTATTATTTTTTTTTAAATATAGGCCTTTTTAAAAGCTAGATGTCCTCCAGGCCCAATTTTTTGTAACTTACTTCCTGCATTAGACCTTTGCCTATTACAATTTTTATCCTCCGGATAGTTACTACATGATTTAGGGTTTCTTTTATGATTAAGTGTTACTACTTAGTATCTAAACAGATGGTAGCCTTTGACTCATGTTTAGTCATTCTGCATGTCTTTTAAAGTATATCTTAACTACCATCAGCTGTTAATACCTTTATGAAATCTGAAATTCCTTATGGGGACATTTTGGTGGACTGCAGAGGGATGGGGGTTGCATTCTAATAAGTCAATTGCATTCTAATCTCTCTAGGTCTCTCTCCTCTCCAAAACTCACTTACTCCTTAACCCATCACCGTTGTGTGAGAACAGGAGATTTTTCATTTTCAATCTGCTCTGATAGTAAACCCATCCTCCAATCCAGATGTGTGCTTCACATTTACAAGTGGGAAACAGATGACTAGAAAAATTGGCAGGAAGAGGCTATTATGAAGAAAGAAACTTACCACCCTCACAGTCATCAGCCACTTCAAAGGAAAAACAGACATGCATATTGCAAGCTGATTGGTTATGTTAGGAAACCCTGAATATATTCAGTGCTTGTTTTGTTGTTGAGAGGCCCATAACATTGCAGAGACCCAGATCACAGATGGGAGGTTGATAGCGATCTTCCAAGTTACCTTGGATGTCCATTTTACTAGAGGTACTCACAGGTATTAAATTATGGGTTTTCAGAATTTTGCTTTATATCAGGGGGATGATGGTAACACAGGTAAGATTCTTTTGATTTTTCAGTCTGATCCTTTATCTGATAGGGTTACTTTTCTGACATATGCAATCCATGCAGGGCTCAAAACTCTCATTTCATGAGAAATCCATCCTTCCTGTTACAAAGGCAAAACATTTGCTGTCCTTTCTCTAGGCATCTTGTGGGGAAAATAAACCAGTGTTTTCAGTGTGACATGATTTTCGAATAATATACTTTTCTTCCCTTCAGGGAAACCAGGAACAACTGGTAACTGTCATGGAGGAACGAATGATAGAAGTTGAACAGAAACTGAAACTAGTGAAAAGGCTTCTTCAAGAGAAAGTGAATCAGCTCAAAGAACAAGTGAGCCTACCCGGTCATCTCTGTTCACCCACCTCACATTCCAGCTTTAACTCCAGTTTTACATCCCTTTATTGCCATTAACTCGTTAACTTATGTTGTCTAATAAAGGCAAATTCTATTATAAATGTCTGTAAGAACTTAGGATTTGCTATCCCTCATATCACCCCAAAAAATACGAACTCTGTATTTTTTCCAAAGCTCTGTTTAAGGCATGTTTGTCCACAATTTAAAAGTGTAAATCTTTGCTAACATGATTTACATGGACCTAAGATTTTAAAGATCAAAAAAAATCTATTGATTCACATAGACCTAAAGCATGTCCATTCACATGCTTTAGGTCCCTGTGAATCAACAGATTTTTCTCTGCCCAAGACAGGAAATATTCCTATTTAAATTGAAAAATGATATTGGTTAAAAAAATAGGGGGATAATAAATGGAACTTTAGCTTTCCTGTTCCCAACAGCTTATGAAAACCTCAACAAGTATCTTATTGCTACAGCTAGACTCCAAAAAGATGTACTTTGAGTTAGAATCTAGACCCCAGATTCCAGGACCACTTAAACAGCCTGCTCCTTTTCACCTGCTGGTGGCAGATGTGGCCTTGGTGTTTAGAAATTAGTTGCGCATCCACTGAAGAGACAAGCAGAAAGTACTACCCTCTGGGAGAGTGTTATAGCCTCTCTGGAAACTGAGATGAACATGTGGGGTGGGGGGCAGAAAATGCCCAACCTAGTTCTTTAGATACTTAAAAGCTAAGAATAACAACCCCAAGAGAGGGTCTGAATTCAGCTGTAGACAGCAACTTTTGGTTGTCCTGTTTCTTAATACACAGGGAAGAAAAAGTCCCATTCAGTGAGCATTTATCCATTCAGTTCTTTACATATTCAAGCATTCAACACATAGTTACTGTGGGCCAGGTCCTGCCGTGGGCACAGGGATACAACAGTGAACAAAGCCCCTGCCCATATAGAATGCACTTACAAGGTGCCAAGCGTTTGGCCAAATGGTAGGTTCAGAAATAAGTGGGATCCGTCCTGTTTTCAGTAGAGGAGAACACAAGAGAAAGACATATTTGATCCAACCCAGGAGTTTAAAGAAAGCTTCCTGAAGACCTCTGAAGCTGCATCTTGAGAGTTAAGATTTCAACTAGTTAAGAAAGTGTGGGGAAGGGTATCCTAGGCTGTGGGAACATCATGGAGTTATGACCACATGTGGGGTGTGGACACGTATAAACACTTCAGCATTGCCAGTTCACACTGTCCTGGGAGAAGCAGGAGGAGAGACTAGAGAGGAAGGGGGAACAGGACAGTAGGCCTCCAGTGCTGAGCCAAGAAAGAAGCTTGATTTTTATTCTGTCGGCAATGAAGAACCATCAAAGTGTTTTTTTAAGGAAAGGAAGAGAGGGAGGGAGGAAAAAAAGTTGTATTCAGGAAGTTCAACAGAAAATATGTTCTGAAATGTTATGTGATGTCTGCCAGTCATCTAGGTTCTGAGCTTGAGAGTGCTGTCATCCTTATCCCTGCCCTTTGAAATGCTAATAGGTTGTTAAGCTACTCTTTAGTTACTCTTTATTCTCATAAACCTTTATACTTTTAGATGCCCTACTTGAAATTGGGTGTAAAATGAACACTTGTAACATGGGAAGGGGGACTGGAAAATATTAACCAGAACAACAATGAAAGTATCCCAAGGCTGCTAACAAGTTTTCCCACCCCAACCTAGACCATATATTCTAACTATAAAGATTAGACTAGACAAGGCCCCATGCAAAACAAAACAAAAACAAAGACAATTCAGGAGAAGTAACTGCCCAAATCTTATCTCTGTTATAATACATGAGCTAAATTTTAAAATAATCAGTGGGTTGTAGTTACGAATGGTAAGTTCAAGTATCTGTTGTTACAAGCAGAGTTAAACAGTCCACACCTGACACCTCAGGAATTTAAGTTATAAAAGTATTTGATATTTTTAAAGAATAAATACAGAAATAATGCCTATTTAGGTAGAAAAAAAACTTTTGGTGCCATCTAATATCAATCTGTTCTATTAGTAACTGACATAAACATCTCATGCAAAGAAATAGCTTAGAAAAAGTAGATTTGTTCCAATGGTGTCCCTGATGCCAAGTCTGATGTTAAAGCTATTTTGTAAAATAAAAGAATATAATTAGACGAAGTGATTTGCCTTTATAAAACAACTGTCCTTATGTCAGACCTTAAACTGAAGGTTTAAGAAGAGTTACAGAAATGGAGTCAAGATGTTTCTGGTTCTGTTTCTAGCTCTGCAAGAACACTAAGGCAGACGCAATGGTGAAGGACTTGTATGTTGAAAATGCCCAGTTGTTGAAAGCTCTGGAAGTGACTGAACAGCGACAGAAAACAGCAGAGAAGAAAAATTACCTCCTGGAGGAGAAGATTGCCAGCCTCAGTAATATAGTTAGGAATCTGACACCAGCGCCATTGACTTCTACACCTCCTTTGAGGTCATAGCCAAACCAAAGGGTACACTCATATTTGTGCACTTTACTGAAATAGATGAACATTTCAGTAGGTTCTCAACTTAAAATTAAGCCTAACCTAAAACTGCCAGCAACACAACTGGAGTTTCCATTTATCATAATTAGTTTTTCTAAATAGACCCTTATGGGAGTTTGAAAATAAATACTCACATATTTCACTACTTAAATTATTCCCAAGATTTGAATTTATTTTAAAATTTTAATAGCCACCAAGAATGTGGACATATGAAAATTCAAGAACCTAAAAAATACCAGTTTTGAATGAGTTTTTGTGGTTTTGGTTTTTTTTTTAATTATTACAAATCTATGTGTAAAATCTAGATATTTGAAGTTTGAGATCTGATGAGAATGGTTGTTATAAACTTTATTTTAAAACCAAATTTAGGTGTTCTTACATATTTAAATACTGGAAAGTCATTATAATAGTTTTGGTTCTTTGAATTGGTAGACAATTAGTAGAGTATAATTGGTTAGGAGGCAGGGCTTATTAAGTGGTTATTAACCGCTGACATCAGACAAACCCAAATCTGTAGAATTCTAACCTTCTAACACCTGTGACAGTATTACCACTCTTCTTGTATTATAGATTTAGAACTGATTTACTCAATTGCACTCTTAACTAATGTTAAAAGCTTACTTGCTTTAAACAGCCTTTTCTTCTTTCTCTTAAAAGTTTCATTTGGGGAGCTGGTCTTCTAAGAAACGGATAAAGCCACATAATTAAAGCAGTTGAACTATAGGGAAAGCACTGAACAAACCACTTTGGAGTAAATAGCTACTCTTAGAAAAGAGGGATAAGCAGACCATGTAGGTTTTCTGTCTCTCAAATCTTAGAGTTCATAAATTTACTTGAGGTTGCCTCAAGAACTCAGGGAACAATACTGTAAACTGTCTTCCTGAACTACTGTAGGGCCTCTCTAAGAATTTGAAATGTATAAACCATGTGACCTCATTTATTTGTCTTATATATTTACAGCCATACTAGAATTTTTATTTCTACGTTTTTAGTAAATTTAATATTCTGGGGGAAAAAAGGCCTTGATTTTAGGGTTAAAAACCTGACTTATAGAAGAGTTTATTTAATATAGGTCAAAATTTTCTGTGTTTCTTATTCCTTCTATACCTCAAATCTGATTCTAAGAATTTCTTACTGTGATAATCATTGGCATGCCACCTGAGGTCAAGGAGTGCCAAATAGGACTTTCCACTCATGCTCAAGATCAAAACTTTATAGAACAGTCAACATTTTAGATTCGGTAACCTTTTTTTTCTTCCAATTATAATCTCTGCTAGCCACTTCCGCCAGCAGTTGGTGGAAGACTTACTAGGTGCAGGGCACTTTCCAAGTTCATCACAACAACCTGCTTGTTTTCATGAGACAATAATCCGAAAAGTTCGCTTTGATATATTCCTGGAGGGCCAAGCCCATCTATTTACAAAAGGTGAACAGCAAAATCAAGCACTGCTTTATGGGCAGGAACACAAGAGAAAGCAAACTGCCCAAGAAGTCATCATGTCAGAAACTCAATCTCAACAAAATAATTTCCATCAGGGAACTTCAGGGTTTCTTGGGGGCTTATGAGTCTCACCGGTCAACCCAGGAGGCCTCACTACAAGAGCCTTGACAAGGCACTGTTTTTTGTGGGACTGGGAGTTCACACTGATGAAGCAAACCTTTGAATTTTTGCACAGCTCTTGTCAGAAAGCCCTGAGTTCCCCCTGGATAAAGAGTTAATTTTAATCCTTCCCTATAATTATACTTCAAAATATTTGACATCTGCTATTATGCCTTCTTTAGATCTTTCTTCTGTGGTGCAGACATTTCTAGTAAGTGTTTGACTACTTGTATGGCATTAGCTTTCACAGAAAATTGTTTCACTTAAAACTGTGGATTGGCCTAGGCTAAGGACAAAAATAAACTAAGTACCTGTAGTGTATTTATGTGATATGTGTCAAGTTACTCAAAGTTATTGCTGTTGGAACTGAACAATAATATTTCCCAGATAGCTGGCCTTAGCATGTGATCACGGTTGTTGTATTTTTAATTTTTGTCTTTTACAGTATGAGAGGTGTAGGTTAATTTGTTTATTTCCTATAAATTTGTATTTATGTGTATATAAAATGTACAATGAATGTAAATATGACTTTCTGGAAAGTTTAGACTACATTTAGAATCTCTATTCAAAATCAAAATGCTGCTCAAATGAATTTAACCAACATCTAGGTGCTTAATTTCTCATTTTATCCCACTTATGAGATTGGGAAAAAGATCAATATGAGAAATACCATACAGATACCTTAAATGTATGCATTTGTGCAACAATTTTTGAGAAGGTGAGTGGCAATTTATAATTTAGTTGGCAATTTATAATAGAACTTATAGCTTTTAAAAGACCTTTTAAAGACATTAAATGTAAACTTAAAAATGTTTAGATCTTGTTTCAAACTTTACAATAGCATTCTTCAAAATATTAAGTTATATATTTTATAGGCATTTAGTTGCTTATTAAAAGCACTGATTTTCAAACTTTTTGATTTAAGAACAATTATTTAAGATCGTCTCAGAAGATGGGATCTTCGTTTCAAGAAAAGGGAATCAAGTTTGCCTTTGAGATAATACGTTACACTAAGAAAAGGAAAATGTGGATAGTAAAACCCACCTCTCTCATCCTATTGTACTCTCTTCTGCTTTTTAGAAGCCTGCACTTAAGCTTAGATTTGTGAAGGGAGAGTAGAAGGGGAGAAGTAGAACCACAGTGTTTTATTTATTTTTCTAAAACTCTTACTAAATCCAGATTTTTTAAACTGTTTTAAATGTGAATTCTTCCCAGAAATTTCAATGCATTGCATATTTAGCCTTCGGCATATTTTTCATGAATAGATCATGAAGTCATAGGCTTCCAAGGCATAGGAAGAGATCTTGCAGGTCTAGTATTTTAATAATGCACTATTACCCAGGGCAGATATTATGAGAAACTGTTTCTTCTCTAAGGGTTTATGGCAGACTTTGCTTTTTTAACATGTGAGAAATGAATTTTTTATTTTGTGATTTATGTGATTTCTTTTGCTGAGTGAAGGAAAGGAGAAATTGTTGCTATTGTCAGCATCTTAAAGGTATTTCCAGTCAAGGCAAGGCTAAGTGCTTTGTGATAGTATTAAGCAAGTCATGTTTTGAATGGATTACCTGTAGTGACTCATTGGAATGATATAATTATACAAGTAATGCCAAAAACCAAGTCAAAGCCTAATTAACCAAAGCACTCATTTAAAAATCATCATGTTTGGACCTATCTGGACCTCTCAGCACTGTAAAATAGTTTTGGTTTTGTGGCATATGAATAGCTGTTTAACAAATCAAAGTTAGCTTTTTGCTTCTCAGCTTTTTTGGGCAATACAAGTTAAGTTCTTAATGGGGAGACATTATCATGGCATGACTTAAGGGAACATTGGTTTGTGAAGGAAAAACAGATTATCTAAAGCCATCTCTATGTTTCTGTTCAGATAAAGATTAATGAGTTCTGTGTTTATATCAGCTTTGTATATTTCATCTTAGCCATTCTATCCTAGAAAGATTTTAATGTGAGCTTAAGATGTAAATAAATAATTTTGCAAACATGCCTTTTGTTTTCTATATACCCTGACCTTTTAATAAAGTTTCAGTGTATTTATCATTGGTCTTTAGAATGGTAGCATCAAAATATTTCACTAAACACATTCTACAAATGCAGAATCTCAGCCCGCACTCCAGACCTACTAAATCAGAATCTTCATTTTAAAGAGATTCCCCAAGTGATTTGTATAGGATTTAGAGCATTGGGACTCCATTTCTATTATAGAAGGATGACTTTTACACCAGCCAGTTTGGGGTCCCCGTATACTGTGGCAGTGCATAGTTTACCTGCAGAATCATGACTTAACCTTGGGCAAGGCCCTGTTTGTGATTTTGGGTGCTTCAAAGATGGCTTTATTTCATGTTGCCATCTTTAGGGGTGGCTCAGACTTTCTTAATTGAGCAGCTCATGAATGATGAGATATATGCAGTTGGAAACACAAAAACAACCTAAAACCATGTTAATATGCTGAACACTGAAATGTAGAATTGGAAATGTTGGCCAAACTGACCCATCTCACAAGCCTGTTTTATTTCATTTCAAAGCTTTTATACCAACCTCATACTGCCTTTATGTGGCAGGAACTACCATTATTCCCATTTTATGGATGAGAAAATGGAAGCTTAGCAAACTCAAGGCCACACTGCCAGCTAGGTCGGGAACTTGGGACTAGAGGCTCAGGTTTGTCCTGTGTTGCAACACTTCTATCAGTTCCTACTTCTGGCAGAACTATCAGTGTTGGTTCAATGGCAACCATGTACACTGCACTCTGAAGAAAGTACTGTGTAAAACATTCCTGCCATCTGTTTGTGGTGGAGTGGTAAGATTTACACAGAAAAGAAGATTAGAAAATCTACATCCATACAGAAGATAATCAAATGTTGATGGACTCTGTGCTATGAGCACCAAAATAAGATTAGTGTCAAATGGGTAAGGTCCTTAACCTAGCATTCAATATAATTCTGCACTTCATTGAGATTTGTGCAGCCTGTGTGTTTTGTAGTCTTATTTACTGTGCAAAATTATAAGAAGTAATTTTCTAACATGTACTTGATGTCCATTTTCCCCATAATAATAGTTATGTTTTGGCCATAAGACTGGAATTCTCACTTAAATTATGTGAAATGTCTATTATATAATCTCCTGATCAAAAGGTTAAATTTCACCCAGAAGTGCTTTCTATTCTTTGGTTGCTTCACTTGCAAATCAGGAGACATGGCTAGTTTTGACAGACTTTTTTAAAAATTCCATATAAAGTTAAAATTCCAAAGCAGAGAACTGTATAACTAAATCAGTGAAATGTTGTAATGAGTAGGCAACAATGTAAAATAGAGCTGGATACCCTTGTATTAAAATAGTATTTAATTCTGAAAAATGATTACATGGGATATGCTTTACTAGTTAAGGCAAAGTAGACAGCTCTTAACAGTGCTTACAGCCCAGATGAACATTTACCAATCATTTTTCTTTCCTGTTTGGAGGCATATCTGTCTTCAAGATCAAGCAATAAATAAGTACTAACCCTGTGCCAGGTACTAACAGGTTATCTAGTATTTTAATACTGTGAACAATAAAAGGGACTCTTTAAAAAGTGTCAATGTCAAAAAAAAAAAAAGACGTGGCCGTGTTCCAAATTAAAGGAGTCTAAGTAGACATGATAACTAAATGCAGTACCTAATCCTACACTAGATTCTGTGTTGGAGAAGAAAATGTAAAGCAGGTGGTCCCCAGCCTCCTGGGCATTAGGAACCAGGCCACACAGCAGGAGGTGAGCAGCAGGTGACCCAAGCAAAACTTCATCTGTATTTACAGCCATTCCCCGTATTCCCATTAGTGCATGAGCTCTGCCTCCTGTCTTATCAGCCGTGGCATTAGATTCTCATAGGAGCGCAAACCTTATTGTGAACTGCACATGCAAGGGATCTAGGTTACGCACTCCTTAGGAGAATCTAATTAATGCCTGATGATCTGTCACTGTCTCCCATAACCCCCAGATGGGACCGTCTAGTTGCAGGAAAACAAGCTCAGGGCTCCCTCTAAGTCTACATTATGGTGAATTATATAATTATTTCATTATATATTACAATGTAATAATAGAAATAAGATACACAATAAACATAATGCGTTTGAATCATCCCAAAACCATCCGTCCCCTTTCAACCCCGGTCCATGGGAAATTGTCTTCCACAAAACCAGACCCTGGTGCCAAAGAGTTTGGGGGCCACTGCTATAAAGGACATTGAAGTTACTGACAAAATTGGAATAAGGATAGTAGCTTAGAAAACAGTATTATATCAATATTAAATATACTGAAGTTAGTTACTGCATTTATGTAAAAGTATCTTCTACAAAAGTATACACTGGTGTATTTAGGAATAGAGACTATGATATATGCAACTTAAAAAAAAATTGAGACGGAGTCTTGCTCTGTCACCCAGGCTGGAGTGCAGTGGTGCAATCTTGGCTCACTGCAACCTGCGCCTCCCAGGTTCATGCCATTCTCCTGCCTCAGCCTCCCGAGTAGCTGGGACTACAGGCACCCGCCACCACGCCCGGCTATTTTTTTGTATTTTTAGTAGAGACGGGGTTTCACTGTGTTAGCCAGGATGGTGTCGATCTCCTGACCTCGTGATCCACCTGCCTCAGCCTCCCAAAGTGCTGGGATTATAGGCATGAGCCACCATGCCCGACTGATATATGCAACTTATTCTTAAATGATCCAGAAACAAAATTACCCAGGCATGTGCATACACGTGTGAGGGAGAATGTGAGAGAGTGAGAGAAATAAGGCAATGAAGCAAGGATTATTTGTATTATCATTGTAACCCTATTTGTAAGTTTGAAATGATTTCCAGTTAAAATGTTTGAAGTGTTATGGATAAAAAAATGTACTAAGTGTGGTGTCAAGCACCTTAATCTTCCTTGCCCTTCTAGCTACTCTGAAGAATAGATGGTATTCTGAGTAAAAACTCACTAGAAACCATTTATGCTAGCCTAACCATACACCTATAGTTTATTATGAAAAGTTCAGCACTGGCCAGGCACAGTGGCTCACGCCTGTAATCTCAGCACTTTGGGAGGCAGAGGCAGGTGGATCACAAGGTTAGGAGATTTGAGACCATCCTGACTAACACGGTGAAACCCCGTCTCTACTAAAAATACAAAAATCAGCCGGGCATGGTGGCGCGCGCCTGTAATCCCAGCTACTCAGGAGGCTGAGTCAGGAGAATCGCTTGAACCCGGGAGGCGGAGGTGGCAGTGAGCCAAGATCGCACCATTGCACTCCAGCTTGGGTGACAGAATGAGACTCCTTCTCAAAAAAAAAAAAAAAAAAAAAGTACCATATTCAGTGCTGTCTAGTGACAAGTGTGGTCACTCATCTTAGCACTATTTCTCATATCATTCCTTCTTTTGTCCTTGCCCTCTCCCCACCCCTTTGTCCTGATTCCTATGTATTCTCCAGATACTACATGTAAATTTAACAGTGTCCATGCAAGTCACAGTGGGTATAAGCAAGAACCAGAGGTGGATGTGGGCAGATGGTTGATGTGTATGAAAACTGGTAGGGTCAGTGTTTGGGAGTAAAGGCTTTTTTGAAGTGGAGATGCTAAAGTAGATTTGTTGGAAATATTTTTTCTTAAATGATGGTCAAAAAGCAGGATATTTAAAATAAGCAATTCTGAGGTAGTTCACATAATGGTGAAGTGGGTAAAAGAAAAAGATCACAAGACATTAGAAAAAAATCAATGATCTGAAAGTCCAAGATTTGGAATTGCCTTTCCCTGACCCCGCCCCCATCATTTCATCAAATCTGTACTTGCCAAGGTTACCATGAACCTCTTAAAGTTGCCCCACTCCAACCTGCTCTCCCCACACAGCCTCCAAATAGGATTCTTCTAAAATAAGACTGAATGTCACACTACTGTTTAAGAACACCCCATGTCCTCAAGTCTCCATTCTTTTTTAAATCGACAAATAAAAATTGTACATATATATCTTATGCAATGTTTTGAAATACATATACATGGCTGGGCACGGTGGCTCACACCTGTAATCCCAGCACTTTGGGAGGCTGAGGCGGGCGGATCACGAGGTCACGAGATCAAGACCATTCTGGCTAACATGGCGAAACCCCATCTCTACTAAAAATACAAAAAAAAAAAATGAGCGGGGCATGGTGGCAGGCACCTGTAGTCCCAGCTACTCAGGAGGCTGAGGCACAAGAATGGCGTGAACCCGGGAGGCGGAGCTTGCAATGAGCCGAGATCGCACCACTGCACTCCAGCCTGGGCAACAGAGCAAGAGTCCATCTCAAAAAAAAAAAAAAAGAAAAAGAAAAGAAATACATATACATTGTGAAATAGCTAAATTGAGCTAATTAACATATATAACCTCACATTCTTATCACTTTTGTGGTGAGAATACTTAAGATTTTAAATTCTTAAGAATACCTTCTGATTAATTCATAAAGTAATAATTAGTGAATTTAGCCATACTAAACTCTGTTTGGCTTCTCAAAGGGCAACAGTATCTCTTGCTATGTTGTCTATGTATTGAGTAGGAGGAAAAGGCAGGACAAATAGTTGCTTCCAGTTAACCATCCTCCCCTTCCTCCTTAAAAAAAAGAAGGCTGAAATTTGACCATGCATGTTATTACCCAGCTATAAGACTATATTCTCTAGCCTCTTTTGCAGCTAGATGTGACCATGTGACTAGGTTTTGGCCACTGATATGCAGGAGGTCTGGGAAGACTTCTTAAAAGAGGGGATAAGCTGGCATGATGGCATAATCCTATAGTCCCAGCTACTAGGGAGACTGAGGCAGGAATGTCACTTAAGCCCAGGAGTGTGAGACCAGCCTGGGCAGTATAGTGAGATCTTGTCTCTAAAAATTTTTTTTTTTTTTAAATTTAGCCAGACACAGTGCCTGCAGTCCTAGCTACTCAGGAAGCTAAGGTGGGAGGATCCCTTAAGCTCAGGAGTTTGAGGCTGCAGTAGCTATGATTACTACACTGCACTCCTGCCTGGGCAACAGAGCAAGACCCCATCTCCAAAAATAAAGAGGGGGAATACACCTGTTTTTGTTCCTACTGCCTAGAGTGAAGATGATGATTGAAGATCTAGCAACTATGTTGGACCATAAAGATGAGGGCCACCTCCTATAGATGGCAGTGTAGAGAGCTGGAAAGAGCCTAGATCTCTGACAAATTCATTTAGCTATCATGTGAGGCCTCAATTCCTTCTGGACTTTACGAAAAAGGAATAAACTTTTAGTTGTTTAAGTAACTATTATTTTGGATTTTCTTATTATATGCAGCCAAACCTTATCCTAATTGAGACCTAGAATTAGTTGGATATCGGGGAAGGATAAAGTGGTCTTGATTTTCCAGCCTGACCCTAGAGAAGATACAAGATGTATGCAATTCTAGAAAAGATGAAGTCCAAGAAAGGTAGAGTTTAGTTCTACGGTTGGTTTCCTGAAGAGAACAGGGCAATTTTCACGTTTAAACGTGATACATCCACCTGGGGAAAGAAAAAGTGGTAGAATCTTGCGGGGGAGAGAAAGCAGCAGCAGTAGCCTGCAGTGGTGGAAGCTAATTAAATGCAGCAATTTTATTTTTATATTGATGCCCAGGGTGACAGCCCTTGGATTCCACTTTTCAAGCAGTACTAAATTGGCTGTACTTTGACCCTGAAATAAGACTGCGCTTGTCTTCATTGACCAGAGATAACTGGAGAAGTAAACATGTGGTATTGGGGAGAAGAAACTGACATTACTGCTCCTAAGATTTCCAATAGGTGTCTGAAAATGGGGGCTTTAGAAAAGAAGCCACGAGGTTTTTGCCCACAGAACAGTATGATCTGGACATAGGCACAAAGAGTTTTCTACAGATGTTCCCATCTACTTAGGAATAGCGATTCACAGTGGAACCTATAAGAGGAACCCCCAAACAAGTAGTAGACAACAAATGAGTACACCTTTGAAGATTTCCTTTGAAAAGATTATTTAAGCTTCTTTATACTTTCTAGAAGTACAAAGTACAAAATTAACTACAGGGTTTTTATTCCACTCCCTTCCCCTAGTTAGACATCTTTTCTCCACCTTAGCCCACAAGGTGATCACTTCACTGGCTGGTAAATTGTCCATTGCAATCTGTAAATGAGCCAAGATTGCTGTGTGCTTTGCTCAGGCCATTCCTCTCATGGCTATGATACCACTGACAGGGAGATATATAATATATATGTAGAGAGAATATATACATTTGTATATTACAGTATAATATATACATTTCCATATTATATATTTGTATATAATATACAAATTCAAGCCTCATTACTACTGATTTTCCAACAGATCAATCCCAAGCAGTAGGCTATAATTAGAAACAGATTAGACATTCCTTGTTGCAGTCATCTACCTACCTCCTGGCCACCTCCCTCACTGATTTTAGAACTTGGGTCACTGTCTTTTTCTCACTACTACCTCTATCACTACTCTTAGTGCTTTCAATATCTCATATTTGATATATTTGAATTGTGGAGAGAAAGATGAGACCACACTCTACCTTGTCAATAATTTCACTATCTCTGGTCTTTATTTCAAGCATCCAAGACTTTGGACATCCATCTTTCTTCTTCTTCACTTCTAAAATTTGTTTCCTCTATCCATTGATCCCACCACTTTTCCACTGTCCACCACTAAGCCTTACATCTACCTCATGTCCTCATGATCTCTTTACTCAGCTTATGTTCCATGATCTATCACTAGAGCCACTTCCCCTGAAACACAATCACTTTGCTTGCCCCTATCTACCTTTATGACATTTACCTATGGCAATCCCAACTTCCCAACCCTGGTTAAACTAAACTCTTTTCCTATTCTGCAATTACACCAAAGCAACTGAAAATGGCCAGAGAAAGACAGTCAGCTGCTCCAACTGGCCTCACTTTAAATTCATAATCACTGATTTCAACATTGCTTAACAATTCCATTACTTTACAAAAAAAAAAAAAAAAAAAAAAAAGAGACAGGATTTCATAGTCACCCAGACTGGAGTGCAACGCAACAATGTTAGCTCACTACAGCCTCAAACTCCTGGGCTCAAGGGATTTTCTTGCCTCAGCCTCCCCAGTAGCTGGGATTACAGATATGCACCATGACGCCCAGCTTTTAGAAAGTTTCTCACTATTGGCTGGGCATAATAGCTCACCCGTGTAATCCCAGCACTTTGGGAGGCCGAGGCAGGCAGATCACAAGGTCAGGAGTTTGAGACCAGCCTGGCCAATATGGTGAAGCCCCGTCTCTAATAAAAATACTAAAATTTTTAGTGTGGTGTGGTGGCACACGCCTGTAGTCTCAGCTATTTTGGGAGGCTGAGGCAGGAGAATCACTTGAACCTGGGAGGCAGAGGTTGCAGTGAGCAGAGATCGTGCCACTGAGTCCAGCCTGGGCAACAGAGCGAGACTCCATCTCAAAAAGAAAAAAAAAGTTAGCTGGGTGTGGTGGCGGGCGCCTGTAATCCCAGCTACACAGGAGGCTGAGGCAGAAGAACTGCTTGAAACCAGGAGGCAGAGGTTGCAGTGAGCCAAGATCACGCCAGTGCACTTCAGCTTGGGCAAAAGAGCAAGACTCCGTCAGAAAAGAAAAGAAAAAAGAGAAAAGAAAAAAAGAGAAAAGAAAAAAGGAAAGCTTCTCACTATCCAAGATAATGGTTTCATATGTCCTACTCAAATCTCCAATACCTCCAATTCGTCTTTACTCTCAGTAAGTTGATTCTCATAAGAGAACTACTCATTTAACCACCACCAACTCTACCCACTTCCTGCATCTCTTAATAATTTGTAATTAATAAACTGCCCTTGCTCCCTAGGCCAAACGCCTTTGTGAACTAGATCCTGTCCCTTCTCACTTTCTCAGGATGTTTTCTTACAATTAGTATCTTACATTATTAGCTTTCCTTTCTCCATTGTTCCCAGTAGTAACTCTCGTTTTCTTCAGAGTGCTTCAAAGGTCCCTAGCAGAAGTTGAGCAATTTCACTCGTGAGTTCTATTGTCTTGAAATTTGTCTTGGACAGGACAGGACCAGCTATCTATTAAAATGTCTTCATTAATTATATTTCAGGATCCCACACCATTCTACTTTTTCCCCCCGGTACAAAAAAAAAATCATTTCTTGACAAAGAATATACAAGCAAAATAGGAAGAGAAGTTCTTCATGTGTAAACATGACATCATTTACAGTGTATCTATTTCTTATCTTCAGGTGGCTATTTCTCATACTTTTTCCTAGAGGTGGTCTTGCTCTGTTACCCAGGCTGGAATGCAGTGGCACAATCATAGCTTACTGCAGCTTCAAACTCCTGGGCTCAAGCAATCCTCCCACCTCAGCCTCCCAAGTAGCTGGGACTACAGGCATGTGCCACCATGCTTGGCTAATTTTTTTTTTTTTTTTTTTTTTTTTTTTGTAGAGATGCAGCCTCACCGTGTTGTCCAGGCTGGTCTCAAACTCCTGGCCTCAAACATCAGATCATAAATTTAAGAAGTTCTCTAGCTGTCTGTAGCATTTTTGCAAGTCAGCTCATTTTTGGCGAAAATGGCAAGAGGATTGGGGGTACATTGGGTAGAGGTTTAGGGGAGGAGCAAAGAAGGCAGCAAGAACCCGAGTCTGATGTGGGCAGGTGGTTGATGTGTATGAATTCTTGGTACTATTGCTCCAGGCCTGCCACATTTGTATATTCTTTTTTGAATATATATTCCTATCTTTTTATCTTTTGTGCAAGTTCTTTTAACATTTGAGCTTAATGGAGAGCTCTTTGTCCAACCACACAGGATTTAAATAATTCCTCTCTTACTTCGAGAGCATTTGCACTTCCAGATTTTGATAGTATGTGATTCCTTTTGGTTCATCTTTCCCTCTGTAGGTCTCATGACAATATAATAGTGTCTTTTGAGTTTTGTGAGATGTACTTCTTATAGTCTTGGTCAACCATTTAACCATGTCTATTTTTTTTCTCTCCCTATTAGGATTCTAACTCTAATTTGGGTCAATTTTCCCAAGCTTCCCATCACTAACTTTTGCCAACAATTCCTCTTTGTTAGAATTAAGTAGAGTAGGCCGGGCGCAGTGGCTCACGCCTGTAATCCCAGCACTTTGGGAGGCCAAGGTGGGTGGATCACCTGAGGTCAGGAGTTCGAGACCAGCCTGGCCAACATGGTGAAACCCTGTCTCTACTAAAAATACAAAAATCAGCCAGGCGTGGTGGTGGGAGACTATAATCCTAGTTACTTGGTGGCTGCGGCAGGAGAATCGCTTGAACTCGGGAGGCAGAGTTTGCAGTGAGCCAAGATTGCGCCATTGCACTCCACCCTGGGCAACAAGAGCGAAACTCCGTCTCAAAAAAAAAAAAAAAAAAAAAGAAGAATTAAGTAGAGTAGCAGTTCCCTATTTGTTGCTTCTGTCTTCCAGGAGATAAACCTATCAAGACAGTAAATAAACATATTAACACTTGGTGAACATTTATTTTGGTCATTTCACATGGACCAAGCATATCAGTACCATTATATTATTAAAATTCAGAGAACATTGTGGTATAAGTATTTATATATTTCTCCTATGAAGAAATGGAGATTCAAAGAGATAAAATAACTTAATTTGTAACTTACTTGATCATCTCATATACAATGTATAATACTAGAAACTGGAAATAGACAAAGTCCTTGTTTCATGGAGCTTTTAATACTACGGGAAAGGCAGACCAACTAGCAAAGAAGTTAGCTTCACCAGAACTGAATGTACCGAGAGTTGAAGATGGGTGCTCCCAATAATATTAGAATATATTCAGATAAATTCATGCTACCTGGCAACACAATAGAAATCTACTATAAGTTTGATGATTGAGACAGATAGGAAACAAACTAAAAGCACATTGGAGAGAAGAACATAATGACTAGAAAAAAAGCAGCAGAAAGCTTTACCATACTACAGACCAAGTCAATAATTTATCATTATTCAGCTGTTTAGTATGAGAGGATTTACAGGGACAACTATAAGTAGCATAGTGGTTAAGAGTATAAAGTCAGAGAAAGAAAGCGCTCTGTACAAATTCTGATTGTGCTACCTACTAACTATATAGATTTGAAAACAAAACAAACAAAAAACTTAATATTTAAACCCCTGGCTTTGATTGACTGCATTTGTAAGACAAGGATGATAATGCTAATCTTGTGGGACTTGTGAGGTCATAGTAAATATATGCTAGTAGTTCTCAAAGTGTAGTCCATGGAACCTAGGAATCTAAGACCCATTTCAGTAGGTCCATAAGATTAATTTCATTAGAATGCGTTATTTAGCCAGGCACTGTGGTTCAGGCCTGTAATCCCAGCACTTTGGGAGGCCGAGGCAGGAAGATCACTTGAGGCCAGGAGTTCAAGACCAGCCTGGGAAACATAGGGAGACCCCATCTCTACCAAAAAGATATTTTAAAAAAATTAGCTGGGTGTGGTGGCACACTCCTGTGGTCCCAGCTATTCAACAGGCTGAGACAGGAGGATTTTTTCTGTCTCATAGCAAGCTATGATCACACCACTGCATTCTAGCCTGGGTGAGAGCAAGATACTGTCACTAAGAAAAAAAATAAAAATAAAGATTAAAAAAATGCATTATTTGCCTTTTTCACTATGCTGACATTTGCACTGATTGTACAAAAACAATAGTGGGTAAAACTGGTGGTATCTTAGTATGCATCAAAACAATGGCACCAAATTATACGAACAGTCATGGTATTTTCCTCCACTACACACTCTTGATCGAGGCAGCAAGGGGAGTAGGGGAAAGGAAGCCAGTTTCACTTAAGAATTTTCTTGATGCAGCCAGGCACGGTGGCTCATGTCCATAATCCCAGCACTTTGGGAGGCTGAGGTGGGCAGATCACCTGAGATCAAGAGATCAAGATCATCCTGGCCAACATGGTGAAACCCCATCTCTACTGAAAATAGAAAAATTAGCTGAGCATGGTGGCATGCATCTGTATTTCCAGCTACTTGGGAGGCTGAGGCAAGAGAATCACTTGAACCTGGAAGGCGGAGGTTGCAGTGAGCTGAGATCGTGCCACTACCCTCCAGCCTGGAGACAGACTGAGACTCCATCTCAAAAAAAAAACAAAAATAAAAAAAAGAATTTTCTTGATGAAGCAGTAAAAAAAAAAAAAAAGTTAATTTTATATAATCTTGACCCTTCCATAGACATATTTTTAATATTCTATGCAATGAAATAGGGAGTACACCTAAAGCGCTTTTGCTCCATACCAAAGTATATGCTTGTCTCAAGGAAAAGCACTTATGTGATTCTTTGAGTGTGCTAAACTAGCTGCTGTTTTCATGGAACACCATTTTTACATGAAAGAGTGATGAAGAGACAAACCCTAGTTATTCAGACTTTAATATCCAGATAGCATTTTCTTGAAAATGAATGAAATGATTCTATAATTTCAAAGATGATTGACTACATGCTCAAAGCTTTCAAGAAAAAAATTAGAATTTTGAGGCCGGGCACCAGTGGCTCACACCTGTAATCCCAGCACTTTGGGAGGCTGAGGCGGGTGGATCACTTGAGGTCAGGAGTTCGAGACCAGCCTGGCTAACATGGAGAAAGCCCATCTCTACAAAAATACAAAAAAATTAGCGGGGCGTGGTGGTGCATGCCTGTAATCCCAGCTACTCGGGAGGCTGAGACAGGAGAATCACTTGAACTCAGGAGGCAGAGGTTGCAATCAGCCAAAATCATGCCATTGTACTCCAGCCTGGGCAACAGAGTGAGACTTCATCTTAAAAAAAAAAAAATTTTGTATTTTGAAATCGTGTGTCTGCCATTGTGGCCTTGACAGTTTTCCAATATTTAAAGAATTTTCAGGTTAAAAATCGGTGGTGATATTTATGAATATAATTTTAAAATATTGTATAATTGTATGAATCAATGAGAGGATATATATAACCCAGTAACCAATATTTTCCATATGACCAATGCTTGATGTTACAAAATCATGCATGGATGAAAGATCCATTCAAAGTCCAAGATGGACCAATGGATTCTAATATTAAGAGTAGAGGCCGGGCACAGTGACTCAGGCCTGTAATCCCAGCACTTTGGGAGGTTGAGGTGGGTAGATCATGAGATCAGGAGATCGAGACCAGCCTGGCCAATATGGTGAAACCCTGTCTCTATAAAACTACAAAAAAGTTAGCTGGGCGTGGTGGTACACACCTGTAATCCAAACTACTCGGGAGGCTGAGGCAGGAGAATCGCTTGAACCTGGGAGGTGGAGATTGCAGTGAACCGAGATGGTGCCACTACTCTCCAGACTGGCAGCAGAGTGAGAATCCGTCTCAAAAAAAAAAAAAAAAAAGGTACAAAATATGATTTCAGATTCTACATTTCAACTTACCTCTAAGAAACTACTACTTGTTTGATTTGGTTTAGTATCACTGAAGACTATCTATATCAAAAAAGATTAAAATACTTTTCCCTTTTCTAACTACAGTACTTGCCTCTGTGAGATCAGGTTTTTTTCCATATACTTCAACCAAAATGATACATGATAAAACAGAACAAATGCAGAAACAAATGGGATAATTCAGCTACTCTCTATTAAGCCAGACATTTAAGAGATTTCTTCACAGCTCTTCTCAAATACTTTGTTTTGGAATATATGTTTATTTCTCATGAAAGTATGTTATGGTGTTAAACATGAAATAGGCTTATTTTCAGTATTTTAAAATATATAAATACTTTAAAGTTTTTCTCTTCTAACATGATAAATGTTGCTAGATATAATTCACATAAGCAAAATCTCTGAGGTCCTCAATAGTTTATAAGAGTACAAAGTAATCCTAAGACCAAAAATTTTGAGAACCATTACTATATATTCACATATAATTACATATACAATTACTATATATATGATATATAGTATATATACAGACAAATCAGATCTTTGGTCAACCTAGTATTAGTTGATCCATTTTTCACCAAAAATTACCTTTTTGTAGTACCTTAAACCATTGTTTGAAATATAAATCCCACTCATTTTTCAGCAGCTAGAGAAACAGATACATTATGTACAGAGAAACAAAAATAAAGATGACAGATTTTTCATCAGAAAGAATGCAAGAAAATATTGCATCTATACAGTACTGAAGGAAATGAAACTAGCCTCAAATTCTTTTTTTTTTTTTTTTTTGAGACGGAGTCTCGCTCTGTCGCCCAGGCTGGAGTGCAGTGGCGGGATCTCGGCTCACTGCAAGCTCCGCCTCCCGGGTTCACGCCATTCTCCTGCCTCAGCCTCCCAAGTAGCTGGGACTACAGGCGCCCGCCACCACGCCCAGCTAATTTTTTGTATCTTTAGTAGAGACGGGGTTTCACCGTTTTAGCCGGGATGGTCTCGATCTCCTGACCTCGTGATCCGCCCGCCTTGGCCTCCCAAAGTGCTGGGATTACAGGCGTGAGCCACAGCGCCCGGCCGCCTCAAATTCTTTACCCAACGAAGATATCTTCAAAAAATGAAGGTGAAATAGGAACTTTCAGACATAAGCTGAAATATTACATTGCTAGTAGACCTCCACTGTAAGTGTTTAAAAAATTACAGAGTGATACCAATTAGAAATGTGAATCTAAAGAAACATCCATACACACACTCACACTCACACACACACTCACACACACACTCACAAGAAATGCCAACTACGTTGGCAAATGTATTAGTTTTCTCTTGGTGCTGCAACAAATTACCAAGAATTTAGTCATTTAAAAATACAGATTTATTATTTTATAGTACTACAGGCTCGAAGTTTAACATTTCATTGAGAAACATACGTGCGCGCACACACACACACACACACACACACACACCCAAGATGTCAGCAAGGTACATTCGTTTCTACTTCTTTGTCTTTTCTAGCTTCTAGAGGTCACTTACACTTTTTGGCTCATGGCCTCCTTTTTCCATCTTTATAAGTCAACAACATTATATTTCTGACCCTTTTTCCATAATGACCTCTCCCTCTGATTAGAGCTGGGAAAGTTTCTCTGCTGTTAAAAACATGCTGGAAAGATGCTCTGAGGACCCCTCAGAGACTGTTTTCGGTGTACGCGGGCACCCAAGTCCCCGGCCTCCTTGGCACTGGGCTTCGGCTGCGCACCTGGAAGGTGGCTCCCTGCCCTGGGGTTAGGTTTCAAATGCGTTGTCCAGGGAAATCCTCACCAAGGAGCGGACCTTCGAGTGAAGGCCCGAAGGATGGGAAGGAGCGAGTTGTGCAGCTTCAGAACTGGATAATGATATTCCAAAAGCAACCTGCCTCTCCACTGAAAGCAGTGACTGAAAGCAGAAGGCCCCTGTCATCACTCTTCCCTCAGAGTCAAGGGAAGAAACAGCCGCCCTTGGAGAGAGGACATTCGACTGTTGCTACCCAGGTTGCCACTTCAAAACTCTCCATGGCATGAAAGACTTGGACCGCTATCTCAGAATCCACAACGGGTGACGAACCGCTCAAGTGTGAGTTCTGTGACAAGTGCTTCAGCGGAAGGACAACCTGACCATGCACATGTGATGCCGCACGAGTGTTACCTGTGTGACTATGCTGCCGTGGACAGCAGGAGCCTCAAGAAGCACCTACGGATCCACTCGGACGAGCAGCCATACAAATGCCAGCTCTGCCCCTATGTCAGCCGCAACTCCAGCCAGCTCACCGTCCACCTGCGATCCCACACTGGGGATATCTCCTTCCAGTGCTGGCTCTGTAGCGCCAAGTTCAAAATCAGCTCAGACTTGAAAAGGCACATGATCGTGCACTGGGGGAGAAGCCTTTCGAGTGCGAGTTCTGCAGCGACGTCCGCTGCACCATGAAGGCGAATCTCAAATCGCACATCCGCATCAAGCACACCTTCAAGTGTCTGCACTGTGCCTTCCAGGGCCAGGATGGGCTGACTTCCTGGAGCATAGCTGGCTGCACCAGGCCGACCACCCAGAGAAGTGTCCTGAGTGCAACTCCTGCTCCAGCGCAGCCGCCCTGTGCATACACAGCGGAGTCCACTGTAAGGACTGAAACTTCAAGTGTGACTTCTGCAGCTCCGACGCGAAGTGGCCCAGCAGCCTGGCCAAGCGCATCGACAGGGTGCACAAGGATGAGGCCAAGACAGAGAACTGGGCCTCTCCGGGCAAGGAAGGGCTCACAGAGCAGCTCCCGACACGTGGCCAAGATCGTGAGGCAGAGGGCCTTTCGCTGTGAGACCTGCGGCGCCGCCTTTGTCAGGGATGACTCTGAGATGCCACAAGCAGCAGCACAGTGATCAGAGTGAGAACAAGGACTCAGACTTGGTCGCCTTCCCACCTGCAAGCTGTGCCTCGGGACAGCTCAGCACCATGGTCTCCGTGGGGCAGCTCAAGCCTCCCCTGGAGCCCAGCCAAGACCTCTAGCTCAGAGGAAAAGGATCCTCAGCTGTCAAGATTTCTGACAAATGCTGTTGCCCACCCCTCCAAAAGATGAAGCCAGTGAGACAGGCTTTGGGCACCACTTCCAGGGCTGGCTGCTCCAATTTCACAGGCCTCCAGAGGCGATGGCTGAGATGACAATGATAAAAGCAAAGCAGTACTATGGAGACACTTCTTGCATTTGTGTCTTCCCTCCCAGGACAATCTGAGCAAGTCAACTTAGTCATTCAAACGTAGGGTCTGCTGAGCCCTGCTCTATCCAATGCGGATAGCTTCTATGTAACAGATTCCAATTTTTAAACTGATCCATCTCTGATGGAATTATTAAACTAGTTAGATGATATAGAAAACTAAAACTAATCTCTATAGTGGGACAGGTTAAAGTGAAGAAGGTGTACATGAAGAGTCTGGGATTGCTGGAAAACTTCTATTTCATAACCTGGATGATCGTTCTAAGAGTGTTTGCCTTATATGTTTGTGTGGTTTCTTCTACCTGTTGTCTTGCAATAAAAAGGCAGACTCATAGGTTAAAACAAAATCAAAAACAAAAAAACTCATGTGATTAGACTGGACCCACCTGGACAACCTAGGCTTCATCTAAATATCCATCTAAGTTTCCTTAACCTGAATCATGTCTGCAAAATCCCTTTTGTCAACTGAAATAACATACTCACAACTTCTAAAGATTCAGACATGGAAATCTTTGTGTGATATTTAATTTGCCTACCACAGATGTAGAAGAATTGAACATTGACAACAAACTTGTTATAAAACATTCCACTCAACAGCAGCAGCAGAATACACATTCTTTTTAAGAACACATGGAAAATTAACAAAGATCAGCCACGTTCGGGGGTATAAAACAAGTTTCAATACATTTTAAAGGATCCTAGGTGCTGGAGGTGGCCAAGATGGTTGACTAGAAGCAGGTAATATACGTAGCTCTCATGGAGAGGAACAGAAAGAGCAAGTAAATACAGCACCTTCAACTTAAACATCTAGTTACTCACATTGGGACTAATCAAGGAAGCAACTTGACCCATGGAGGATGGAGAAAAGTAAGGCAGGATGATGGCCCACCCAGGAGCAACATGGAGCCAAGGGAACCTCCCCCGACCCTGGGTAGTGGCACATGAATGTACAACCCCAGGAACCCATGCTTCTCCCATGGATCTTTGCAATCCTTGGGTCAGGAGATCTCCTTGTGAACCCACTCCACCAGGGCCTTCTGACTGACACACACAGCTACATGGAGTCTCAACAGAACAGCCACTCAGGCACATGTGGAGACCCAGGAAAGCCTTGATACTCGGACTCTCCAGACTTCCCAGCAAAAGTAGTTGCAACTCCAGCAAAGCGGGAGGTTTGACCTCTGTACATATCCTTAGGAAAAAGGCTGAATCCAGGGGGCTGAGCAGTGACAATCTGCAGGCCCCACTTCCACAAACCTCACAAGATGAAGACCCACTGGCTTAGAACTCCAGACAGCCACTGGTAGCAGCATTGCACCTCCCTGGGATAAAACTCCAGCAGGGAAGGGTGGGCTGCCATCTTTGCTGTTTGGGCAACTTAGCCGTTCCAGCCTCCAAGCTTTGGAGAGTCTAAGCTGACCAGGGGCGGAAGGGATGCCCCAGCACAGCTGCTTTATAAAACGTGGTCAGACTGCTCTTTTAAGCAGGTCCCCAATCCCTCCTCACTGGGCAGGATCACCAGAGCCTCCAGCCACCTGCGCCCATGTTCTCCAGCCAACAGAGATTTGGAGCCTCCCTGGGATGGAGCTCCCAGCGGGAGGGGTGGGCTGCTATCTTTGCTGTTTGGGTGATAGTATTTCTAGTCTTTAGGCTTTGGAGAGTCCAAGTCAACCTCTGACCAGGCAGAAGCAGTACCCCGGCACAGTACAGCTGCCCTGTGAAACATGGCCAGACTGCTTTTTTAAGCCGGTCCCCAATTCTGTTCCTCCTCACTGGGCAGGAATTCTCAACTGGGGCCTCCAGCCACCCCCACCAGTGCTGTCTGGCAAACACAGATTTGAAAACTTCCTGGGACAGAAATCCCAGAGGGAAGGGTGGGCCACCATCTTTACTGTTTGGGTAACTTAGCTATTCTAGCCTTTGGACTTTGGAGAGTCCAAGATGACCAGGGGCTGAAGTGGATCCCCAGCACAGCACAGCTGCCCTACCAAAACACAGCCAGACTGCTTTTTCAAGCAGGTCCCTGATCCTACTCCTGATCACCAGGAAGGGTCTGAAGCTATCCCCACGAGTGTTCTTCAGCTGAGAGAAGTTTCAAGCCTCCCCAGGCTGGAGCTCCCAGATGGAGGTGCAGGCCATCATCTTCGCTGTTTGGGTCACTTAGCTATTCTGGCCTTTGAGCTTTGGAGTGTCCGGCACTGAAGGAGACCCCCAGCACAGCACAACCGCTCTACCAAAATGTAGCCAGATTGCCTCTGAAACAGGGTTTCACTCCCATTGCCCAAACTGAGCAATGGCTCTATCTCAGCTCACTGCAACCTCTGCCTCTTGGGCTCAAGTGATTCTCCTGTCGTAGCCTCCCAAGTAGCTAAACTATAGACACACCACCATGCCTGTCTAATTTTTGCATTTTTTGTTGTAGAGGCGGGTTTCACCATGTTGCCTAGGCTGGTGTCAAACTCCTGGGCTCAAGTGATCTGCCTGCCTCAGCCTCCCAAAGTGCTGGGATTACAGACATGAGCCATTGTGTCCAGCCCAGACTACTTTAACTGAGTCTCAGATCCCATTCCTCCTCACTGGGAGCAATGTCCCAACCAGGGTCTCCAGCCACCTCCTACAGGTCTGCTTGGGCTGGCAACAGGTCCCTAATTCCCTGGAGCAGAACTTTCAGAGGGAAAGGCAGGCTACTATCTTTGCTATATTGCAGGCTTCACTGGTGATACATAATGGTAAAGGGTACAATTCAACAGGAAGACACAACTATCCTAAATATACATTCACTCAACACAGGAGCACCCAGATTCATAAAGCAAGTTATTAGAGACCTATAAAGAGACAGACTCCCACACAATTATAGTAGAAGACTTCAACACTCCACTGACAGTATTAGACAGATCAAGGCAGAAAATTAGTAAAGATATTCAGACCTTAACTCAACATTGGACCAAATGGATCTGATAGACCTCTACAGAACTCTCCACCCCAAAACACAATATACATTCTCCTCAAATTGACCACATAATTGGACATAAAACAATCCTCAGCAAAAGCAAAAGAACCAAAGTCATACCAAACACTTTTGGAACACAGTGCAATAAAAACACAAGACTAAGAATATCGCTCAAAACCATGCAATTTTATGGAAATGAAGCATGATCCTAAATGACTTTTGGGTAAATAATGAAATTAAGGCAGAAATCAAGAAGTCTTTGAAACTAATGAGAACAAAGATATAACATAACAGAATCTCTGGGTCACAGCTAAGGCAGTGTTAAGAGGGAAATTCACAGCACTAAATGCCCACATCAAAAAGTTAGAAACATCTCGGCTGGGCACAGTGGCTCATGCCTGTAATCACAGCGCTTCGGGAGGCTGAGGCAGGTGGATCACCTAAGATCAGGAGTTCCAGACCAGCCTTGCCAACATGGAGAAACCCTATCTCTACTAAAAATACGAAATTAGCTGGACGTGGTGGAACATGCCTGTAATCCCAGCTCCTCGGAAGGCTGAGGTAGGAGAATCACTTGAACCCCGGAGGTGGAGGTTGCGGTGAGCCGAGATCATGCTGTTTGCACTCCAGCCTGGGCAACAAGAACGAAACTCCGTCTCAAAAAAAAAAAAAAAGTTAGAAACATCTCAAATTTACAATCTAACATTACAACTGACAGAATAAGAGAAGAACAAATCAACCCCAAAGCTAGCAGGAGACAAGAAATAACCAAAATCAGAGCTGAACTGGAGGAAATCAAGATACCAAAAAAACATTCAAAAGATCAACTAATGAATCCAGGAGGCGGTTTTTTGAAAAGTTAGTAAGACAGATAGGCCACTTGCTATATTAATAAAGAAAAGAGAGAAGATCTGAATAAACACAATTAGAAATGATGAAGGGAATATTACCACTGACCCCACAGAAATAGAAATAACCATCAAACTACTATAAACACCTCTATGCACACAAACTAGAAAACCTGGAAGAGATGGATACATTCTTGGACACATACACCCTCCAAGACTGAACCAGGAAGAAACTGATTTCCTGAACAGACCGATCATGAGCTCTGAAATGGCATCAGTAATAGCCTACCAACCAAACAAAGCCCAGGACCTGATAGATTCATAGCTGAATTCTACTAGATGTAGAAAGAAGAGCTGGTACCATTCCTACAGAAACTATTTCAAAAAAATTCAGGAGGGGGTTCTCTTCCCCAACTCATTCTATGAGGCCAGCATCATCCTGATACCAAAACCAGGCAGAGATACAACAACAACAACAACAACAACAAAGAAAATTTCGGGCCAATATCCTTGATGAACATTGATGTAAAAATCCTCAATGAAATACTGGCAAACCAAATCCAGCAGCACATCCAAAAGCAAATACATCATAATCAGGTAGGCTCCATCCTCAGGATGCAAGTTTGGTTCAAAACACACAAATCAATAAATGTGATTCATCACATAAACAAAACCCACATGATTATCTCAATAGACACAGAAAAGGCTTTTGATAAAATTCAACACCACTTCATATTAAAAACTCAATAAACTAGGTATTCAAGGAACATACCTCAAAATAATAAGAGCCATCTATGAAAAACCCACAGCCAACATTATACCGAATGGGCAAAAGCTGGAAGCATTCCTCTTAAAAACCTGCACAAGGCAAGGATGCCCTCCTTCACCCCTCCTATTCAACATAGTATTGGAAGTCCTAGTCAGAGCAATCAGGCAATAGAAAGTAATAGAGGGCATCCAAATAGGAAGAGAGGAAGTCAAACTATCTCTGTTGCAGACAACATGATTCAATAACTACAGAACCCCATAGTCTCAGCGCAAAAGCTCCTTTAGCTGATAAATAACTTCAAAAGTTCAGGATACAAAAGAAAACAAAAATCAATGTATAAAAATCACTAGCATTCCTATACACCAACAAAAGCCAAGCCAAAAACCAAACCAGAAAGGCAATTCCACTCACAGTTGCCACAAAAAAATAAAATACCTAGGAATACAGCTAACCAGGGAGGTGAAAGGTCTCTACAATGAGAATTATAAAACACTGCTCATAGAAGTCAAATGAATGGAAAAACATCCCATGCTCATAGATAGGAAGAATATCATGTAAATTGCCATATTGCTCAAAGCAATTTACAGATTCAGTGCCATTCCTATCAAACTACCAACAACATTCTTCACAGAACTACTAGGAAAACCTATTTTAAAATTCATATGAAACCAAAAGAGAGCCCAAATAACCAAGGCAATCCTAAGCCAAAAGAACAAAGCTGGAGGAATCACATTACCAACTTCAAACTATACTACAGGGCTACAGTAACCAAAACAACATGGTGCTGATACAAAAACAGGCACATAGATCAATGGAACAGAATAGACAGCCCAGAAATAAGGCTGCACACCTATGACCATCTCATCTTTGACGAGGCTGACAAAAGCAAGCAATGGGGAAAAAGAACTCCCTCTTCAATAAGTGGTGCTGGGATAACTGGCTCGCCATATGCAGAAGACTAAAGCTGGACCCCTTCCTTATACCATCTACAAAAACTAACTCAAGATGAATGAAAGACTTTAATGTAAAACTCAAAACTATAAAAAAACCCTGCAAGGCAACCTAGGGAATGCCATCCCAGACATAGGAATGGGCAAAGATTTTATGACAAAAACACCAAAAGCAATCGCAACAAAAGCAAAAATTGACAAGTGGGATTAATTAAACTTAAGAGCTTCTGCACAGAAGAAACTAAACAGAATAAACAGACAGCTTACAGAATAGGAGAAGCCATTTGCAAACTGTGCATCTGACAAAGGTCTAAATATCCAGCCTCTATAAAGAACTTGAATTTACAAGAGAAACAACCCCATTAAAAAGTGGGCAAAGAATATGAACAATGCTTTTCAAAGAGGATATATACGCGGCCAACATGCATATGAAAGAAAGCTCACTATCACTGATCATTAGAGAAATGAAAATCAAAACCACAATGAGATATCATTTTACATCAGTCAGAATGGCTATTATTAAAAGCCAAAAAATATCAGATGCTGGCAAAGTTACAGAGAAAAGGTAACACTTATACACTGCTGGTGGGAGGGCAAATTAGTTCAACCACTGTGGAAAGCAGTATGGTGATTAATCAAAGAGCTAAAAGTAGAACTACCATGTGACCCAGCAGACCCATTACTAGGTATATATCCAGAGGAATGTAAATCATTCTACCATAAAGACACATGCACGCAAAATGTTCACTGCAGCACTATTCACAATAGCAAAGACATGGAATTAATCTGGTATGGTTTGGCTGTGTTCCCACCCAAATCTCATTATGAGTTATAGTTCCCATAATCCCCACATGTCGTGGGAAGGACCTGGTGGGAGGTAATTGAACCATAGGGACAGTTACCCCCATGCTGTTCTTGTGATAGTGAGTTCTCATGTGATCTGATGGTTTTATAAGGGGCTTTCTCCACTTTGCTCGGCACTTCTCTCTCCTGCCACCATGTGAGGAAGGATGTGTTTGCTTCTCCTCCTGCAATGATTGTAAGTTTCCTGAGACCTCCCCAGCCATGTGGAACTATGAGTCAATTAAACTTCTTTCCTTTATAAATTACCCAGTCTCAGGTATCTCCTTATAACAGCGTGAGAGCAGACTAACATACAACCTAAATGCCTATCGATGTCAGATTGGATAAAGAAAATGTAGTACAGGCCTGGCATGGTGGCTCACTTGTGTAATCCCAGCACTTTGGGAGGCTGAGGCAGGTGGATCACCTGAGGTCAGGAGTTCAAGACCAGCCTGGCTAGCGTGGTGAAACCCCATCTCTATTAAAAATACAAAAATTAGCTGGGCATGGTAGCAGGCGCCTATAATCCCAGCTACTCAGGAGACTGAGGCAGGAGAATCCCTTGACCCCGGGAGGCAGAGGTTGCAGGGAGCCAAGGTCGCACCATTATACTCCAGCCTGGGCGACAAGAGCATAACTTCATCTCAAAACAACAACAACGAAAAAGAAAATGTGGTATATAAACTATGGAATACTATGCAACCATAAAAAAGAACAAGATCATGTCTTTTGTGGGAACAAGGATGGAGCTGGAGACCATTATCCTTAGCAAACTAACTCAGGAACAGAAAACAAAATCCCGCATTTTTTTCCCTTACAAGTGGGAGCTAAATGATGAGAACACATAGACACAAAGAAGGAAACAGACACTGGGGTCTCCTTGAGAGTGGAGGGTGGGAGGAGGGAGAGGAACAGAAAAGATAATATTGGGTACTAGACTTAATTCCTGGGTGATGAAATAATCTGTACAACAAACCCCTGTGACATGGGTTTACCTGTGTAAAAAACCTTCATATGGAGCTGAGATGATTGTGCCACTGCAATCTAGACTGGGTGACAGAGTGAGACTCCATCTCAAACAACAACAACAACAACAAAAAACCCTTCATATGTACCACCACACCTAAAGTTAAAAATAAAAGGATTCAAGTCATACAAAGTACATTCTCTGACCACTATTAAATCAAATTAAAATTCATTAACAAGAATCTTGCTAGAAAATACCAAGAATTTGGAAACTAATGAAGACACTTCAAACCTCATTGGTTCAAGAAAAAAAAGTCTAAAGGGAAACTAAACTATCTTGAACTGAATCAAAATAAAAACATTTCAAAATCAATATGCTTTTAAAGTAGTACTTACAGAACAATTTATACCACTAAGCACCTATATTAGAAAAGAAGAAAGGTCTGAAATCAATAACCACAGGCTTTACCTTAAGAAAGGAGAAAAAGAGGGCCAGGCACGGTGGCTCACACCTATAATCCCAGCACTTTGGGAGGCCAAGGTGGGTGGATCACGAGGTCAGATCAAGACCATCCTGGCTAACACAGTGAAACCCTGTCTCCACTAAAAATACAAAAAATTAGCCGGGCGTGGTGGCAGGCACCTGTAGTCCCAGCTACTCAGGAGGCTGAGGCAGCAGAATGGTGTGAACCCGGGAGGCGGAAGTTGCAGTGACAAAACTTCCCCTGAGGACACTGGAAACCACCATTGCTATTTACAGCTGAAGAACTTATATGGAGACCACACTACTGCATGCATCTAGAATCAAAACCAAAGTGCTTTACCCTACCAACAACACAGAAACATCTTCAGAAAAAAGTCCTCTCCTACAAAAATAAATTCAAAAAATTAGTAGATGTAACCATTATATAAGATGCATAAACATAAAGACAAAAAATATGAAAAAGGAAATATGATACCTCCAAAGCAACACAGTAATTCTTGCACATGTACCCCCTGAACCTAAGTTTTTTAAAAAATTTAAAAAACAAACAATTCTCCAGTGATATGGTTTGGCTGTGTCCCCACCCAAATCTCATCCTGAATTCCTACATGTTGTAGGAGGGACCCTGTGGGAGATAATTGAATCCTGAGGGCAGGTCTTTCTCATGCTGTTCTCGTGATAGTGAATAAGTCTTACAAGATCTGATGGCTTTATAAGGTGGAGTTTCCCTGTACAAGCTCTTTGCCTGCTTCCATCCATGTAAGATATGACTTGTTCCTCCTTGCCTTTCCCCATGATTGTGAGGCTTCCCCAGCCACATGGAACTATAAGTCCATTAAGCCTTTTCTCCTGTGTAGATTACCCAGTGTCAGGTATGTCTTTATCAGCAGCATGAAAACAAATACAGTAAATTGGTACCAATAGAGTGGAGGACTGCTGAAAAGATACCCAAAAATGTGGAAGCAACTTTGGAACTGGGTAACAGGCAGGGGGTTGGAACAGTTTGGAGGGCTCAGAAGAAGAGAGGAAGATGTGGGAAAATTTGAAACTTCCTAGAGACTTATTGAATGGCTTTCACAAAAATGCTGATAGCGGTATGAACAATAAGGTCCAGGCTGAAGTGGTCTCAGGTGGAGATGAGGAACTTGTTGGTAACTGGAGCAAAGGTGACTTTTTTTTTTTGAGATGGAGTTTCACTCTCGTTGCCCAGGCTGGAGTGCAATGGCATGATCTTGGCTCACTAACCTCTGCCTCCTGGGTTCAAGCGATTCTTCTACCTCAGCCTCCTGAGTAGCTGGGATTATAGGCATGCACCACCATATCTGGCTAATTTTTTTTTTTTTTTTTTTTTTTAAGTAGAGACAGGGTTTCTCCATGTTGGTCAGGCTGCTCTCGAACTCCCAACCTCAGGTGATCCACCTGCTTCAGCCTCCCAAAGTGCTGGGATTATAGCTGTGAGCCACCGTGCCTGGCCAGTGACTCTTGTTATGTTTTAGCAAAGAGACTAGTGGCATTTTGCCCCTGCCCTAGAGATTTCTGGAGCTTTGAATTGAGATAATTTAGGGTATCTGGCAGAAGAAATTTCTAAGCAGCAAGGCATTCAAGAGGTGACTTGGGTGCTGTTAAAGGCAATCAGTCTTAGAAGGGAAGCAGAGCATAAAAGTTTGGAAAATTTCAGTCTGACAACACGATAGAAAAGAAAATCCCATTTTCTGAGGAGAAATCCAAGCTGGCTTTAGAAATTTGCATAAGTAACAAGGAGCTGAATGTTAATCCCCAAGTCAATGGGGAAAATGTCTCCAGGGCATGTCAGAGGTGGTCATGGCAGCCCCTCCCATCACAGGCCTGGAGGCCTAGGAGGAAAAAGTGGTGGTTTCACGGGCCAGGCCCAGGGTCCCCATGCTATGTGCAGCCTAGGGACTTGGTGCTCTGCATCCCAGCTGCTCCTGCTGTGGCTGAAAGTGGTCAATGTAGAGCTTGGGATATGGCTTCAGAGGGTGCAAGCCTCAAGCCTTGGCAGCTGCCACATGGTGTTGAGCCTGCGAGTGCAAGAAGTCAAGAATTGGGGTAGGGGAACCTTCGCCTAGATTTCAGAGGATGTATGGAAATGCCTGGATGTCCAGGCAGAAGTTTGCTGCAGGGGCAAGGCTCTCATGTAGAATCTCTGCTAGGGTGGTACGGAATGGCAACATGGTGTCAGAGTCCCTACACAGAGTCCCTACTAGGGTACCGTCAAGTGGAGCTGTGAGAAGAGGGCCACCATCCTCCAGACCCCAGAATGGTAGATCCATTGACAGCTTGCACCATGTGCCTGGAAAAGTGCAGATATTCAATGCCAGCCCATGAAAGCAGCCAGAAGGGAGCTGCCCAAGACCATGGGAACCTACCTCTTGCATCAGTGTGACCTGGATGTGAGGCATGGAATCAAAAAAGGTCATTTTGGAGCTTTAAGACTTTACTGCCCTGCTGGATTTCACACTTGCATGAGGCCTGTTGCCCCTTTGCTTTGGCCAATTTCTCCCATTTAGAATGGCTGCATTTATACAATGCCTGTACCCCCATTGTGTTTAGGAAGTAACTAATTTGCTTTTGATTTTAGAGGCTCATAGGCAGAAGAGACTTGCCTTGCCTTGGATGAGACTTTCAACTGTGGACTTCTGAGTTAATGCTGAAATGAGTTACTTTGGGGGGCTGTTGGGAAGGCATGATTGGTTTTGAAATGTGAGGACATGAGATTTGGGAGGGGCCGGGGTGGAATGATATGGTTTGGCCAAGTCCCCATCCAAATCTCATCCTGAATTCCCACATGTTATGGGAGAGACCCAGTGGGAGGTAATTGAATCATGGGAACAAGTCTTTCCTGTGCTGTTCTTGTGATAGTGAGTAAGTCTCAGGAGCTCTGATAGCTTTATAAGGCAAAGTTTCCCTGCACAAGCTCTTTCTCTTTACCTGTTGCCATGCATGTAAGAAGTGACTTGTTCTTCCTTGCCTTTTGCCATGATTGTGAGGCTTCCCCAGCCACGTGGAATTCTAAGACAATTAAACCCTTTTTCCTGTATAAATTACACACTACCAGGTATGTCTTTATCAGCAGCATGAAAATCAACTAATACATCTAGTAACAGATTCTAGTGAGAAAGAAATTTATGAATACCAGATAAAAATTTTAAAATAATTAAATAAGTTCAGTGAGATACAAGAGAACACAGATTAAACAACACAAAGGAATCGGAAAAACAATTCAGGATATGAATGAGAAATCTACTGAAGAGAGATATCATTAAGAAGAACCAAACAAATTATGGAACAGAAGAATTCACTGAATGAAATAAATATTTGAAAGCTCTAACAATAGACTAGATCAAGCAGATGAAAGAATTTCAAAACTTGCAGACAGATCTCTTAAGATAATCCAGGCAGACAAAGTAAAATGAATGAAAAAGAACAAACAAAGCCTACATGATATATGGGACACCATAAAGCAACCAAATATTCAAATTTTTGGTATTTCAGGAGGTGGAGATAGAAAGCCTCTGTAATGAAATAACAGCTGAAAACTTCCAAGGTTAGCAAAAGATTTACACATCCAGATATAAGAAGCTCAGAGATCCGCAAATAGAATTCAAAACGGTTGTCCTCGTGGCACATTTTAGTCAAACTGTCTAAAGAAAGCCAAATAAAAACATAGTTCTTAAAAAGGGGGGGAAAAGCATCTAGTGACTTATAAGAGAACCCCAAACAGACTAATAGATTTCTCAGCAGAAACCTTACAAGCCATGAGAGAATGCGATGAGATATTCAATGTGCTGAAAGAAATAAAATTGCCAGCCAAAGATAATATACCCCGAAGAGTTATCCTTCATAGTTGGAAAAATAAAGTATTTCTCAGACAAGCAAAAGCTAAGTGAATTCATCACCCCTAGAGTAGTCCTAGAGGAAGTACTTAAGGTAGTCCTATACCTGGAAGCAAAAGGACAATATCTACTATCATGAAGACACAAAGGTAGAAAACCCACTGGTAGAACAAACACATAAGTAAGGAAGAGTGAGGACTCAAATGTTGCCACTACAGACAGCCACCAAACCACGATGATAAACAAGAGAAAGGAAGGAACAAAAGATATGCAAAAAATCAACAAAGAAAATGATAGGAATAATCTTCATACATAAATAATGACCTTGAAGGTAAACAAGTTAAACTTTCTACTTGAAAAATATAGATGGAAGCCAGCTGCAGCACCTCACACCTGTTATCCCAGTACTTTGGGAGGCCAGCGCGGGAGGATCCCTTCAGCTCAGGAGTTCAAGACCAGCCTAGGCAACATAGTGAGACTTTGTCTCTACAAAAAATAAAAATTAAATAAGTTATCTGGGTATAGTGGCATGCACCTATAATCCCAGCTACTTGGGAGGCTGAGGTAGAAGGATTCCTTGAGTCCAGGAGGTCAAGGCTGCAGTGAGCTGAGATCATGGCACTATACTCTAGCCTGGGTGACAGAGCAAAACACTGTCTCAAAAACAACAACAACAACAACAACAGATAAAGATGGGATAAATGAACTTTAAGTGACCCAATTATATGCTGCCTACAAGAGATACATCTCACATATAAAGACAAATATAGACTGAAAGGGAAGGGATGGAAAAAGGTATTCCATGCAAACAGAAACCCAAAGTGGGCAGGAGCAGCTATACTTAAGTAAAACAGACTAAATTAAAAACCGTAAAAAAAATAAAGAAGACCATTATATGATAAAGGGATCAAGTCAACCAGAAGATATAATTCTAACCATATATGCACCCAGCACTGGAGCACCCAGATTTGTAAATATATTAAGTCTAAAGGGAGAGAGAGACTGACACAGTAGTTGGGGACTTCAATGCCCTACTCTCAGTATTAGATCTAGACAGAAGATTAACAAAGAAACATTACATTTAAACTGCACATTGGCCCAAATTATAACAGACAATTACAAAACATTTCATCTAACAGATATAGAATATATCAGCATGTGGAACATTCTCCAGGATAGGTCATATGTTACAACATGAAACAAGTCAATTAATTAAAAAAAAAAAAAAGTTGACATCAAGCCAGACACAGTGGTTCACTCCTACATTTCCAGCACTTTGGGAGGCTGAGGTGGGAGGATTGCTTGAGCCTAGGAGTTTGAGGCTAGAGTGAGCTATGATGGTGCTCTGTACTCTAGCCTGGGTGATAGAGTTCTTGAAAAGTTAAACAAATTACACCAATAAAGACAAACTGGGGCTGGGCACAGTGGCCCATGCCTGTAACCCCAGCACTTTGGGAGGCCGAGGCGGGCAGATCATGCGGTCAAGAGATTGAGACCATCCTGGCCAACATGGTGAAACTCCATCTCTACTAAAAATACAAAAATTAGCTGGGTGTGGTGGCACGTGGCTGTAATCCCTGCTACTCAGGAGGCTGAGGTAGTAGAATCACTTGAACCCGGGAGGTGGAAGTTGCAGTGAGCCGAGATTGCGCCACTGCACTCCAGCCTGGGTGAAAAAAAAAAAAAGTATAAAGTATAACAAAAATGGTTTGAACCTTGTCAATTCCTAATAAGAAAATAGGTTATGGACAGCGGAGACCTAGGAAAAGCATTGGAATATCATTATTCTCATCTTTCACCTAAAGGAATCATAGATCTTGTCGAGTATTGAGAACTATAGTTAAATATTACCTAATTACCTTAATATTTTAATATTTTAAATCTGAGCACCTTTCAGGAACTAGTATATCTTATGTGAGAAAAATGACACCTTCATCTGTACCTTAAATCCTTTAATTTCTACTCAAATTTTTTATCTTCTGTTGGGTTCAAAGACAACAGTTTAAATTTAATCATTAAAAATAGCACACCATCCCATTTCACCATAATATTCTTACCTAGCTGTCTCTCCTTAGGCGCTATTTATTTATTTATTCTGAGAGATTCTGCATGTGGTATTCTCCTAACCTTTACAATGGTTCTCTGTAATTGGATATTGTGAGATAATTTTCTTCCTATATTTTAAGAAACGTTTTTGTATTGCTTTCATAGTTAATGCAAAAAAAGTTTTATAAAAATATTTTGATTTTAAAATGGATTTATTAATCAGTTTGAAAATCTAAAGTGTTTGGTATTTATAAATATGAAAAGTTTCAAGGAAATTTTCTGAAAAATCTCATAGGTTTTCTTTATCCTTTTCTTGTCAGAAAAGTGTATTGGTGCCACCTTTTCAGACACTGAATTGGCATTTGTCACAATATAAAATTAGTACACTTTGTGTGCAAACTCTGTAAATATACTGGCAAAGCATCAAATTGTATTTAAAACTATATTAATGGCAACATTATTTGATATAAAAATACCTGGTACAACTAAAATGTCCATATGCAGAAGTGGTTAAATCATGCTACCTCTACATAAAAATTTAATATATTAATAATTTTCAAAAAGTAGATTTGTATGTACTGATATGGAATGTGCCTCAAGAGACCTGTAAGTGAGAATTAGGTTACAGGACAGTGTATAGAGTTTAATCCATTTTCTGTAAATCAAATATGTTCAAGGAGAGAGAGAGAAAGGGAGAGAGAGAAAAAGGATAATGAGGGATATAGTTTCTCCCCTTTAGGGCATCACAATGAGACTTAACAGTTAACTTTGATGGGCTAAATAATGCAGCAGATAGATGTTCTTCTTTTTAACTTTTTCTTTGTAAAATGTAATAGTCACATAGAAAAAGTACATAAAACTTAAGCACAAGATTTAACAAATAGATTAAAATAATTAATCACCCCAGTTTTTTAGGAAGGTAGAAGTATTACCAGGTTCCATCTCACTTCTCTTGATTCAAAACTCTTTTCCTGCTAAAAATAACTATTAGCCTAGATCATGGAGAGGCGGAGCAAGATGGCAGAATAGAAGGCTCCAATCATTCCCTGACAAAGACACCAATTTAACAACTATCTACACAGAAAAAAAAACACCTTCCTAAGAACCAAAAATCAGGTGAGCCCTCATAATACCTAGTTCTAACTTCATATCACTGCAAGAGACTCTGAAGAGATAGAAAAAACAGTCCCAAATAGCTGATGCCACCCCTCTGCCACCCCTCCTCCACCCTTGGCAGCTGGTGTGGTACGGAGAACATCTCTGGGCATGGGGGGAAGGAGAACACAGCAATTGTGAGGCACTCAACTCAGTGCTGTCCTGTTAGAGCAGAAAGGACCAAACTCAGCTGACACCTGCCCACAGAGGGAGCATTTAAACCAGCCCTAGCCAGAGGAGGGAATCACTGATCCCAGTGGTAGGAACTTGAGTTCCTGTAAACCTTGCCACTGAGGGCTATAGTGCTCTGTCTCCAGGTGAACTTGAATGGCAGTTGAGCACATAAGGACTGCAACTCTTAGGTGAGTCCTAGTGATGAACTAGGCCCAGAGACAGTGGACTGGGGGGACATGTGACATATTACGAGACCAGCTAGGGTGGCTAATGGTATGCTGGCATCACGCCCTCTCAAAACCCCAGGCTACACAGCTTGTGGCTCCAAAAGAGGCCCCTTCCTGCCACTTAAGGACAGGAGAGGGAAAAGTGGGGGAGAACTTTGCCTTGCATCTTGGATACCAGCTCAACCACAGCAGGATAAGGCACTGGTCAGAGTTGTGAGGCCCCCGTTCCAGGCTCTAGCTCCTAGAGGACATTTCTAGACACAACCTGGCCAAGAAGGGAACACACACTGCCTTAAATAAAAGGACCCAGCCCTGACAGCATTTATCGCCTGCTAACTGAAGAGCCCTTGGGCCTGAATAACCAGCAGCGATACCCAGGTACTATGATGAGGCCTTGGGTGAACCCCTAAGACTCTCTGGCTTGAGATGAAACTCAGCACATTCCCAGCTGTGGTGGCTATGGGACAAAACTTCTGCTTGAGAAAAGCAGAGGGAAAAGTAAAAGGGACTTGGTTTTATACCTTAAATACCAGCACGGCCACAGAGGGGCAGAGCACCAAGTAGGCTCTTGGGGTCCCCCAATTCCAGAACTTGACTCTTAGACAGCATTTCTGCACCTGCCCTGGGCCAGAAGGGAGCCCACTGCCTTGACGGGTGAGTCCCAGGACAGGCAGCATTCACCACAAGCTAATTGGAGTCCTAGCTATAGTCCGGCAGCATTCCTCATGGGTCTGTGGTGGGGGCCATGGGGAGAGGCTCCTCTATGTTTGAAAGGGGAGGAAAGAGTGGGAAAGACTGTTATCCAGCTAAGTCGCAGTGCAATAGAACACCAGGTAGACTAAGTTTTTTGACTCTAGTCCCCAACTCCCAGATGGTATCACTATACCCACTTAGGGCCAAGGCAACCTTGCTTCCCTGAAGGGAAGGACACAGGCCTGGCTGGCTTTACTACTGGCTGATTATAGAGCCCCAGGACCTTGAGCAAACATAGGCAGTAGGCAGGGAGTGTGTTACAGCAGGCCTTGGGCAAGACCCAGTGCTATCCTTGCTTCAGGTCTGACCTGGCACAGTCAAAGTGGTGGTGGCCACAGGGGTGCTTGTGTCATTCTACCTTCAGATTAAGGTGGCTCAGAACAGACAGAGACTCCGGTTGGGAAAAAGTAAAGGAAGAGAAAAAGAGCCTCTGCCTGGTAATCCAGAGAATTCTCCTGAATCTTGTCCGAGACCATAAAGGTGATATTTCATAAGTCTTCAAGAATCACAGTGTTACTGGGCTTGGGGTGCCCTTTAAAGCAGATACAGCTTAGATCACAACACTCAAGTCCTTTCAAATACCTGGAAAGCCTTCCCAAGAAGGGCAGGTACAAATAAGCCTAGACCATGAAGACTACAATAAACACTGAACTCTTCAATGCCTGGCCACCAAAGAACATCTACTAGATAGCAATACCATCCAGGAAAACATCACCTTACCAAATGAGCTAAATAAGGCACCAGGAACCAATCCTGGAGAAGGGGATATGTGACCTTTCAAACAGAATTCAAAATAGCTGTGTTGAGGAAACAAATTCAAGACAACACAGAAGGAATATAGAATTCTCAGATAAATTTCATAAAGAGATTGAAATAATTAAAAAGAAAAGCAGAAATTCTGGAGCTGAAAAATGCAATTGTCATACTGAAGAATACATTAGAGTTTTGTTTTGTTTTGTTTTTTAAGACGGAGTCTTGCTGTGTTGCCCAGGCTGAAATGCTGTGGTGTGATCTCGGCTCACTGCAACCTCTGCTTCGAGGTTCAAGTGATTCTCCCTTCTCAGCCTCCCAAGTAGCTGGGACTACAGGCGTGCACTACCACACCCAGCTAACTTTTGTATTTTTAGTAGAGATGTGGTTTCACCATGTTGGCCAGGCTGGTCTCAAACTCCTGACCTCAGGTGATCCACCTGCCTTGGACTCCCAAAGTGCTGGGATTACAGGCGTGAGCCACCGCTCCCAGCCTGGAGTCCTTTAATTGCAGAATTGATTAAGCAGAAGAAAAAATTAATAAGCTTGAATACAGGCTATTTGAAAATATTTGTGACAAAATTTATGACAAAATTTATGACAAAAATTAATGACAAAATTAAGAATAAAAAACAATGAAGCATGCCTACAGGATCTAGAAAACAGTCTTTAAAAGGGCAAATCTAAAGCTATTGTCCTGAAAGATGTAAAGAAAAATATATGGATAGAAAATTGATTCAAAGTGATAATAACGGAGAACTTCCCAAACCTGAAGATATCAATATCCAAGTACAAGAAGGTTATAGAACACCAAGCAGACTTAATCTAAAGACGACTACCTCAAGGTACGTAATAGTCAAACTCCCAAAGGTCAAGGATAAAGAAAGGATCCTAAAAGCAGTGAGAGAAAAGAAACAAGTAACATACAATGGATCTCCAGTACATCTGGCAGCAGACTCTTCAGTGGAAACATTACAGGCCAGGAGAGTGTGGCATGACATCTAAAGTGCTGAAAGAGAAAAACTTTTACCCTGGAATACTATATCCAATGAAAACATCTTTCAAACATGAAGAAAAAAAGACTTTCACAGATAAACAAAAGCCGAGGGATTTCATCAACACCAGAACTGCCCTACAAGAAATGCTAAAGGGAGTACTTCTACCAGAAAGTAAAGGATATTAATGAGCAATAAGTAATCACCTGAAGGCATAAAACTCACTCATAATAGTAAGTAGACAGAAAAAAAAACACAGATTATAATACTGTAACTGGTATGTAAACTACTTTTATCCTAAGTAGAAAGACTAAACAAGGAACCAGCTGAAAATAATAAGTAGAACAACTCTTCAAGACATAGTCAGTACAATAAGATACACAGAAACAAAAAGCTAAGAAGCAGGGAATGGAGTTAAGGTGCAAAATTTCTATTAGTTTTATTTTTGCATGTTTGTTTATGCAAACAGTGTTGTTATCAAGTTAAAATAATGGGTTATAAGATACTATCTGCAAGCCTCATGGTAATCTCAAAACAAAAAATATATAATGGATACACAAAATATAAAAAGCAAGAAACTTCAGGTAAGGCATGTCTGACAGGAGCAGAAAGCAATAAGCTATATATATATATTTTTAAATAAATTTAAAAAGGAAAATAAAAATGAAGCAAGAAACTAAACCATATCACCAGAGAAAATCCCCTTTAATAAAGGAAAAAAGGAAAGAAAGAAGGAAAATAAACCACAAAATAACCAGAAAACAAATAAGAAAATGGCATGAGTGAGTGTTTACTTATCAATAGTAGCATTGAACGCAAATGGATTAAACTCTCCAATCAAAATATGTAGAATGGCTGAATGGATGAAAAAACAAATCTGTTGCCTACAGGAAACACTTCACCTATAAAAATACACATAGACTGAAAATAAAGGGATGGAGAAAGATATTCCATGTTAATGGAACCTAAAAAAGAGCAGGAGTTGCTATACTTATCAGACAAAGTAGATTTTAAGACCAAAACTAGGGCTGGGCGCAGTGGCTCATGCCTGTAATCCCAGCACTTTGGGAGGCTGGGAGGCCAAGGAGGGTGGATCACAAGGTCAGGAGCTCGAGACCATCCTGGCTAACACAGTAAAAGCCCATCTCTACTAAAAATACAAAAAACTAGCCGGGCACAGTGGCGGGCGCCTGTAGTCCCAGCCACTCGGGAGGCTGAGGCAGGAGAATGGCGTGAACTCGGGAGGTGGAGCTTGCAGTGAGCCGAGATCATGCCACTGCACTCCAGCCTGGGCAACAGAGCGAGTTTTGTTTTGTTTTTTTTCCTGACAAGGACTAAAACTACAAGAACAGACAAAGAAGGTCACTGTATAATGATAGAGGGGTCAATTCAACAAGAGGATATAGTAATTTTAAATATATACACACCCAACACTGGAGCACCCAGATATATAAAGCAAATATTAGAGCTAGAGAAAGATAGGCCCCAATATAGTAATAGTTGGAGATCAACACCCCACTTTCAGCCTTGGACAGATCATCCAGACAGAAAAGTCAAAAGAAACAGTCTTAATTTGCACTACAGACTAAATAGATCCAATATCCAAATTGAATATCCAAATTGAATATCCAAATTGAATATCAAAATCAAGAAAACTATTAGAACTGATAAATTCAGTAAAGTTACAGGATACAAAAGTCAGTAGCATTTCTATACGACAACAGCAAACAATGTGAAAAAGAAATTAAGAAAGAAACCTTATTTACAATAGCTACACATAAAATTAAATACCTAGGAATTAAGCAAAAGAAGTGAAAGATCTCTAATGAAAACTATAAAACACTGATGAAAGAAATTGAAGAGGGCACCAAAAAAATGTAAAAATATTTCATGTTCGTGGATTAGAATAATCAATATTGTTGAAATGTCCATACTACCCAAAGCAAGCTACAGATTTAATGCAATCCCTATCCTAAGATGGAGGGGGGCAGGGAACTGGAGGAACAACATTACCCAACTTCAAATTGTACTACAGAGATATAGTAACTAAAACGGCATGGTACTGGCATAAAAACAGATACATAAACCAGCCGGACATGGTGGCTCACGCCTGTAATCCCCGCACTTTGGGAGGTGGAGGCAGGTGGGATCATGAGGTCAGGAGATTGAGACCACCCTGGCTAACACAGTGAAACCCCATCTCTACTAAAAATACAAAAAATTAGCCAGGTTTGGTGGCAGGCACCTGTAGTCCCAGCAACTAGGGAGGCTGAGCAGAAGAATCGCTTGAACCCAGGAGGCAGAGGTTGCAGTGAGCTGAGATTGTGCCACTGCACTCCATCCTGGGCAACAGAGCGAGAAAAAAAAAAGAGAGAGAGAGAGACACACACATAGACCAATGTAACACCATAGAGAAACCAGAAACAGATCCATACAAGTACAGTGAACTTGTTTTTGACAAACATGCTAAGAACATACATTAGGGAAAAGGCAGCCTCTTCAATAAATGGTGCTAGAAAAACTGATTATCCATATGCAGAATAATGAAACTAGATCCCTATATCTCACCATATACAAAAAGTCAAATCAAAATGGATCAAAGACTTAAATCTAAGACCTCAAACTATGAAACTCCTACAAGAAAACATTGGGGAAAATCTCTAGGACATTGATCTGGGCAAAAATTTATTGAACAATACTCCACAGGTACAGGCAACCAAAGCAAAAATAGACAAATGGGATCATATCAAGTTCAAAAGCTTCTGCACAGCAAAGGATACTATCAAAGTGAAGAGACAACCCACAGAATGGGAGAAAATATTTGCAAACTACCTAGCTGACAAGCTATTAATAACCAGAATACGTAAGAAGCTCAAACAACTCTATAGGGAAAAAAATCTAATAATCCAATCAAAAGATGGGCAAAAGATTTGGATAGACATTTCTCTAAAGATATACAAGTAGTGGCTGGGGCAGTGGCTCACTGTAATTCCAGCACTTGGCCAAGGCAGGTGGATCACCTGAGGTCAGGAGTTCAAGACCAGTGGGGCCAACATGGTGAAACCCTATCTCTACAAAAAAAAAAAAAAAAAAAAAATTAGCTGGGCGTTGTGATGGGCGCCTGTAATCCCAGCTACTTGGGAGGCTGAGGCAGGAGGATCACTTGAACCCGGAAGGCAGAGGTTGCAGTGAGCCGAGATCACATAATTGCACTCCAGCCTGGGCGACAAGAGCAAAACTGCATCTCAAAAAAAAAAAAAAAAAAGATATACAAATGGGAAACAGGCATATAAAAGGTGCTCAACATCACTGATCAGAGAAATGCAAATCAAAACTACGACGTGATATCATCTCACCCCAGTTAAAATGGCTTATATCCAAAAGAGAGGCAATAACAAATGCTAACAGGGATGTAAAGAAAAGGTAACCCTCATACACTGTTGGTAGGAATGTAAATTAATAATGTCACTATGGAGAACAGTTTGGAGGTTCCTCAAAAAACTAATAATAGGCCAGGCGTGGTGGTTCAGGCCTATAATCCCAGCACTTTGGGAGGCCGAGGCGGGTGGATCACGAGGTCAGGAGATTGAGACCATCCTAGCTAACACGGTGAAACCCCATCTCTACTAAAAATACAAAAAATTAGCCAGGCGTGGTGGTGGGCACTTGTAGTCCCAGCTAGTCGGGAGGCTGAGGTAGGAAAATGGCGTGAACCCGGGAGGCGGAGCTTGCAGTGGGCCAAGATTGCGCCACTGCACTCCAGCCTGGGCGACACAGTAAGACTCCGTCTCAAAAAAAAAACGAATATACCTGCTATATGATCCAGCAATCTCACTCTTTGATATATACCCAAAAGAAAGGAGATGAGTATATCGAATAGATATCTGCACCCCCATGTTTGTTGCAGCACTGTTTACAATAGCCAAGATTTAGAAGCAGCCTCAGCATCCATCAATAGATAAACAGATAAAGAAAATGTAGTACATATACGCAGTATATATGTCTTAAAAAGAATGATACCCTGTCATTTGCCACAACATGGATGGAACTGGAGATCATTATGTTTAGTGAAATAAGCCAGGCACAGAAAGACAAACATTGCATGTACTCGTTTATTTCTGGGATCCAACAATCAAAACAATTGAACTCATGGAGATAGAGAGGAGAAGGATGGTTACCAGAGGCTGGGAGGGTGGTGGGGGTCTGAGGGGTAAGGTAGGGATGGTTAATAGGTACAAAAACATTGAAAGAAAGAATAAGACCTACTATTTGATAGCACAATGGGGTGACTATAGCCAATAATAACTTAATTGTACGTTTTAAGAAAACTTAAAGGTGTAGTTGGATTGCTTGTAACTCAAAAGATAAATGCTTGAGTGGATAGATACCCCATTCTCCATGATATACTTATTTCACATTGCATGCCTATATCAAAATATGTACCCCATAAATATATCTATGTGCCCACAAAAATAAAAATAAAATAGATTTTTAAAAATGAAAATAATTAGCCTAGCTTTTATAATTCCTTTATTTTTCATCATGTTAGCAACTGTGAAATGTATTATTTTGCATTGCTTTTTTATGTAACATGATGATTATAAGATTAATCCATATTGTTTGCATTAAGATATTGTTTACTCATTGTAACGGCTATTCACTCATCTGTGAACATTGCACAGTTAATCCTTTCTAACAGAAATATCCGCTTCAAGTTTTATCCTAAAACTAGAATAAAGCTGTTTTTTGTTTTGTTTTGTTTTTTTGAGACGGAGTCTCGCTCTGTCACCCAGGCTGGAGTGCAGTGGCATGATCTCGGCTCACTGCAAGCTCCACCTCCTGGGTTCGCGCCATTCTCCTGCCTCAGCCTCCCGAGTAGCTGGGACTACAGGCGCCCACTGCCACGCCTGGCTAATTTTTGTGTGTGTGTGTATTTTTTTCACCATGTTAGTCAGGATGGCCTCGATCTCCTGACCTCGTGATCCACACGCCTTGGTCTCCCAAAGTGCTGGGATTACAGGTGTGAGCCACCGCGCCTGGCCAGCTGTCTTAAATATACTTGTAGAAAAAAACTGATACCACACATATGAAAAAGATCAGACACTGTGATGAACAGCTATATACCAACAAACTGGAAAACCTACAAGAAATGAATTCCTGGACACATACAACCAACCAAGATTGGAACAGTAATAAAAAGTCTCTCAGAGAAAAGTCCAGGACTAGATGTCTTCACTACGAAATTCTACCAAACTTACAAAAAACCAATACTAATTCTTTTCAAACTATTCCAAAAGATTGAAGAGGGAATTCTCCCCAACTCATTTTACAAAGCCAACATTGCCCCAGTACAAAAAAACCAGACAAGGATACAACAACAACAAAGAAAACTGTAGGCTAGTATCCTTGAGGAACATAGATTCAATGATCCTCAAAATACTAGCAAACCAAACCCCAGCACATAATACACCATGATCAAGTGGGATTTATCCCAGGAATGCAAGTATGGTTCAACATACACAAATCAAACATGGTACGTCACATCAACAGAATAAAGGACAAAAACTATCTTAATAGATGTAGAAAGAGCATTTAATAAAATTCCACATACCTTAATAAGAATTCTCAACGAACTAGGCATAAAAAGAACATATTTCAACATAATAATGGTCATATATGACTACCCATAGCCAAAGGCATACTGCACTGAGAAAAGCTGAAAGCCTTTCCTCTAAAAACTGGAACAAGAAAAGGATGCCCACTTTCACCACTCCTATTAAACATGGTACAGGAAATCCTAGCCAGAGCAACCAGGCAAGAGAAATAAAAGGCATCCAAGTTGGAAAAGAGGAAATCAACTTATTCTTTGCAGATGACATAATCATATTTTTAAAAACTAAAGATACTCCCCAAAACTCTTAGATCTGATAATGTGTTAGAACAACATAGGTGGAAAAAGAATGAGGAAAAATGTACAATTGTGATAGGTTAAGCATGATCTATGTTCGATTTCTACATATTAATCTGTATTGTATATTTCTATTTCTTTTTTTTTTTTCAAATTGCTTCTCTCATTTTGGTAACAAAATGGCACTGCTAAGCTTACTTTCAAAAACTTTTTTTGTTTATTGACATCCTATCCTATTGAAGGAACTTTTTTTTAACTCTAACACATGCAGTATCATACTCAACCTAACTCAGAAGGCTCAAAGTAAAATTCATGCAATTCCTTTTTAAAAACTCAGGTCAAGTTTCTTTTGAAGTTTATCAACACTACTGAAATTTGTCAACACCGTTAACACTTTTGTGGATCTATCAGGTTCAGGATACCTGTATGAGATGAAAAAGAGAAGTATTGGACATGTTTCATACCCTAGAAAAGTTTACAAGCTATTTAAATGAGGACATACCCATTAAAAAAAGGTAAAGATTAAAGAGACATTCAATCATCAGGGAAATGCAAATAAAACCCACAATGAGATATCATATCACTCCAGTTAGAATGGTTATTATCAAAAACAAACATAATAAATGCTGGTGAGGATGTGGAGGAAAGGGAATTCTTACACCCTGTGGGTGGGAATGTAAATTAATATAGCCATTATGGTAAACAGCATGGAAGTGCCTCAAAAACTAAATATACAACTATTATATGATCCAGCAATCTCACTACTGGGTATTTATCCAAAGAAAAGGAAGTCAGTATATCAAAGAGACGTCTGCGCCCCCAAGTTTATTGCAGTGCTAGTCACAATAGCCAAAATATGGCATCAACCTAAGTGTCCACTGTCAGGCCTCTGAGCCCAAGCCAAGCCATCGCATCCCCTGTGACTTGCACGTATACATGCAGATGTCCTGAAGTAACTGAAGATCCACAAAAGAAGTAAAAATAGCCTTAACTGATGACATTCCACCATTGTGATTTGTTTCTTCCCCACCCTAACTGATCAATGTACTTTGTAATCTCCCCCACCCTTAAGAAGGTACTTTGTAATCTCCCCCACCCATAAGAAGGTTCTTTGTAATTCTCCCCACCCTTGAGAATGTACTTTGTGAGATCCACTCCTGCCCGCAAAACATTGCTCTTAACTTCACCGCCTATCCCCAAACCTATAAGAACTAATGATAATCCACTACCCTTTGCTGACTCTCTTTTCGGACTCAGCCTACCTGCACACAGGTGAAATAAACAGCCTTGTTGCTCACACAAGGCCTGTTCGGTGGTCTCCTCACACAGACGCACATGAAATCCACCAACAGATGAATGGCTAAGGAAAATGTGGTATATATACACAATGGAATACTATTTGGCCATAAAGAATTAAATCATATCATTTACAACAACATGGATGGAATTAGAGGACATTATATTAAGTGAAATAAGCTAGGCAAGGAAAAATAAGTAATGCATGTTCTCACTCATATGTGGACACTAAAAAACTATAGTGATTACTAGAGGGTGGGAAGGGTAGGGGAGAGGGGAAGATAGGGAGAGGCTGGTTAATGGATGCAAAACTACAGTTAGGAAAAATAAATTGCAGTGTTCTATGACACTGTGGAGTGACTATAGTTAGTAGTCTATTGTATATTTTCATATAGCTAGGAGAGGACTTTGAATGTTCCCACCACAAAGCAATTATAAATATTTGAAGTTACAGATAATGCTAATTACCCTGATTGGATCATTACATATTGTACATACGCATCAAAATATCACTCTGTACTCCATAATATGTATGTGTCAGTTAAAAATTTAAAGACAGGCATTCACACACTGCTGATAAAATTTGGCAATCAAAACCCTGAAACCATTTGCAAACTTTTCGTATTAGTTTCCTGTTGCTACCGTAAAAACTACCATAAACTTACTGGCATAAAACAACACCAATTCATTATCTTACAATTCTGGAGATGAGAAGTCCAAAATCAGTCTCAGGAGGCTAAAGCCCAGGTGTTGTTGGCAGGGTGGCTGCCTCTGGGAGCTCTGAGGGCAGAATCCGCTTCCCTGACTTCTTCAGCCTCTGGAGACTGGCTGCCTGCTTGGCTCACCTCATCAACCTCCTGCTTCTATCCTCACGTCTCCTGTCACCACTTTCCTGACTCTCTTTTATAAGGACTCTTGTGATTACGTTGGGCATTGGGCCCACCTGGATACTTCCAGCTCATTCTCTCCATCTCAAGATCCTTAACTTCTGATCACCCACAGTTCTATTAACTAATTACATCTGAGATCATTTGGCCCTAACATGCAAAGCTACCCATACTCTAAATTGACAACAGACTATTGTGGAAGCTCTGACATCAATTTATCTGAAGACATTAGGCCTCTAATAGCACTGTGAAATTAACAGTAAAGCACATCAGTGAAATACAATATTTGAATATTATTACTAACTGATTTGGAAATCTCAATAGAAGTTCTAGGAATTCAGAAGCCTCTGAGTAATACATGAATCATAAGAAAGAAATCTATTTTTATGCCTTTTATTTATGTCGCCGTTCCTCTTCCTTCTCTACTACTTGCAGGACAGTCCCTTCATCCTGTTTCAATGGCTTAGTTTGTTGTTTGTTTTACCATATTCCATGTTTTCTAACATGCGACCTTTACATTCCTTTCTCAATTTCATTACTTCCACCTCTACTCCAACTACGAGCTAATTTGGTCACACCTGATAACTATTTAAAACTCTGAAATTCCCCTCTGACCACAACCTCCTGTTCATCCCCTCCCATTTCCTCACTCCACTGAATCTGCTCTTTGTCTACATTGTTATTTCTAGTTCCTCAATCCTGATCAGCACGAAATAAACAGCATTGCCAGCCAAAGGCACAGGATTTTGACATTCAATGTCCTGTTTAGACCTGTCTTGACTCAATGTATAATTTTGGTTGTTGTTAAAGATACTGAGCTCTTTAAACTGAAATTTTTTAAGATGCGGTAACATGAGAAAATGCATAACAAAGTTTGGTTTCCTTATTTTTTATTTTTGAAACGGGCTCACTCTGTCACCCATCCTGGAGTGTAGTGACACGATCACAGCTCATGACAGCCTTAACCTCCTGAGCTCAATTGATACTCCTACCTTAGCCTCCTGAGTAGCTGGGACTACAGGCATGTTCCACCACACTTGGCTAATTTTTGCATTTTTTTTGTAAAGACGGAAGGTCTCCCTGTGTTGCCCGGGCTGGCCTCAAACTCCTGGGCTCAAGGGATCCTCCCGCCTCAGTTTCCCAAAGTGCTGGGATTACTGGCATGAGCCACTGTGCCTGGCCTGGTTTCTTTAAAAACCCTATTTCTCACCATTGTTTAGGCTTTTCTGTAGTTAAATGTATTCAATGATTACCACCTGTTCACTTACAGTTACTTCTCCAATCCTGAGTTTCAAATTTTGACTAATCTCTTGGTTTGTCAAAATCAAATCTAATCTCTTTGTTCTCAAAGTAGGTCTTCTCAGAAGGTCCCAAAATGCTGTATTTCCCTGAATTTTCATGTCCCATTGCTTTTCTTTTTTCACTGAATCTTCTGCCTTTATCACCTTCGTAATTTGTTCTAACACAGATTTCTTAAATCTCATCTTTTCCTAGGTAGCTTCCTTTTAGAGTCCTCTAAAGGCCAATTTCACTCTGGATTGATTGGCTTCCAGGCTTGCTATACAACCATGATACTGAGACTAAAATTACTTTCCTGAGTTAGATTCACTATTTCTTGAGTCCCTATTTTTCTGTTTTTGTTTTGTCCTTTGTGTGAGTTTATTCTCTCATTTTTTAAAAACTTATCTTCTAAAGTAACTTACTAGAATAGGATACATGAAAAGTATACTTTCTGAGTCCCTTTATTTCCAAAAAATGTCTTTATTCTTTCATTTTTGATTGACATTTGGATTTTGATTCACCTTTTTTGATGGGTATAAAATTGTCAACTAATTTTCCCTCATTTATTTGAGGGCATTGCTCCATAGTCTTATAGAAATCCTTGTTGCTGATGAAAAATCTGACATTAGTGTGATTCTCATTCCTTCATAATTGATACTTTTGTCTTCTGTTTGCAGGATATACAAATGTCAGAATGCTAAGATCTTTTCACTGGAACCTTTCAGGGTCTTCCTTTTACCCTTAATGTTCTGAAATTTCACAACACATTGAGACATGGATCTTTTTTCATTTATTTCGAAGGGCACTTGGGATACCCTATCAATTGGGAAATTCCTCCCTCTCTGAAAAAATATCTTGTGTTCATTTTTGATGATGGCATCTTGTCACCAGACCCCTACTGATTTCAGTAGGAATGGCACCGTGTTTGAGAGGCCGAAGAAGAAACTGGAGCCAGCAAACAAGACATAGGACTTATTGAGGGGACTCATATACAGGGTAGTCCAGTGGCAGTGGGCTGGACAGGAGAACCACTGCCCTCTGTAAAAAGTGCGCAGTTTATGTAGCATTTTCCCTTAGCACCCTCCTCCTAACAACCTCCACCTGACAAGCTTCATTTAACCCAAAACAAAGGACCTCAATCCTCCTGGAAGGCCTGTCTTCCATGGGATGGGCTGGGGATTCAGATGTTCCTCATAGATAAGGAATGAATCTCTGGGTTGGCTACTCCCAAATTCCTTAGCTTGGAATTTCGAACACACATTCTTCTGAGATCATAGGGTCATTCTCAGGGTATGTTTAAGTTATTGCTGTGAAGTGAGTCTGCCATATACTTCTCAATTTTCTCTGTTAACTCTTTCTGGAACTTAAGTTTTCAGGATATTGGGCCTTTTGTATAAAGCCTATTTCTCTTTTCTGTTCTTTGAGATTTCCCATCTCAGTCTTTTTGTTCTGTTTTCTGGGAGATTTGCTCAACTTTATCTTCCTAACTTTGTTCTGAAAATTCTACTTTGGCAACCCCTATCTTTAATTTCCAACAGCTCTTTATTGTTCTGATCTGTTTCTTTTTCATAGCTTCCTATTGTTTTATGAGTGCAATATCTTCTTGCAAATCATCCTGTTGATAGTAATAAGCATTGTTGCTTAAAGTACTCATTTATACTCTGAATTACCTGTTTTATTTGTAGTCTATTTTTCTGTTTATGTTGCTATCACTCATGTTGCAAGTTTTCCTGAAATTTCTGGTGATCCTTGATTGCATACTTATATTTTAGAATGATACATTAAAAAAGCAAACACAGGCATGATGGCTCATGCCTCTAATAATCCCAGCACTTTGGGAAGTTGAGGTGGGAGGATCGCTTGAGCCCAGCAGTTTGGCACCAGCCTGGGCAACATGGTGATATCTGGTCTCTACAAAAATGGAAAGATTAGCCAGGTGTGGTGGCATGCACCTGTAGTCCCAGCTACTTGGGAGGCTGAGATAGGACGATGGATTGAGCCCGGGAGGTTGAAGTCGAGATTGCAGTGAGCCGTGATTGTGCCACTGCACTCCAGCATGGGTGACAGAGTGAGACCCTGTCTCAAAAACAAAAACAAAACAAAACAAAAAAGCAAACACTTGTGAGTGTGCTATTTGAGGGATCAGGGCCTACTACCCGGACGCTGCTCTATGAGATTTAGTTCTTTGGTTTGTAGGATATACAAATGTCAGAATGCTAAAATTTTTATCATAGGGCCATTTAATTTATCCAAAAACAGAACCTGAATATCCCTTTTCAAGGGAATAGGTGCCTAACACCTGAAATTCTATGGGGGTGTACGTCTAACTTTCAATTAATGGCTCTTCTCGGCTCCACGTTAGTGTCCTATCTTCCTTAATTAAACCAGGTGCACGTGATCCCAAGCCTCGCCTCGGCCTTTGGCAATATGTGCTTCCATGAGCATCTTAGGCTGTGAACTAAAATACTTCATCCTGCTTCATTGTCTCTTGATCTCCTCCCACCTCTTGCAACCCTATCACTCTTCATCTTCTAGACATTTATTAATGTCACATCTACTGATCTGATGGCCTATTTTGTGTTCTCATAATAATTATAAGTTTATTCTCTCTATATTCTTTCACTGTCAATTAACTGGGGTTCCAGGAGGGAGAGGAGATATATTTATGTGGCCAGTCTCCACATGGAATGGGACATTTCCATTTTTTTCTTAATTTTTTACATTCTGGCTCTACTGAAGAAGTTCTGTTTAAACTTCTTCCTTGAAACTATTTCAAATAGATGTATTAAATTCAATTTTTAACACAATCTACCTGATAGGATCCCATAGATTGAGGGCTTAGTCCCACAAGATTGCCCCACTTCAGATGCCAATCGCAAGCCCCACATTGTGACCTGTGTTTCTGACCCATCAGCTATAAATTGGTGTTCCCACAACTCCCTTCTTGGGTTTTATTAATTTATTAGAGCAGCTCACAGAACTCAGGGAAAAACTGTGTTTACCAGTTTACTAAAAAGAATAGAATAAAGGATACCTGTGAACATCGAGATGGAAGGGACACATAGGGAGAGGTATGGGAAAAGGGGCATGGAGCTTCCATGCCCTCCCTAGGAATGGCAGCTTCCAGGAACCTGTGTGTTTAGCCATCCAGAAACTCTCAAAAGCCAGTCATTTGTGGTTTTATGGAAGCTCCATTATGTAGAAATGACTTAATACATCATTGGCTATTGGTGGTCAACTTAACCTTCAGCCCCTCTCCCGTCCCAGAAGGTTGGTGGTGGGGCTGAAAGTCCCCACCCTCTAATCCTACTTTGGTCTTTCTTGGGTGACCAGCCCTTATTCTGAAGCTATCTAGCCACCAGTCATCTCATTAGCATACAAAAGACACTCTTCTGGAGATTACAAGGGTTTAAGAACTCTATGTCAGGAAACAGATGAAGACCAAATATATATTTCACAACATCACGAAGCCAAGTAAAAACTGATAATTGCAAAGAATAGTTTAAAAATAAAGTTGAAAGTGGCTGAAGATACGGCCCAATTCTGGAAGCAAAATAAAAGTTTCTAGGGTCAGAGAAGTCAAGATACAGAAAGAACCAGAAGGACAGACAACTGAAGTCCGAGGCCAGTGCTGCCAAAAATAGAAGACTCATTTTGGCTTTCTGTCAAGGTTTCAGAGGACCTCTAAGTCTAGGCAATAACAGTACATAAGAACAAAAGCTAAGCTCAGAGACACCGAATCTCCCAGCTTGACTCCTTTTGATTAGAATTGTGATACTAAGCTGGGCGCAGTGGCTCACGCCTGTAATCCCAGCACTTTGGGAGGCCAAAGCGGGTGGATCACGAGGTCAGGAGATCGAGACCATCTTGGCTAACATGGTGAAACACCGTCTCTACTAAAAATACAAAAAAAAAAAAAATTTGCTGGGCACAGTGGCGGGCGCCTGTAGTCCCAGCTACTCGGGAGGCTGAGGTAGGAGAATGGCGTGAACCCGGAAGGCGGAGCTTGCAGTAAACCGAGATCGCGCCACTGCACTCCAGCCTGGGCGAAAGAGCGAGACTCCGTCTCAAAAAAAAAAAAAAAAAAAGAATTGTGATACTAATTCTTTATGTTACTGGGGGGATGATTCATCTTACATAACAGGAGTTTAGGAACCCTACTAAATTGCTAATATTAAGCAATTATATAATATCTTCAGATCTGTGTAGACATTACACACCCTTATCCTTCATAGGAAACAACCAAAGTTTCTGCCTAAAGGACACTTAGGAATTTACCCTCCCATATTTTATTTTTTATTTTTTTGAGACAGAGTCTCACTCTGTTGCTCAGGCTGGAGTGCAGTGGTGCGATCTCAGCCCACTGCAACCTCTGCCTCCCTAGTTCAAGCGATTCTCCTGCCTCAGCCTCCAGAGTAGCTGGGATTACAGGCACACATCACCACACCCCGGTAATTTTTGTATTTTTAGTAGAGATGGGGTTTCACCATGTTGGCCAGGCTGGTCTCAAACTCCTGACCTCAGGTGATCCACCCGCCTTGGCCTCCCAAAGTGCTGGGATTATAGACGCAGGCCATCTCGCCCAGCCCCCTCCCATATTTTAATAGCAAAATTTTGGAGACTTGAAGAGCTATAATTGGCATAATTATTACATCTTCCTGAGACAGATTAAGTTTATCTTGTTATGTGAAGAAGAAGAGTGAGCTGGAGAGTAGACTAGAAGTTCCTCTCCTTTTTTCCTTTTTTTTTTTTTTTTTCTGAGGCGCCATATGTAGGGCTTATTTCCATTTTGGTTGTCTTTCTTGGATAATCTTTCACTGAATAGTTCACCCTTTAAAATTTTACATGCTTCCAACGAGGAAGTCAACATAGCATAAAGACCTTAGCTGTCTTTGAAAGTAACAATCTGGCACGAAATTTTATTTTTATGCTAATCATGATTTTATATAATGCTGATATTTTAATATTTTCTTTAATACTTGAATAAAGAACAAACTTTTTAAAGAAAGAAAATCACCAACATTTCTCTTATCCTATGAAGGTAAGTTTTTATTTTTGCATATTCCCTTCTGCCTACATGGCAGAAAACTCCAGGACTGAAAGACACTTTAGAAATCAAAGGGTTTGGCCGGGCACAGTGGCTCACGCCGGTAATCCCAGCACTTTGGGAGGCCAAGGTGGGTGGATCACGAGGTCAGGAGATCGAGACCATCCTGGCTAACACGGTGAAACCCCGTCTCCACTAAAACTACAAAAAATCAGCCGAGTGTGGTGGCAGGCGCCTGTAGTCCCAGCTACTAGGGAGGCTGAGGCAGGAGAATGGCCTGAACCCGGGAAGCGGAGCTTGCAGTGAGCCGAGATCATGCCACTGCACTCCAGCCTGGGCGACAGAGCAAGACTTTGTCTCAAAAAAAAAAAAAAAAAAAAAACAAATGGTTCACTTTCTTCATTTTCAGATGAGACAACTAAGAACTCAGAATGCTATGAGGTTAGCCCAGGGTCATACCTTATAGGCTCCACTAAAATAAATTTTAATACTAAATTAATTTTTTAAAAAAGTTGTTAAAACATGAGAAGCTCCCTAATTGCCAGTTTTCTCCACTAAGAATGTAACTGTAAGGGGAAAAAAAAAATCTCTATTATGGAATGCAGTATTAGCATTATTGAAGGCAATGTCTGGAGAATTACAGCTCCGTAGAACTACAGCAAATCTGAATTCCTTAATAAAAATTCTCAGAAGTCAAGGAATTTCTAGAAAACAAACATGAATTCAAAGCTTTTAGATTTAAGGATTCAAATTCAAAGTTCACATATTTGTTGTGCATTGCTATAGCTAATGCTGCCTGCACATTGTTGATTCTGGAATGTACCCTCCTTGATAAAAAGGCAAATTAGTTGTCTTAAATAGAGCACCTAATTAAGGCTTTCTCTCTGCTATAATCCACAGAAATTAAATAGCATTGTAAAAGGGAGTACTCTCTAAGGAACACAGACGGCTTTCAAAACAACTGTTAGAAACAGTCTGGACTCACATTAGTGGGATTCTGAATGTTCCGTAGCAGTAAAGAGCCCCAAACGGAAATTGAGGCTGGCCTGGTGGCTCACGCCTACAATTGCAGCACTTTGGGAGGCCGAGGCGGGCAGATCACTTGAGGCCAGGAGTTCGGGACCAGCCTGGCCAACATGATGAAATCCAGTCTCTACTAAAAATACAAAAAATAGCCAGGTGTGGTGGCGGGCGCTTGTAATCCTAGCTAGTCAGGAGGCCAAGGTAGGAGGATCGCTTGAACCTGAGAGGCAGCAGTTGCAGTGAGCTGAGATAGTGCTACTGCACTCCTGCCTGAGGGATAGAGCAAGACTCTGCCTCAGGGGGGAAAAAAAGGGAATTGAAAACTCCAGTTCTGATGCTATTCTGTCATTAACCAGGAATGTAATCTGAGACAAAACACTTAATTTTTCTCGTTCCTTTTTGATGTTGATGAGGTGAGCCTAGGCAATCTCAGAATTCTTTTTCAACTATAAAATTCTAGGATTCTTTCCTCCGCACATGTGAAAGGTGTCCCCGTACTTCAGGCTCTGGGAAAACTCCAGGTGTGAAGAGTTGCCTTTATTAACAAGATGCTAATATCCTTTTGTCCTTCTCTGAGGTAAGCCTTAGGCAGAAACCTGGCACTTCTTTGGCTCCCCCTTCCTCCTTCAGCTCCCGCCTTCATACCCTGATGTGTAACAAAACCCCATTGTGCTCTCACTTAAGTTTCATCACTCTTTCTTCTCCCTGCACACTATCAACGCTTTAGGACTCGTCCTTATTTCTGAACCACAGGAACAAGTAACTGTTTTTCTAATGTTTCTCTCAGAGTACACTCTGCTTCTAGTGAGTTCCAATTCTGTTTATTAAGATTTTCATACCCATGGCAGTGATTGATACTCCCACACTCCATATTCAATGTCAGCAAATTTGGTTGGCTTTCTTTAAAATATGTCTAAAATATGTCCACTTACCTCTCCACCTATTATTGCCTGGGTCCAAGCCAGCAATAACTTCTGACTGATCTCCCTTTTGCCCTTAGCTCCATTGTCTACTCTCCACACAGCATCCAAAGCAGTCCTATGAAAACATTAACTCAGATCATGTCACTCCTCTGCTCAAAGTAACATTCCTTACAATGGCCTACAAAGCCCTAGGTGCCGTGGCTATTGTTACTCTCTAACTGCATTCCCCATTCGTCTCCCCGTCTTTTCCAGTACATAAACCCTCTTACTGTTCCTCCAATCTGCCAGGAACATGGCCACTTGCAGCGACTTTGCACTTGCTGTTCTTTCTGCCTGGAATATTGTTCCTCCAGTTAGCTGCATGGCCAATTTCCTCACTCTGTCACTTAACTCCAATGTCACCTCCTCATGAGCCTTCTCTGGTCCCTCTATTACCCTCTCAAAAATTGTGAGTCCTCTCTTATTTTCACTTCATCACTTATCACTATCTAACATAGTATGTTTTGCTTATTTTTTGTCATTTTTTTCTCTTTCCCATGACAGTAGGGATTTTTGTCTGTTTTGCTTATTGCTCTATCACAAACGACTAGCGCAGTGGGTAATGAGTATTTCCTGGTTAATGAATGAATTGTGGGAGATCTGCACCAAGGGAACATATGGAGACAGACACTAGATCAAATGTCTCCTTTGTTTGCTCATGGTAAAACATTTGACCATCTTCTTAATCTTACGTGGTAAAAAATTCCATGTCTTTTGTTAATTGTGATATATGTCTTAGATCTCTTGTGAGATGTTTTAGATCTCAGGGAAAGCATTCCTCATTATTAAAGCATTAATTTGGTCACTAGGGGATGAATCCAATCTTATTTTCCAAATGTTATCCTGTACATTTGGCAGTCTTGCTAAGTTATATAGAAGGAAGTAGAGTCTATTATTTTAGATAGAAAATTCCCGGTCCCGACTCGCAGTGGTCAAAGTCTTCAAAATTCTAAGATCATAACACATAACGTCAGGAGGAAATATGTGGCTATTAATCATACTAATGATAGTGATGATGCAATAAAATAATTGTAATATGCTAACACCAATTGTATCTTAAAAAGAGGTACTGGAAATTCCATCTTGCATTCTTCCGTTTTTTCCTGTTATAGAAAAACGCACTCCCTGATACTCAGTAGAGGATCAACTTATTTCTAGTTAATCAGCATGAACGTTTCCAGCAGAATAGATGCTTTGGTGTAGCACTTGCCTGGGAGTCATGGTTAGCATTCCGCATTTTTTAGAGAGCTGAATTCAGCAGCCTAGGAAACATTAGGAAGAACACCTTCAAACAGGGAACAACGTCTTGGGGGGAAAGAGAGTCACTGCCTCCGCTAGGGATCCCGAGGGGGTACAAAAGCAACAACAATAAAAACTCGTGGAGAGTAGGTTCCACGACATGCGCATGCGACGAACTCCCGCACTCAGCGGGGCAGGTTTCGTCCTTCATCTTCTCAGTCGGCAGGACCTGCTTCTCGCTGAGGATGAGTGAGGACAGCCGCAGCTCGGCGGGGACGGCCCGGTAGCCTAGAGCGCCGGCACCCGAGTCCCGCCGCCGGAGCCGCGCCTGGAGCCGCGGTGGGGGAGGGGCAGCGGCGGCCCGCGCTGCGTCGAGCTTCCCAGAATTCCCAGCGGCCGCGGGGAAAGTTTACGGGATGTAGGCGGCGGCGGCGGTAGTGGTAGCGGTTATTCGGCGGCCCGCGGCGGACCATGGCCCTGGCCCTGGCCCGGCGTCGCTGGGCTTTCCTCACGGCGTCCCCGAGCAGCGTCGCAGAGCGGGCCGACTTCCGGGAAGGAACTGACCAGCGACTGAGCGGCGGCCGGCGCGCTTAGCGCCCTGAACATGCGGCAGTCCCTGCGGGCGACCCCGGGCTCCGGACAGGCGGCGGCGGAGGCGGCGGCTCGGGAGGGAAGGAGGCGGCGGCGCCGGCGGAGGTGGCGGCGGAGACGGCCGGCGCCCGGCGCGGAGCCCTAGGGAGGCAGTTCAGCGCGGCCTCGGGCCTCGTCGAGAAGGATGCTGTCCCGAAAGAAAACCAAAAACGAAGTGTCCAAGCCGGCCGAGGTGCAGGGGAAGTACGTGAAGAAGGAGACGTCGCCTCTGCTTCGGAGTGAGTGTCAGGCGGGGCGTGCCCACACCTGGCCCAGGCGGCCAGGTGCTCCGGGGACCCTGGCGGGGGCGCCGGCGGGTCTCCAGGGCTTCTCCTTCGTCCTTGGTCGCGTGAAATACTGGTTTTGAGATTTTCTTGTGTCTGAAGTGGTATTCGTTGATTGAAAGCCCATAAGAGTAAGAAACTTGGGTTAGTCCCCCCCGCGCCTAACCCCCCCAAGAGCACCCCCTAAAAATAACAGACTTCCTCGCCCCACCAGGCAGAGTTGTTGGTTTTGATTACTGGAAGAGAGAGTAGGAAACATTTAAATTGCTTATCACCTAATGCTATAGGAGTAAAAGTAATTAGACAGGGACACTTTTTACTCTTTTAGATGCGTCGAGATGTGCGTCATGTTTGCAAACATTGCGGGTGTCTCTCGACTGTGCTGCAAGTTGTGCGAACTCTGGGGCAGAATTCCTTAGTCCTGCTGCCGGATGCAGACTTGAGAAGGTGAAAAGCATACCGTCGTTCTTGTAGCCGCCACCCAAAGCCTCATCACTCTTACACAGCAGAGCAGAGAGCCAAAAGCCTTTGTATTTGGCTATATTCGTGAGATTCCAAGAAGGCAACTCAAAATAATTTCTATCGTATTAGAGAACCCCCCCCTCGAAAAGTTTTTTTTTTTAATAGGGTAGATCCCACTCCCAATCCCCACCTCCGGTCCCCCGCTGCTTTTCTTCTTAATGTAAGTATTTGATTTTTGAGTTGAATCTCTTGAATTTTTAATTCTTGTGTGTTCAGGACATTTGTGAGGCATGGAGCTGGTATTTTGGTGCTCTTACTGCGCCCTGGGCCCTTTGCTTAAGTTTCCTTCTTGGAAGCTGGTAGTAACCTTGTGACTTAAGTATTACCTCATATTGTAATTGGGAAAGTTAGGTTTCTAGTATTTGCCCAAGATCACACAGATGGGAGAGCATGTTTTTCCATCATAACCACATTGTCAGCCTTCCAGATTTATGGTGGTACTTGCAATACTTTCAACAAAATATATGTCAGTTGAGTACATCAGTAACTCGAAACTTGATTTTTAAGTTGTTTTTTTTTTTTTTTAACAACTTGATTTTCAGTCACACATGCAGTTAGGTTTCTGGCTGTTTTTAAGTGATAGCTTGCTGTTTGCTGCAAATAAAGTTTATCAGACATTACTTGAAATCGTGAATTATGTTTGTCACACTTTTTATTATACTTTAAGTTCTGGGGTACATGTGTAGAACGTGCAGTTTTGTTAATGTTTGTCACAGTTAAGCAAATAACTTTTGATCTACTTTGTTTTGTTGTCGTTACATCAAGTGTTGAGCCTTATTTATTCAGATATTTGTTTCTGTCCAGTGTTAGTTTCTGAAGCTTATTAATATGAGTGTCTCCAATATTGTTTACTTGATGAATAATAAGAGGGTCTGCATATTCAGGTTTTTGTCTTGTTTTAAAGGTATTTGCTTTCTAACTGGGAATGTCTTAAGCTGTTTTCAAGTTTCGTGTTTAAAAGTACTGTATCCTAAAAGCTGTTGTTCTATTATCTACTATTTTGAATTATAATTACATAGTTTCAGGCTTGGTTTTTTGAGCCACTTCTACATTTGTGTGCTTCTTTGAAATGAGAGCTTTTTATTTTCAATTTTCATACATAAATTTTTGGCTTTCTAGCTTTTGATTACTGTGCTAGTGCTAGGTAATTCCAAGAGAAGAAAGAGCTACTAATTTTTTAATTTTTAAAGGAATCCACTTTTACATATTTGGGAGTAGCATTAAGTTCTATTTTTGAAATTGTGTTTGCTTCAAGAAGGATTTTTGGCAGTTTCTAAAATGAAGTGAGAACAACAAAATAAACTACTTAACTAGAAACTATCAATTTGTTATATTATTTCCTATTTTTATACATTAATTCATGAGCATTTCATTAATGTGTAGTTCATAGATAAGATTATTGATATTTTATCATATTATGTATGGTAGTATGCAGAATACATTTTATTCTAGCTGAGCTTTTACGCATAGTCCATTAATGCAAGTTATATAAATTCATTTGATTGGGAAAATATTAATCTTCCTCAATTTAAAATGCCCAAGTACCATCCTAAACCAAAATTTAAAATTGTGTTTTCTTAAGTTGACTGACATTTTGATTTTGGGGTGGTAGACATAAATGAACAAATTTCGAAAACTTTTGTTACTTAATGATGAAAGGGTAATTTTATCCTTTGTTTTATTGTAGATCTTATGCCTTCATTCATCCGGCATGGTCCAACAATTCCAAGACGAACTGATATCTGTCTTCCAGATTCAAGCCCTAATGCCTTTTCAACTTCTGGAGATGTAGTTTCAAGAAACCAGAGTTTCCTTAGAACTCCAATTCAAAGAACACCTCATGAAATAATGAGAAGAGAAAGCAACAGATTATCTGCACCTTCTTATCTTGCCAGAAGTCTAGCAGATGTCCCTAGAGAGTATGGTTCTTCTCAGTCATTTGTAACGGAAGTTAGTTTTGCTGTTGAAAATGGAGACTCTGGTTCCCGATATTATTATTCAGACAATTTTTTTGATGGTCAGAGAAAGCGGCCACTTGGAGATCGTGCACATGAAGACTACAGATATTATGAATACAACCATGATCTCTTCCAAAGAATGCCACAGAATCAGGGGAGGCATGCTTCAGGTAGCTTAACATTATAAATAATATAGTAGTTTATATTTATTGACATGTCAATTAAAAAGATGTTCTTTTCTAGATTTTCTTGGGACACGAACAAATACTACTAGCGAAATGTTTTTCCACTTTGCTCATCCTGCTTAAGCCTGTGTGCAAATAGTTGTTAATCTACACTGAATGGAAGAGTCCTTGTGACCATTTATTTTATTAACTCATGTTATGTAAACTTGGTATTTATCTCAAGGCTGTCTAGACTCTTAATGCTGTGACCCTTGAAAACCTAGAGAATTTAATGTCTCCAGTTGGGCTGAATTTAGGTTTAGGTTTGGTAGAATAATGGGAAGGGTAAGTCTTCAGAGACACTTGACGGAGTCCTCAGAGACACTTGACAAACTTGGGAAAGGAAAGAAGAGTAGGAACAACTGGGCATGCTCAGTGATACCCTGAGCAACCACATTACTTCGCTAGATCCTGCCCTTTTTCTCAACAAAAAGTAGTTCAAGAATTATTTCCTGAGTTGATCAAAAAGACTTATTGTCATATGGTTAATTATGTGTTGAGCATGTCTTTTTATTATTTTTGTAACAGACAAAAAAAATTACCATATAATTTAAGAAAAGAAGGTACTTTCCATATCTCCTGAGTTGGAGATACTTCTGAAAGGAGCAGAAGAGATGGGAGAAATGTACAATTCTACTTTATTCCTGAAGTCCTGGTTTTACCAGATAAAATGAAGTGAGATGAAAATTAAACTTTCTTGTCTGATTTTTTTTTTCTACCAAGTTATAGACTTTAAATTTTGGCAGGATAAAAATAAAATGTGAGACAGATTTACTTTTTGGCTCACATAACTTCAAATAAGGCGACTTAAAAATGGTTTGGAGCATTAGTATTTTGACTGTAGAAAAAATTTATTCATTTAATATTAACTGTTTATGTGTCTAGCGTTTTCCTTGGGTCTGTTGGTCTCTGCTTTCTGGTACCTTATTTGTCTAGTACCTTATTTGTGGAAACAAAACCAATCTATACACAATGGTCACAGAAAAATTGTTATACTTTGTGATACTAACTGTAAGTGCAACAGGGAATCAGAAGAGAGATGAGTATAGGCTGGAATACTTAAAGAGATGATTCATGGAAGAGGTAGGACTTGGAGTGGGCCTTGAGCTTGGCCTTTAGATTAACAAGGGCCAGAAGAAGGACATTTTACGTGGAAAATTGGGAATAGCACAATGAAAACAGAGTAGGCATGGTTTAAATATAAGGAACAGTGTAGTTCTGCCTGGTTTGAAGAAATAAGATGTAAGGTTGAGTGGAGATTTGTGGTTCAACAATAGGCTTAGATTTGAGTCAAGTGGAAGCTCTTGCACATTTCGGAAAGACAAGTGATTTTATGAAAGCAGTGTTTAAAGATTAGTTTTGTACTAGAATTAAGGGTAGATTCCTAGAGAAAAGAGGATTGCAGGTACCAGTGGGTACCAGTGGTAATAGGAAAACGCAAATCTAGGATGCTTTTAAAGGAAAAATGAGAATTAGAGTTTAGGAGAAAGCAGATCACTGAAGTTTTAAAAATAATGTGGAATAGTTGGTAAGAACAACTTATTTTATGAAAGCTGACATCAGAGTCTCACTGGAACATTGTAGAGGAGAGGTTTTCTAGGCATGTGGAAATGCAGTAAGAGGCATGGGTAAAAGCACCTTTTAGTTTTTAAGGAATTAGGTTAAAGAATTAGCTGCATGCTTGAGTGTTTATTTTGGTTATTTCTGATATGCAGTTCTGAACCTCAGGAATAATTTGTTATCTAACTAAAATAGTAAGTTTTAAAAATAAAGCTCATTTATATTTTCTTCTAGAATAATAACTGCTTATTACAGGAAATTTGCAAAATGCAGAAACGTAAAGGCAAAGTACCTGTCCACCAGAGATCCTCTTAGTATGTTATTTTCTTCATCTTTTTCCATGCCAAATTCTTTTTTTACATGGATGTGATTATATAATATTTTGTACAGTTTTCTGTTCTTTTTACTTGAATGATTTTCTTCATGTTGTATACTTTTTATGAGTGGTTTTAATGACTGCGTAATCTTCCATTTGGTGCATATTCAGTGGTTAATGAGGACTTGACCTATACTTCAGAAATTTGGAAAGAGGAGAAGTGGGACACGCCCACATTAATGGGACTTGGCCACTAACGGGGTTTGAAGGACAAAGGAGAGGGAAGAGTCAGATAGGATTAGCACAGCACATGACTGCCTAAGAGATGCTCACAAAAATAAATGGCTGAATGAGTGAATGAACCCAGCGGTTTTAAATCTGGAGGCTTAAGACAGTTTTTGGTAGCTGAGGGAGAACAGAAATAGCTATGTTTACTGTTAATATAGAATATGTGTTATTCTTTGCGTTCACCTTTCCCACCTATATTGTAGACGTCACTGATAGCTTGTAATACTTTTCTACCTGAGGTTTAAGTATGTAAATATGAGGAATTAATAACAAGTTAAACTCTTGTTTTGAAAATCTAATTTGCCAAATATAATTGAGGAAATACTATAAGAACTAAATCTCTACTGATCCTCTCTTAGGAGCAATTTGAGATAATTTTTCTAAGTTTAAAGACAGACTTTAAAGCAACTTTCCAGTCACAACTTCAAAATAAAGTACAAGTTAATTGCATACGTTTTCAGATTCAAGTATGTCATTAAAAAAATAAGATTTCAGGCTGGGCACGGTGGCTCACGCCTGTAATCCCAGCACTTTGGGAGGCCAAGGAGGGTGGATCACGAGGTCAGGAGATTGAGGCCATCCTGGCTAACACGGTGAAACCCTGTCTCTACTAAAAATAAAAAAATTAGCCGGGCGTGGTGGCAGGCGCCTGTAGTCCCAGCTACTTGGGAGGCTGAGGCAGGAGAATGGTGTGAACCCGGGAGGCGGAGCTTGCAGTGAGCTGAGATTGCGCCACTGCACTCCAGCCTGGGCAACAGAGTGAGACTCCGTCTCAAAATAAATAAATAAATAAATAAATAACAAGATTTCAAAACACTGATGAAAGAAATTGAAGAGCACAAAAACAAATGGAAAGACATCCCATGCTCATGGGTCAGAAGAATTAACATCATTAAAATGACCATGTTGCTCAAAGTAATCTACAGATTGAATGCAATCCCTATTAAAATACCAGTCATTTTTCACAGAAATAAAACAATCCTAAAATTTCCACAGAACCAACAAGGAGCCCAAATACCCAAAGTAATCCTGAGCAAACCGAACAAAGCTAGAAGCATCACACTACCTGTCTTCGAAATAAGGCTATAGTAACCACATACAAGGTTATAGTAACCACAAATAAGGCTATAGTAACCACAATAATATGGTATTGGTATAGAAAGACACATAGACCAATGGAACAAAAATAGGTAATGCAGAAATAAATCCACATATTTACAGCCAACTGATTTTTTTACAAAAGCACCAAGAACGTGCATTGGGAAAAGGACACTTTCTTCAATAAACGATGCTGGGAAAATTGGATATCCACATGCAGAAGAATGAAATCTGACCCTTGTCTCACCATATGCAAATTCAACTTGAGATGGATTAAAGACTTAAGACCTGAAATTATAAAAGTACTAGAAGAAAATGTAGGGGAAACACTTCAGGACATCGATCTAACAAAGATTTTATGGCTAAGACCTCAAAAGCACAGGCAACAAAAACAAATAGACATATGGGACTATATTAAACCAAAAGGCGTCTGCACAGTAAAGGAAACAACAGAATGAAGAGACAACATATTGAATAGGAGAAAGTGTTTGCAAAAGATTCATCCAGCAAGGGACTAATATCCAGAATATGCAAGGAAGCCAACAGTAAGAAAAACAACCCCATTAAAAAGTGGGCAAAGGACATGAATAGACGTTTCTCAAAAGAAGACATACAAATGGCCAAAAGGTATGTGAAAAAATGTGCAACATCACTAATCGTCAAGGAAATGTAAGTGAAAACCACAGTGAGGTGTCTTACCCCAGTCAGAATGGCTATTGTTAAAAAGACAAAAAAATATACTACTGGTGAGAGTGTGAAGAAAAGGCAACTGTTACAGACTGTTGGTGGGAATGTTACAATAATTAGGACAGGCACTATGAAAAACAGTTTGGAAATTTCTCAGAAAACCGAAAACAGAACTACCATATGATCCGGCAGTTCCACTGCTGGGTATCTATCTAAAGGAAAAGAAATCAGTATATCAAAGAAATACCTGCACTCCCATGTTTATCATGTCATTTGCAGCAGCTTGAATGGAACTGGAGGTCATTATATTAAGGGAAATCAGGCACAGAAAGAGAAGTGTCTCATGTTCTTACTCACATGTGGGAGCGAAACACATTGATTTCATGGAGATAGAATGATAGCAGAGGTTGGGAAGGATGGGAGGGGAGGTAAAGAGAGGTAGGTTAATGGGTCCAAACATAAAGTTAGATGGAATAAGTTCTAAGGTTTGATAGCAGAGTAGGGTAACTACAGTTAACATTTTGAAATAGCTAAAAGAGAGGACTTGAAATGTTCCCAACACATAGAAATGATAAATACTCACGGTGATGGATACCCTAAATACCCTGACTTGATTATTTCATACTCTTTGCATGTATCACAATATCACATGTACCCCATAAACATGTGCAAATAATTATGTATCCAAAAAATGCTATAAAACAATGTTACCACCTGACTGGGCTCTTGTCTGCTATCCGAATAGAGCAGAACACTGAGACAGCAGATACTGTAAAGAAGAAAGAGTTTAATTATTGCAAGGCAGCTGAGTAAGGAGGATGGGAAATGTTTCTCAGAGTCATCACCGCCAAGACTGGAGAAGCTAAGATATTTAAAGATGATTTGGCAGGCAGGGGGCTAGGGGATGGGTGCTGGTGATTGGACTGGTATGAGATCATAGGGTTATCAATGCTGTCTTCATGTGCTGAATCAGTTGCTGGGAAATTGGGGAGTCACAAGACCAAGTCAGTTCCTTGGTTGAGTTCATGGAACACTGGTCCATTTGGTGTCAGTTGGTCCACTTGTAAGCAAAGTCTGAAAAATATCTCGAAGACCAGTCTTAGGTTTTACAGTAGTGTTTGTGACTGCCAGTTACTATGGAAAGAAAGCTGGGAAAAAATGGCAGGTTACTGTTTAAACCTATAGCTTAGCAGAAGAGTTTGCAGGAGGTGAGATCACCAGTGATCAAAGTGGCCTGGCCTGTTTGGCCAGTCCAAATTCTGGAAACTATCAAGGGGGTCTGTGTGATCTAGGATCATTGTTTTCTTGTTCTTCTCTTCTATTTTCTTTTTTGAGACAGGATCTTGCTCTGTTGCCCGGGCTGTAGTGCAGTAGCATGATCACAGCTCACTGCAGCCTCGACCTCGGGCTCAAGCAATCCTCCCACCTCAGCCTCCTGAGTAGCTGGGACTACAGGCATGCACCACCACACCTGGCTAATTTTTTGTATTTTTAGTAGAGACTGAATTTCAGTGTTGCCCAGGCTGGTCAAACTCCCAAGCTCAAGCAATCTGCCTGCCTTGGCCTCCCAAAGTGCTGGGATTACAGGCATGTGCCGCAGCACCCAGTCTGGATTATTGTTCTTTAAAAGAAACAGGTTTGTTAATCTTATGGGCAGCCTGCCCAGGGGCTGCCACAGGAAGACAATTATTAGTGACTGCCATTTGTTGAAATGACTTTGCAAGCAGTCATACATGGAGGTGGAAAAAGAGAAGGAAAATATTTTATCAAAATTCGGGCCCCTACCGTAATTTTAATCTTGAGGGTGTTTTTAATTTTATGAGGGAGGCTTCAGCAGGAGTCAGCAAGCTACACCCATAGGCCAGATAGACTTGCCTCCTGCAATACAGTAGTTTTATTGGAACACACATGCACTGAAATAAGATTTGATTTCATGGAATAGCCAAGACCTTGTTTTAATGAGACAGTAGACTTCTGCCTTCGAAGTCTCATCCCAGGCTCTTTTATATCAGATTGCGTTAGGTTTAAAGAAGGTTGCAGGTAGTTGAAGAATCTCAGGTAATAAGGTATCTCTCCCAACCAAAAAAAAAAAAAAAAAAAAATTCTTTACAGCAGTTGATACACTGCTTGAGAGCTTGAGAGACTTCATTTGATAAGATTAATTTTTATCAGGGCAATATAGATTTAATGTTTTACCTTGTAGAAAAAAGTAGTACTTTTTTTGAAGGAATCTCTAAAGTTGCAGGGAAAGATTAATAACCAATTACATGCCAAACAGAAAAGCCTAATAACTGCCTCTTCCACAAGGGAAAAATCTGAATATGAGACAGTAGCTGAAAGTTTCTTGAATTCACCTTGAGAAGACTTAAAACATATTTTTAGGATTTATGCTGAATAAGGTTCAAGGAATTTGAATGAATAGAAAGGAGAAAGTAAGTTTGTAGGAGGATAGGATAGGTTTGTGCGATAGATCTATTTTCAGAAACATTGAATTTTGATTGTCATAAGCATAAAAAGGTTGGAAAATTTGTTTTGTAATGACTTAATGGCAATAGTAATTCCTGTCAATTAGTTATTAGATTTTCAGGAAACACCTTGTGTCAAGGGTTAAATTCAGCTTATTGTATTTAGTAGAAGCACAAAAACAAGTTGTATAATCTCAGAAAGTTTTAGAGCCTAGAAAGTTCTACGTTTAGCTGTAGAACTTTCAGATTAGAAAATTTGACCTTTAATGTTCTTGGCCGCATACCAGTCACGCACTTACTGTATGTTCCAAAGAAAGGAATCCTGCTGTTAACAGGAAGTCTTTAGTTGGAATACTAAAGGCAGACTGAATTCCTTTGTTTTGCGCTTAAATTTTAGTTCTGTCTCGAAAACATTTTTAAACGTTTAAAGATGACTAAAGAAATCAGGATACAAAAATCAGACTGAAAAGTGTGAGCTTTATCAAGAAATACTGGATTTGCAGTTACTCGGGTAATGTGTAAATATTTGTGTAACCAGAATCTTTTGAGGAGGGGTTGATAATCTTTAGAGACACCACCTTTTCTGTATTTATTTTGCAGAGGAAGAGAGAAAGCATTTGGTTGAGTTTAATACTTAGATCTTTTTATCAACATCTTGATTATAACACATGCTAATAATGTGTAGCATCCATTACTAGGGACCCTGTGGAACTGTGTTAGAGCTCTAGATCCATTTTATTCTCTGTAGCCACTACAAAATTTGGAAACCGGCCTATTTGAGTCTTATTCATAATGGTAGATCTCATAAATATCTGCCTGGTTGTATGAGATTAAGTTTTTTGGCACATCTACTGATAGCTGAGAGAGAAAATAATACTTTATCTGTGTCTTCGACTAAGTCATATGTTTAGTGTGTGAATGTTTTACTTTGTATTAATAGAAGGTGTTTGTGCAGTTAATTCCTGCAAATAGAAGCTGTTTTGAGGATTAATTGTGAATCCAGTTTATTACTTTCAAGGACTACTTGAAATTACAGAAAGGTAATTTTGTTCTTGTCACTCAAAAACTGAAGTTACCATTTTTTCCCACTGATTTGGATCAAAATTGGTGGCTTGCTTTTTCTTTTACTAGTGGTAGTCATATTTTTCTTTAAAGAATAAATAACAATTGATCTTTTGTTGCTGAGATTACATGGTTAGTAACAGGTTTGCATTTGACCTTATACCACTTGTTGTGTGACCACTGGTAAAATAATTCACTTGAACCTGTTTTCTCATCTGTAAATTGGTGGTAATAGTACTACCTCCTAGAGCAGTTTTGGCTATGAAATAAGACATATGGAAAGAGCTGGGGATAGAATACACATCCATAACTGTTTGCACATGTCCTTTGTAAGAGTGAGTATTTCCCAGCACTTTGGGAGGCCGAGGCAGGTGGATCACAAGGTCAGGAGTTCAAGACCAGCCTGACCAACATGGTGAAACCCCGTCTCTACTAAAAATACAAAAATTAGCTGGGCATGGTGGTGTGTGCCTGTAATCCCAGCTACTCAGGAGTCTGAGGCAGGAGAATCGCTTGAACCAGGGAACCCGCGGTGTGGAGGGTGCAGTGAGCCAAGATTGTGCCACTGCCCTCCAGCATGGGCGACAGCGTGAGACTCCGTCTCAAAAAAAAAAAAAAAAAAAAGTGAGTGTTTTGTGTTCTGTGCTTTTCCCACATACTTGGGATGTTAGTTATTGAAGTTTGAGCTTTCTGGCTGAACTCATACTGGAGGAATGATTTATTAGAGCTTGACATAGCTTTTTTATTTTTTAATCTTCTGGATCTGTTTTGGTAATGCTTTATGCTTTAGAACAGTGGTTTGCATTGTTTTGTACTGTACATTTATCTCAATAGATTTTGTAAAATTATCCCAAATAATAATTTGAAAAAATATATCACACATTGTGCTTTCAGAAAGTACAGCTGGGGCCGGGCACGGTGGCTCACGCCTGTAATCCCAGCACTTTGGGAGGCTGAGACGGGCGGATCATGAGGTCAGGAGATCGAGACCATCCTGGCTAACACAGTGAAACCCCGTCTCTACTAAAAATACAAAAAATTAGCCAGGTGTGGTGGCGGGTGCCTGTAGTCCCAGCTACTCAGGAGGCTGAGGCAGGAGAATGGCATGAACCCAGGAGGCAGAGCTTGCAGTGAGCGGAGATCGCGCCACCGCACTCCAACCTGGGCGACAAGAGTGAGACTCCATCTCAAAAAAAAAAAAAAAAAAATACAGTTGGGGTATGTTTTGAAATTATTAATAGATATCTCTAAGAAAGTTTAGGAATCATGGCTTTACAGGGCATTGGAGTTTTTTAATAGCGTTAGTAAAGCTGATGTGCCTATTTGCAACTTTTTGGGTACTTCATGGCTCCTTTATCAAATTGTCAGGCTTTAAAAATGAGAGTATTTACAGAGAGGTCTTTGTGCTTCCTTTAAATATGAATCCCAAATTTATAGTCAGATATGGCTTTTGGTACCTAATGTTGTTTAAATGTAAGAGTACATGTGGTTCTAGATTTAGGCAAGTTCAGTACATATATGGAAGTATGGGTTTTCTTAATAGATGAAATTGCCACAAACTTTTAATACGCTCTAAACCTGTATAGTTTTTGTTTTTGTTTTTGAGACGGAGTTTCACTTTTGTTGCCCAGGCTGGAGTGCAATGGCACGATCTTGGCTCACCACAACCTCTGCCTCCTGGGTTCAAGTGATTCTTCTGCCTCATCCTCTCTAGTAGCTGGAATTACAGGCATATGCCACCATGCCCGGCTAAGTTTGTATTTTTAGTAGAGATGGGGTTTCTCCATGTTGGTCAGGCTGGTCGTGAACTCCTGACCTCAGGTGATCCACCCACCTCGGCCCCCCAGTGCTGGGATCACAGGCATGAGCCACCACACCTGGCCCTTGTCTTGTTTTTAATTACTATAAAGGCTTTTGTTTTTAGGCAGGGTATAGTGGCTCACGCCTGGAATCCTAGCACTTTGGGAGGCCAAGACAGATGGATCACCTAAGGTCAGGAGTTGGAGACCAGCCTGACCAACACGGTGAAACCCCATCTCTACTAAAAATACAAAAAGTAGCCAGGCATGGTGGCAGGTTCCTGTAATCTCACCTACTCGGGAGGCTGAGGCAGGAGAATCGCTTGAACCTGAGAGGTGGAGGTTGCAGTGAGCCGAGATTGCATCACTGACTTTAGCCTGGGGGACGAGGCTAGACTCTGTCTCAAAAAAAAAAAAAAAGGCAGCTTTTGTTTTTAATAATGCAGTATTTAGAATTTTGTTTCTATTATATATTTCCTGAGGGAAGCTCTGTTAGCCAAAATATTATGGCTTTTATAAGTAACTCATATAAATACACTGAATTGACTATACATTAGAAAAAATTGTTACATTGTTATGCTTGGTTTTGGCTGTAAAGCATTTTTAACATAATGAACATATTAGAATGTAAAGTAATTTTGTGTTTCTACGATGTGATATTAAAGTCATTTGCTGTGTACATGTGTTTCATACATTGGCTTCTTTTCTGTTTAAATATTTTCTCTTTAAGTACTGAAGTTGCTTAAACTATACATATTAAACTTTCAATTGCAGTTTAATAGAAGCCTAAGGTCAGTTTCACCAAAAGGCTTGTTTTGTTCTGTTTTATTGTCACCATCTTTAAAAAATTATATGTTAGCTTTCTTTTGAAAGGGTACCGAACAAGGGTGATCTACTTGTTCTTGCATCTGTTTTTGTTCTTGCATCCTTTTTGCCAGAATACTGCATAGATAATGTTGTGTACTTTCTATTGCATAGGTTCCAGTGACATATAATGACTGATTTGTCTGTGATGTTAAGATGCAGCCATGGGTACAGATGTCAGCTTAATTCATCCATCATCATGAAGTTCTCCATAAGCCTTTTATCTATTATTGGTTTTTGGCAGCCATTAATGATCATTGGCTAGCACTATTACAGGCATACCTCATTTTATTGTGCTTTGCTCTATTGTGTTTCGCAGATACTGTGTTTTTTACAAATTGAAGGTTTGTGGCAGTCCAACAGCACGTGCGCATTTCATGTCTCTGTGTCACATCTTGGTAATTCTTGCAATATTTCAAACTTTTTTCATTTCTGCCTGTTATGGTGATCTGTGATCAGTGATTGCTCATGTTACTATTGTAATTGTTTTGGGACATCACAAGGAATTGCACTTGTGTGCAAACTAAACTAAAATAAGAAGTGGAGCCTGATGATGTGACTGCATTGCTGCTGGTCTCATGATAAAACTTGAACAGATGAGTTGCTTTTTATGGATGAGCAAAGAAAGTGGTTTCTTGAGATAGAATATACTCCTGGTGAAGAAGCTGTAAATATTGTTGAAATGACTAATGATTTAGGATATTAAATAAATTTAATTGATAAAGTAGCAGTGGAATTTGAGAGGATTGAGGCCAGTTTGAAAGAAATGCTACTGTGGGTAAAATGCTGTCAAACAGCATCACATGCTACAGAAAAATCTTTCATGAAAGGTAAAGTCCATTGATGGAGCAAACTTCATTGTTGTTTTTAAGAAATTGCCACAGCTATCCCAGCCTTCAAACACCACCAGCCTGATTAGTCAGCAGCCATCAATATGGAGACGGGACCCTCCACTAGCAAAAAGATGCTGTGAACTCACTAAAGGCTCAGATAATCATTAGCATTTTTGTAGCAATACAATTTTTTTTATTAAGACCTGTACTTTTTTTAAAGATATAATGCTATTGCACACTTAATAGACTGCAATATATTGTAAAATATAACTTTTTTTTTTTTTTGAGATGGAGTCTCACTCTGTTGCCAGGTTGGAGTGCAGTGGCATGATCTCGGCTCACTGCCACCCCCACTTCCCAGGTTCAAGCAATTCTGCTGCCTCAGCCTCCCGAGTAGCTGGGACTACAAGTATGCGCCACCAGGCCCAGCTAATTTTTGTATTTTTAGTAGAGACAGGGTTTCACCATGTTGGCCAGGATGGTCTCGATCTCTTGACCTCGTGATACACCTGCCTCGGCCTCCCAAAGTGCTGGGATTACAGGTGTGAGCCACCGTGTCCGGCCGTAAAGATAACTTTAAGGTTCACTGGGAAACAAACAAATTCACGTAACTCGCTTTATTGCAATATTCACTTTATTGCAGTAATCTGGAACCAAACCTGAAATATCTCCAAAGTATGTCTAAGTGTTGCAAATTTTGATACTTGAATTCTGTCATTTCTTCTTTATTAGTTGGAATATTATAATTAAGGACTTTATCAATTATTTGGTTGCTGTTCATATAGGAAAGAAGGGTTGAATGCTAGATCTTTTCCTTTGTTTGCTATTTCAGAATGATGAATTGATACCCTAGCCACCTACAAAAGTAACCATGAACTCATGGATTTTTAACGCCAAGCTTTATTTGGATTTTATCATTTTTTTATTAATGTTTATTTTCTGTTCTAGGATTCATTCCAGAGTGTACTGCATTGCATTTCATTGTTGTATGTCTTTAGTCTTATTTAATCTATGCTAGTTTCTCAGTCTTTTGTTTTTTATGACCTTGACAGTTTTGAGGAGTACAGAATGTTTTGTAGATTGTACCTCAATTTCAATTCATTTTTTTTTCAATTTCTTTTTTTTTAGACGTCTCCCTCTGTCACCCAGGCTGGAGTGCAGTGGCACAATCTTGGCTCATTGCAACCTCCACCTCCCGGGTTCAAGCAGTTCTCCTGCCTCAGCCTCCTGAATAGCTGGGATCACTGCCACGTGCCACCACGCCTGGCTAATTTTTGTATATTCAGTAGAGATGGAGTTTCGCCATGTTGGCCAGGCAGGTCTTGAACTCTTGACCTCAGGTGATGCACCCGCCTTGGCCTCCCAAAGTGTTGGGATTATAGGCGTGAGCCACTGTGCCCAGCCTTTTTTTTCAATTTCAAAAGTCTGATGTTTTTCTCATGTTCCATATTATCATGTATTTTCCCTGACCCAGAAGCCGTTTCTCCAAGATGAGCTGGTTGATTTTAAGATTTTTATACTTAGTTTTAATTATTGGTGTGGTAATTCCTTTTGATGTTTAAATTGCTGCTGCTTTGGTGGCAGGAGCCCTTTCAATGTTGGTTCCTTTTTATTTCTCTTTGCTTTCTAATGTGACTAGATGTTCCAGGCTCATATTGTGCATTTTCTGCCTCAGTCCTGTACTCAACCATTCTAAGGATCCCTGGTTCCTTTCGATGGGGAAATAGTATTCAGGGATTGCACTCTTGTACTCATTGCTATTTGGTGGATTAATGCTTGTAGACCTTTTCAATGGACATATCTGGGAAATATGTTTTGTTGCTTTCTGGAAATAGAAATTCATTATGAGTTCATACTGTTGGCAGTTTAAGATTTCCAAGTTTTTACTTTTAGCTTTTTAAAAAAATGTTTAATTGTGATAAAATACACATAACAACATTTACCATCTTAACCATTTTTAAGTGTACAGTTTGTTGGCAGTAAGTACATTCACATTGAACTACCTTCTTTTTGCCTTAGGTTTTTATTTTTTTCTCATACTGAAAATCTTGGTTCCTGTTGACAATTATGTAACTATTCATTTGCTTTATCTGTAGCATAACTAGCTTTAAAAATAGTATCATCGACAATATGATTACTGAATAAAACAGAAGATTTCTTTGTAGTTTATTTTTTAAATTTAGGATATTTCCCGATGAGGAAGTACAATTTATTCTCTTTGGGCCGGGCACAGGGGCGCATGCCTGTAATCCTAGCACACTGGGAGGCTGTGATGGGAGGAATGCTTGAGTCTAAGGGTTTTGAGACCAGCCTGGGCAACATAGTGAGACCCTGTCTTTACAAAAAATAATAAAAGAAATTAGCCAGGCTTGGTGGTGCATGCCCATAGTCACACCTACTTGGGAGGCTGAGGTGGGAGGATTGCTTGAGCCCAGGAGGTTGAGACTGCAGTGAGCCGTAATTGTGCCACTGCACTCCAGCCTGGGTGACAGAGTGAGACCCTGTCTCAAAAATAAATAACAATAAATAAGTAATACATAAAATTCACTTTGAATTAATTTTTCTGAAGTATGCTTTAGCTGCTTCATGTACTCTTAGATTTGTTTACTTCATTTTGTTTTCACTTTTTAGGGATTGCTTTTTCTAAATTTTGATTTAATTTTGTTGTAAGTTACATAGGATATTTAAAAGGTTGCAAAATCAAAATGATAAAACAGAATGCATTTAGAAAATTAATTCTACCCCTGTCCTCTTCCACCCCATTTCCTTCCTCCCCCTGTAAATACCCAATTTTATTAATTTTTGTTACATATTTCATTGCAACACTTTATGAAAATAGATACAAATTACATATATATGTAAAATATGTATTCATATTATTCTCTTTCATATGTATTGTGTTAGGTTTCTGTAGCTGTAAAACACATTACTTCCAAACTCATTGGCATAAAACAATAAACATTTATTATCTCAGTTTCTGTGGTTCAGGATTTTGGAAGCGGCTTAGCCAGGTCATTCTGACTCAGGATCTCTCATGAAGTTGGAGTTCACACACGTCAGCTGGGGCTGCAGTTATCCGAAGCTTCGCTCTGGCTGAAAGATCCATTTCTTTCTTTCTTTTTTTTTTTTTGGAGACAGAGTCTCTCTCTGTTGCTCAGGCTTGAGTGCAGTGGCGCGCTCTCGGCTCACTGCATCCTCCATCTCCCAGGTTCAAGTGTTCTCCTGCCTCAGCCTCCTGAGTAGCTGGGACTACAGGCATGTGCCGCCACGCCCAGCTAATTATTTGTAATTTTAGTAGAGATAGGGTTTTGTCGTCTTGGCCCGGCTGGTCTCAAACTTCTGACATCAGGTGGTCCATCCACCTTGGCCTCCCAAAGTGCTGGGATTACAGGTGTGAGCCACTGCGCCCGGCCAAAAGATCCGCTTCTAAGTTCACTCACAAGGCTGTTAACAGGAGGCTTCAGTTCTGGCTGAAGGCCTCAATTCCTCACTCATGGGCTTCTCATGATATGGTATCTGGTTTCCCCCAGGGTGAGTGATGAGAGAGCAAGTACACTTGACCAAGGCAGAAGCTGCACGGTCTTTTATATCCTAATCTCAGAAGTCACACACCATCCTTTCTGCCATAAACTATTGGTCACACAGACAAGGGTGTGAATCCCAGGAGGACAGGGATAATTGGGGCCCAGGTTCACCTTACTGGCTGGCTACTACATATATGTATATATGGTGGTGTACTGTCCAGACTCTTTTTTCACATAATACATCCCGAATATTATTCCAGGGCAATAAATAGAAATCATCTTCATTCATGTTTACAGCTATATAATATAGTACTCTGTTCTGTGCGTGTAATAGTGTAATCATCCAGTTTGCTATTATTGGACATTTGGTTGATTTCTAGCCTTTTGCAACTATAGATGTTGCTGCAGTGACTAGCCTTATGCATATGCATTGTATGTTGTATTTAAATAAAAACAGTTTCTTAAACCACATGCCAATAACCCGTATTTATCCATACACTTACATATCCTTCTTTAGAATCTGAGTTTGAATTGAAGCATTTACCTTAATTTTAAAGTTTCTTCTAAATTACCTTTTGTCACTGGGGTCTGTTTCATTTGCCTTTCTTTAAAGGTAAACTTGATGTTTTCATTTTGCCTTAGTTTCCAGCCAACTGTAATTTTAAAAGCTCTTCAAAGTCAGCTGGGAACTTTTGACTAGTAGATGTTTTGCTCTGGCATGGTACTCCTTCACACCTCAATGGTCACCCAGTCTTTCTTATTTTGACCATTCTGAGATATTCTAAATTTGGCAGTTAGGGCCTTGGGTTGACTGGCAGTCTTCTGTTAACACACTAACTTTTCATTTAAATGCTGTATCCTTGTACCTTTCAGGCACAGGGATTCAAATTTATGTTAAAATTTTGTCTGGGGTGCAACTGTTACAAATAATGAGGATTAATAATAGTATGAACCACATACTGTCTTCCTAGGACTGTGTTAGAACATGCACCAGCAATGATAATACATCTGTATTTGCTGCCTAGTGGCTAACAGATTTACTCTCTTGATTATAAAAAACACCTTCGTTTCAGAACTAGTAAAATATGGGAGTGAAAGAGGCAAAATAAGTCCAAAAATCAAGGAAAATATTTATGCAGTTTCTGTCTCATTGATGTGTGTATCTCCTCCACTAATACTACACTGTCTTTATTACTGCAGCTTATTTATTTAACACTTACTATGTGCTTTATTCTGTAGACACTGTTCTAGAGACTGGAGATGTATCTGTGAACAAAACAAAGATTCCTGTCCTAAGAATCTTCTTTGTGGGATTCTTGTAGGTAAATAAACAAACTAAAATTACATAAGTTAAAAGGTTAAAGTGCTTTTTAAAAAAGTAAAACGGTAAGTAGAAGCTCAGCAGATGTAGACTGCCATAGTAAGAATAAGCTTCATTGAAACATTTGAGAAGAGGCTTGAAGAGGGTGAGAGTGAGCCAAGAGAATATCTGAAGGAAGAATCTTCTAGGGAGAATAAACAGCCAGTACCTGCCGTGTTTGAGAACAGCATCCAGGAGGTGAGTGTAGCTGGAACAGAGTGAGCTAAGGGTAAAAAAAATAGCAGCTTAAGTCAGAGAAGAAATGGAGGTCTGATCATCAGTAGGGCTTCATATTGAAAGTTATACAAGAGATAACTTTCATCAAGTAATGAGACAGTAAAGATAACTTGTACCAAATATCAAGGAAAAAACTTACTGAGCTCAGCCAGTATCACCAACCTGTGGTGAACCAAATAAATACTTCTTGTTTTAAGCCACTGAGTTTCGGGGTGATTTGTTATACATATGCTATTAGTATTCTTTTTTTTTTTGAGACGGAGTCTTGCTCCGTCGCCCAGGCTGGAGTGCAGTGGCGCAATCTCGGCTCACTGCAACCTCCGCCTCCCGGGTTCACGCCATTCTCCTGTCTCAGCCTCCCAAGTAGCTGGGACTACAGGCGCCCGCCACCACGCCCAGCTAATTTTTGTATTTTTAGTAGAGATGGGGTTTCACCGTGTTAGCCAGGATGGTCTCGATCTCCTGACCTCATGATCTGCCCGCCTCGGCCTCCCAAAGTGCTGGGATTACAGGCATGAGCCACCGCACCCGGCCAACTATTAGTATTCTTGTGTGAGAATAAAATTATGCAGCCAGATTATTCTTTTAAAAAGTATAGTAAATTTAACTTTTTTCAAGTTACACAGTTCTGAGTATTAACATATGTATAGATTTCATGTAATGCCTGTGTAATGAGAATACAGAACATTTCAAACACCCTCTAAAATTCCCTTAGGTTGTCCTCTTATAGTCAACTCCTGTCCCTCACCTCCAGTTCCTAGCAATCACTGTTTTCTGTCCTAGTAGTTTTGTGTTTGGAAGAATCTCATAAAAATGGAACTGTACAATTTGTAGCCACTTGAGACTGGCTGCTTTCCCTCAGCATGATACTTCTGAGATTCATCTTTGAGATTCTTGCATGTACCAATAATTAGTTCCATTTTATTCCTGAGTAGATTTCACTGTACAGTTGCACCACAGTTTGTTTATCCATTCTGTTAAAGGACATGTGTGTCATTTCCACTTTGGGGCAAATATGAATACAGTCATTGTAAATATCCACAAATGGGATTTTGTGTGAAGATGACTTCTCATTTCTCTAGGGTAAATATTTGGGAATGGGATTGCTGTAGCATATGAAAAGCATATGTTTAACTTTATAAGAAATTGCTAAGCTGTTCTCCAGAGTGACTGTAGCATTTTGCATCCACACCAGCAGTGTATGGGCATTCCAATTGTTCTGTATCCATGTAAGCACTTGCATTGTCAGGTTTTGTTTGGTTTTTTGGCCATTTTCATAGACGTGTATTGTCATTTCATTATGGTTTTAATTTGCATTTCTCTCACGGCTAATTATGATCCTGAGCATTTTTTCACGTGCTATTTACCATCAATATGTTGTCTTCGGTGAAGTGCCTGTTAAAAATTCTTACCCCCCTTTTTTTTAACTGGGTCGTTTTGTTTTCTTCTTCTGTTTTTGTTTTGAGAGAAGGGGTTTCACTCTGTTGCACAGACCGGAGTGCCGTAGCTGTTCACAGGCATGATGATAGTGTGCTACAGACCTGAAATCTTGGGCTCAAGTAACCCTCCTACTCAGCTTCCTGAGTAGGTTGAACTACAGGTGCGTGTCACTGCAGCAGGCTCAGGGTTGTTTTCTTAATGTTGAGTTTTGAGAATTCTTTGTATATTCTAGGTCAGAGTTCTTTGGCTAATAATGTGATTTGCAAACATTTTCTCCCTGTTTACAGCTTGATTTTCTTTCTCTTAGTGTCCTTCACAAGCGTTTTTAATCTTGACAGAGTTCAATTTAATCAGTATTTTTTCTTTATGAGTTGAACTTTCAGCATCATGGTAAAAAAAAGTACTCTTTGTCTAAACTAAACTCATGAAAATTTATTCTATTTTTTTCTTGTAAAAGCGTTATAGTTTTAAATTTAGATATATGATCTATTTTTAGTTAATTTGTATGTAAGGTGGCAGGTATAGGTTGTGATTAGGTTTTTTGCATATGGATGTCCAGTTGTTGCAACATCATTTGTTGGAAAAACCTTTCCCCGCTATTGCCCTTTCACCTTTATAAAAAAATCAGTTGACCATGTCTGTGTGGGTGTTCTTCTGGATTCTCTGTTTGGTTCCATTTATCTATTTGTCTGTTCTTCTGACAATACCATACTGTCTTGATTAATGTAGCTTTATAGTAAGCCTTAAAAATCAGGTAGTGTGAGTCCTTCAACTTTATCCCTTTTTCAAAAAAATTGTTTTGGCTACTCTAGTTCTCTTTTGCCTTTCAGTATACATTTTAAAATCTGTTTAATAACTATCTGTATCTACAAAAACTCCATGGAATTTTTTTTTTTTTTTTTTTTTGAGACAGAGTTTCACTCTCGTCGCCCAGGATGGAGTGTAATGGCGCGTTCTCAGCTCACTGCAACCTCTGCTCTCGGGTTCAAGCAATTCTCCTGCCTCAGCCTCCCGAGTAGCTGGGATTACAGGCGTCCGCCACCACGCCCGGCTAATTTTTGTGTTTTTAATAGAGACGGGGTTTCACCATGTTGGTCAGGCTGGTCTCAAACTCCGGACCTCAGGTGATCCGCTCACCTTGGCCTCCCAAAGTGCTCGGATTACAGGCGTGAGCCACTGCGCTCGGCCGGAATTTTTATTGGAATGACAGTAGTCTCGCTTTATCCATGGTTTTGCTTTCCACAGTTTCAGTTACCTCTGCAACTGCAGTCTGAAAATTGATGAATATGGTACAAGATCTTTCAAGAGAGAGGGAGAGAGATTACATTCACCCAGTTTTTATTATAATAATTGTTCAATTTTATTTTTGTTAATCCCTTACTGTGCCTAATTTATAAGTTAAACTTCATCATAGATACGTATGTATAGGAAAATACACAGCATACACAGGGTTAGGTACTATCTGCAGTTTCAGGCATCTACGGGAGGTCTTGGAATGGATCCCCCATGGATAAGGGGGGGACTCCTATAAAGATAAAGATAATTTCAGGAGAATTGACATCTTAACTTTATGTCGAATCTTCCAATCCGTTAATGTGATAGGTTTTTTATTTCTTTCATCAGTGTTTTGTAGTTTTTAGCATATTGGTCCTGCACAATTCTTTGGAGCTATTATAAATTATATTATCTCAATAACTTTTGTTTCCAGTTGTTGTTTGTTAATATATAAATATTAATTTTTGTATGGTGACCTTAACCCTGCTACCTTAAGCTTACTTAATAATTCTAGGGCACAGCCAGATTACTTTTAAGAATTTATAACCGGGAATGGTTTTACAAGTTCATTTTTACATTTTTTTTAAAGCTGAAATGTCAAATCTTTAATCAGGGGAAATTTTCTTTTTCCCACTTTTCTTTTGGCAGTATACATACTTAAGTAGCTTTACTGCCACAGGTTGATTATCCCTTACCCCAAAATGCTTAGGACCAGAAGTGTTTGAGATTTTGGATTTTTTTTTTTATTTTGGAATATTTGTATGTACATAATAAGATATCTTGGGAAGAGATCCCAAATCTGAACATGAAATTCATTTATATTTCATATATACCTTCTACACATAGCCTGAAGGTAATTTTACATAATATTTTAAATAATTTTGTGCATAAAACAAAGTTTTGACTGAATTTTGACTATGACTCATCACATAAGGTCAGGTGTGGAATTTTCTGCTTGTGGCAACATGTCAGCTCTCGAAGTTTTGGATTTTGGAGCATTTCAAATTTCAGATTTTTGGATTAGGGATGCTCAACCTGTTGTTAAGTGTTTGTATGGCCTGTTGATGGAAGCATCAGCCAAAAAACCCTCTACTAATTTCAAAGTCTAGTTCCTCCCCCTTTTTATAATTCCTTAATAGTAATACCGACTAGTTTTATGAAAACCATCATAATGGGCATAATCATGAATTTAAATAGAAGAGTACAATCAGGATAGTTAATGTTGTGACTTTGCTAGCTGGCACATTTTTTGCATTGAATAATTGTTCTGTTTCTTCTCTATCATTTTCTCTTTCCCCGTAGGTATTGGGAGAGTTGCTGCTACATCTTTAGGAAATTTGACTAACCATGGTTCTGAAGATTTACCCCTTCCTCCTGGCTGGTCTGTGGACTGGACAATGAGAGGGAGAAAATATTATATAGATCATAACACAAATACAACTCACTGGAGCCATCCTCTTGAGCGAGAAGGACTTCCTCCTGGATGGGAACGAGTTGAGTCATCCGAATTTGGAACCTATTATGTAGATCACACAAATAAGAAGGCCCAATACAGGCATCCCTGTGCTCCTAGGTACAGTATCAACTTTATTTTCAACTTTTTGTTTCGGGATTGTCTAATGTTAGGTTTTGAACTGATATTTTCATCTAAGAGAATAGCATCCTAAAGCTTGAGATTTGAAAGCCTTATATTTCAAAATTTACATTTTTCTCTGGACATACATTTAGTAATAAATGACTTTAATAAGTTAAAAAAATACTTTTCTCTTTAAAAAAACCTCAAAAACAAGATCATTGTTCTTATGATCAGATTCTGCTGTAGTAATGCCAGAATGTTTTTGTTATAGGTGTCCAGAAAATTAAATAATTAAAGCTTCTGCCTTCTTACACTTAAATTTTTACAAATAATAACAGACCTACCCCCTAAGTCAGAATGTACAATTGAATTATAACATTTTGCTGTTTATTCTATTTCAGACATGATTGTATGTTCTGTTTCTTGCTATTACTAGACAAGAAAGTGAAAATTGGGACTGAACAAAACATCCCATTTCTGTTTAATAAATATAGCCAGTAATTCTTTGTGCTGTTTTGATTGATACTGGGCTGGGTAGATCTGCTTTGTTGCCAGACTTTTAGCCCTGTGCTGCCTGATAGCCAGTTGTCACGTGTGGCTGTTGAGCCCTTGAATGTGATTAATATAAATTGAGATGTGCTGTAAGTGTAAATACACACTGGATTTCAAAGTACATAAAAGCTAGTATTAGTTTAGTAATGAAGTTGCAAATATTTCAAATTAACCACATTTGAGCTTCAAAAGCTGAGCCACAAGATTAAAAATGAGTAAAATATCATCTGCATTTTGATAAATGTTGCTTAGTGTCATCTGGCATAATACAGTTTTTTGGTTATAGTGGACATTTGTATTTTCTTAGAACCATTAAAATAGTTATGAAAATGTGTTTTAGGATTATCAACTGGAAAACTAAGCTTTATCATTATTGTGTTGTTTTAATTATTTTATGTATTTGGATTTATTAATTCAACTTTGAAAATCTGTTTTTTCCCATGATTCCATGTAGTGGCACCCAATCAGTGTTTATTCAACTACTGAGGTTGTTGTCCTTTGAAAGAATCAAACCTGTGGTGTGGTCATCAGGTGGCAATGATTGTTGCAGTCCAGATAACCAGATTTGAGAGTTTACTTTTCTGTTCGTTGACATGGTTTGGCTCTGTGTCCTCACCCAAATCTCATCTCAAATCGTAATCCCCATGTATCAAGGGAGGGACCTGGTGGGAAGTGATTGAATCATGGGGGCCATTTCCCCCATGTTGTTCTGGTAGTGAGTTCTCATGAGATCTGATAGTTTAAAAGTGTGTGGCAGTTCCCCCTTCTTTCTCTCTCCTGCCACCACGTAAGATGTGCCTTGCTTCCCCTTCATCTTCTGCCATGATTTAAGTTTCCTGAGGCCTCCCAATTATGGAACTGTGGGTCAATTAAACCTCTTTTCTTTATAAATTACCCAGTTTCAGGTAATTCTTTATAACATTGTGAAAATAGACTAATACAATCATCATTAACCTTATGTTATTACAGAATTTTAATAGTTTTTTAAAAGCAATTTCATAATTAGTTAATTTACTTCTCTCAGCAACTTGGTAGAAGTTGAACAAGAGAGAATAAACGCTGCCCTTAAGCTCACATATGTAGTATTACTAGTTGTCTGGTTGTCTATCTTAGGCCAATCCTTATACAAAATTCTTGACTTACATTAGGTCATTTAATCCTGAGAACAACCACCTGTGGTATGAATTTATTATTCCACTTTTACAAGTATGGAGGCTGAGGCTTAGGGATAGGAGGAGTTTTGCTTACATTTACATAGTTTGTAAGTGTTAAAGCTGTGGTTCAAATCCAGGCGTACCTGACTTCAAAGTCCCAATTCTTCTTCACCCCCAGTTGTACTATCAAAGAACATTTTCCTTTGAACCTATTTAGGAAAGAAGAGTTGAAGATAGAATTCAGTTCCATTTGCATATTGATCTTTTAAAATTGTTAACCACAGCATAATCTAACCTTATTTTAATCCCAGTTTAGTAAACAGTGACCTTTTCTAATATACACATGCATTTTTTTCTCCCCATTGTTATATATACACCACATTTTCTTTTTTTTCTCCCTAACTTTTATTTTAGGTTCAGGGGTACATGTGCAGGTTTGTTACATGGGTAAATTGCATGGCTTGGGGATTTGGTACAGATTATCACCCGGGTAATAAGCATAGTGTCTGATAGGTAGTTTTTCTTTTCTTTTTTTTTTTTTTTCTGAGACGGAGTTTCACTTTTGTTGCCAAGGCTGGAGTGCAGTGGCGCGATCTCAGCTCACCTCAACCTTCGCCTCCCAGGTTCAAGCAATTCTCCTGCCTCAGCCTTCCAAGTAGCTGGGATTACAGGCATGCATCATGAAGCCTGGTTAAGTTTTGTATTTTTAGTAGAGACGGGGTTTCTGCATGTTGGCCAGGCTGGTCTCGAACTCCCGACCTCAGGTGTGAGCCATCACGCCCGGTCCCTGATAGGTAGTTTTCAATCCTCATGCTTCTCCCATCCTCTGCCCGCAAGTAGGCCTCAATGTTTATTGTTCCCTTCTTTGTGTCCATGTGTACTCAGTGTTTAGCTCCTACCTATCAACATGTGGTATTAGTTTTCTCTTCCTGCATTAATTCACTTAGGATAATGGCCTCCAGTTCCATCAGTGTTGCTGCAGACTACATGCTCTTGTTCTTTTTTATGGCTGGGTAGTATTCCATGGTGTCTGCATACCACATTTTCTTTATCCAGCCCACCATTGATGGGCATTTAGGTTGATACCGTATCTTTGCTATTGTGAATAGTGCTGCAATTAACATGTGCACACGTGTTTCTTTATGGTAGAATGATTTCTATTCCTTTGTAGAAATAGTCCCATTAATGGGACTGCTGGATTGAATGATAGTTCTAAGTTCTTTGAGAAGTCTCCCAACTGCTTTCCACTGTGACTGAACTAATTTATGTTCCCACCAGCAGTGTATAAGCATTCATTTTTCTTTGCAACCATACCAGCATCTGTTATTTTTTGACTTTTTAATAATAGCCATTCTGATTGATGTGGAATGGTATTTATTTCATTGTGCTTTTGATTTGCATTTCTCTAATAAGCAGTGATGTTGAGCATTTTCTCATATGCTTGTTGGCCACATATACACATAAATCTTTATGTTTGAAGGTGCAGACCCCTTTTGGTCTCAAATAGACCCTTTTGGCCGCTTCGAGTTCAGCTATTAACCTTCAGGTGGTTCAGTGCTTTCCTTACACTTTCCCATATAATATCTCCACTCCCCACAGCATACACAGGCTATTAGAACTAAAGTATGGTCTTTTTTTTTTTTAATCTCTGTGACTTAAAATAGGTTCTGATCAACTCTGACTCCCATATGTTCTCTTGAGTTGGTAAAAGTTGAAAAGTTATCTGCATTGGATAGAGATATTTCAAACACAATACTCACTGCTGCGTCACTACATATCCTAACCCCCATTTTCAGCCTACGGGAGGAAGGAAACATCCTTTCTTAGAAACTGTCAACCTTTCTGATATGAATTTACAGCTGATGACTATTTCTTGTGGGAATTTACTATTCTAGTTTTAAGCCTTTGTATAAAGGTTAAAACTTAGTTCCAGCTTTTTCATATCCTCCTTTGAACCTGTTTTTGAAAAGACTAAATACCAGCCAGAAGAAATATCTTAAAAATACATTACCTTTCAGGTGGTGTAAGTCAGTTTGGACAGAAGGCACACTGAAAAATGCTTAAGTATTATTTGTTCTTTATAATTTCTTGTTTAGATTTTAAGACCTTTATCCTAAAGAATGTCACTCCTTTCTTCTTAGTGTACCTCGGTATGATCAACCACCTCCTGTCACATACCAGCCACAGCAAACTGAAAGAAATCAGTCCCTTCTGGTACCTGCAAATCCATATCATACTGCAGAAATTCCTGACTGGCTTCAGGTTTACGCACGAGCCCCTGTGAAGTAAGTACATTTACAACACAAATTTGTTTGAGGAGTGAGTGAAGGGCTGAATGGAGTCTCTGGGCTGCTCGATCCAAGTAGTGTGCCATATTTTACTCTTAATAATATTCGGCTTCTAAGTAATACGTGACTTGAATAAAGGATGTCATAGTTTATAATGTGTGAAAATCATTAATTAGAAATATTAGTTCTTCAGACATTTATAGAATCTTCATTTCTTTGTGTGCGGGCCTCTGCTATTAGGGATACAAGTAAGAAACTTACATTCTCATAGGAGAAGATTAATTTGTAAATAAGTGATACAGTACTTGTGATAAAAGTAAGGACCTGGGCTTGGCACAGTGGCTCACACCTGTAATCCCAGCACTTCGGGAGGCTGAGGCAGGAGGATCTCTTAAGTCCAGGAGTTCGAGACCAGTCTAGGCAACATAACGAGAGCCCCATTTCCACAGAAAAATTTTAAAAATTAGCCAGGCTTTTTGCATGGTCTGTAGTCCCAAGTACTTGGGAGGCTGAGGTGGGAGGATAGCTTGATCTGAGGAGTTCAAGTTCAGCCTGAGCAACATAGCAGGACTCTGTCTCTATAAAAAATTTAAAAATTAGCAGCATGCTGTGGTGTATGCCTGTGATCTCAGCTACTTGGGAGGCTAAGGTGGGAGGACTGCTTGAGCCCAGGAGTTTGAGGCCGCAGTGAGCTATGCTTGTGCCACTGCACTCCAGCCTGGGTGACAGAGCATGAGAGACCCTGACTGCCCCCCTACTAGTGCCAGAAAAAGGAATGATAGCAGATGGCATTTTCTTTCCTATTTTCCTCTTTTCTTTGTCCCTTGATACCACCTGACCTACAGCTGTATGTTTGTATGCTGATTCTAAATAGTACATAATATCTGTATGCGTTTTTATTTTCCTTAAATCTGGAAGAATATGTGCCTAACTGTTAACCTTAGTATTTCTGGGGGTGGATATGGTTGAGGAGAGTTATTCTTTCTGTTGTATGTTATTTCTACTCTATAGTCATGTTTAATAAGAAATAGCATAATCTTTCCTTTTTGGGGGAAGAGATAGTACTTAAATGGAATTCCTGGTTTCTTACAGAAAGAAACAGATTCCTGAAGATTATAGTCTTTTTGAATTCTGTGGTTCTGTGAGCTAACTATAAAACTCAAGGAAACTAGCAAATAGGTTGTAATTCTTCCAAAATGGGCCAGACTGACAAAAAGGGAGCAAGTACTATACTTCTTTACTGCTTAAAAACTTAAACAAGAGGTCTGGAAGCCTGTTGCTTTCTAGTTGATTCTAATTAATGTTGCTGAAGAGGATGGAAATGGTTAATATTCTATCAACAAAGGGTGAGTGGTTATCTATGAATTAGATAATGAGAATCAATTATCACAACAAAAAGAGACATTTTTGCAAAAAAAATTTGCATGTTTCTTCCTTTTGTTTTTCAGACAATTGAGAATCTGAAATTCTTTAATCCTGAAATTCTTTAATCCTATCTCTCACAGTAATTTACCAACACAATTTTTGCATATACTTCTAAAACTTGATTTAGAAACAGACTGTGTTTTAAATTTGTATTTAATTTTTGTAAAGTTATGTTCCTGTGTCTGCTCACAAAAGTCTATAATGCTTGGTATAACTGTACTCAAGCTGAACTATAGGATAAAATTTTAAAAGTTAGGCCGGGTGCGGCGGCTCATGCCTGTAATCCCAGCCCTTTGGGAGGCTGAGGCGAGTGGATCACAAGGTCGAGAGATCGAGACCATCCTGGCTAACACAGTGAAACTCTGTATCTACTAAAAATACAAAAAATTAGCTGGGTATGGTGGCACGCGCCTGTAGTCCCAGCTACTCGGGAGGCTGAGGCAGGAGAATCATTTGAACCCGGGAGGCGGAGGTTGCAGTGAGCCAAGATTGCGCCATTGCACTCCAGCCTGGGTGACAGAGCGAGACTCCATCTCAAAATAAAATATAATAAAATAAAATTTAATCTTTGACAGCAAAAACATTGTCAAGAACATATTTACTTTCTGTTATTTCTCACACACACACCAAAACACTAGTCCTCAGCAGTGTGTGGCAGGGGTATTTTTTATTCCAGTGGCTTGGCAGTCCTGCAGTGTCACCATTGACCCTGCTCTGGATACAGGTGAAAAAGAGGGAGGAGTGGACACAGTGTTATGGCGGGTGGGTGCAGGGGACTTAGGCTACATGGTGATACCTGGAGCTGAGGATAGCAGCACTGTTGATCTTGAAGTCAGCATGCAGTGTGGACAGGTTATTTTTGGTAGCATTATAGCAACTGGCATTTGTATATATGGCTTATTTATAAGTAGTATTTGAATAGAATACTGCCCTAGGAAAAACAGAGTGAAAGAGATGCTAGAAGCATGGACTACTGGAGTGTTTTACACCCAATTTTCGGAATGATTTACCTGTGTATATACAGTATAAATGACTAAAAGTTAAACTTGTGGAAGCAAATTTCTTGGCTAGTTAAGAAGGAAAGAATGGGAGTTTATACTTTTCAGAAAAAGAAGGAACACTTAGGTGATTATAGGCAGAAGGGTAGTAACTATGTAGAAGCAACAGAGGAAAGAATTTGGAATAGGATTTCCATTCCATGCTTTGCAGTTTTTTCACATCTGTGCCCTTCTTGGAGTGCACTTTCTTCCCCCAGAAGGATTTTCTCTAATCTGATTTTGTTGCTTCTACCCATAATCGTACTCTTGATGCTGAATGCTGATTGGCAAGTCAGAAACTTGGCCAGGCATGGTGGTGCACCTGTAATCCAAGCTACTTGAGAGGCAGAGTCAGGATTGTTAGAGCTTAGGAGTTCTGGGCTGTGATGCACTATGCCAGTCGGATGTCTGTACTCTTTGGCATCAGTATGGTGACCTCCCAGGAGCAGGGACCACCAGGTTGCCTAAGGAGGGGCGAACTGGCCCAGGTTGGAAAGGGAGCAGGTTAATACTACTGTGCCGATCAGTAGTGGCATTGTGCTTGTGATTAGCCACTGCACTTCAGCCTGGGAGACATAGGAGATCTTCATCTCTTAAAAAAAAAAAAAAAAAAAAAAAAACTGACAAAATTGTTTGAAGATTTTTTCTTCCTTTAGACAAAACTTGAATACTTATACAGAATGATATTCGTGTCTTAAAAATAAGTATAATATTTACCATCTTATTTTTGTTCTTTGTTTTCCTTGCTAGAAAGTACACAGATGATAGATTAGTTTAACATTGTTGTAGTTCACCTGGTATAAATGGTAACCATCTTGACTTAGTAGACATTGCTGAATTGCCTCTTAGCTAACTCTGGGAGATTAAGATTTTTTGTTAGGAATTATGAATTTGTTTCCAAGGAGCACATAAAATCTTAAGTTACAAGAATGGTGGATGTTCTAAGAAATACCTTATAACTGTTTCTTCATGGAGGCTCATTGAGTATTTCTTACAGTATCACTCTAATTTATGTTCACAAGTGGTTGGAGTTTCCCATTAAAAAGAACAGAGCTTCCTACCAAAGAAATCTAAATCTATTAATAAATTTGCAGCTCTCAAGTAACTGAGTGAAATTGGCAGTCCAATTAAATATATTTACCTTCCAGTTTTTGCATGTTGTATTACTGACATTTCTGTTACACATACTCAAGTTGAATAGAAACATGTCAAAATGCCAAGTATAGTGGCTCACACTAACTGCTCGGTATGTTTTCTATCTCCCTTTTTTAAAATCTCATTTTAAAATATTAGACAGTCCTTTTGAAAGAAAATGGTATAATATCAAAGAACCACTGGGTAGGAAATACTATAAACGATCATTAAAAATAATGCTAGAGTTTGCAATCAAAGCTTCCTATTATGTCTGCTCTGCAGTATGATTTGAGAGGTATAATTTCGGGTATAACATGCGTTTCCCTAATTCAAGTTCTTTGTCTAGTCTTAGTGGATATTAACATTGAAAACCACTATTTTGAAGCATCTTGGTCCATAGTTCTCTTCCTTTTTGAACTTTTAGTCACTAAGCACTTTTGCAAGAGGTAAAGAGCCTCTTTAGGTTTTAGTGTTTTTCATCTTTAAAATGAGAATATTAATTACAGTGCTGTCTTCATCACATACTGAAATGGAACTATGTAGCCGACTACTAAAGGTACTACTGCTAAGCAGGGATCTACTTACCACTGAAAGACTACTAATGGTCTTCCATGATATATGTAAACAGAATCTTTTGTGAATCCTTCACCACACTGAAGCCTTCTATAGTCTACTCATTCTCTCATTTTAAAAAGTTTATTCTTTCCTTCTTTAGTTTTCCTGTTTGTTTTTTTAGATGCTGTGTACTCAGCCTCAAGAATACTTAGAGCCACGAATTGAGGGTTCCTCTTCATTTCTCCTTCTGTTTGGTTCCTTGTTTGCTGTTGTGAATAGCATTCCTCAAAAAGATGCATCAACATGAATGATGCAAATGACCATCCATTTTTGTGCATTATCATTTGCAAGCACAATATGGTCTAAAGTATTCTTAAGTTCCTGACAGTTAACTTTTGATGAACTTATAAGTAGCACAAAATATGTTCTTCAGAAATTATAGAACCACTGTAGTTTGAAATCTGTGTTCAAGGTTGTCTGGTGTTAATATTAGAATAATGGGTAATTTAAAGAAATAGGTATTCTTTAACTTAAATTGAAATGAAGTAATATTAGCAGTTTTCTCCTTTGCTTAGAAGAATTATATGTAGGCCGGGCGCGGTGGCTCCCAAAGTTAATCCCAGCACTTTGGGAGGCTGAGGTGGGCGAATAACGAGGTCAGGAGATTGAGAACCTCCTGGCCAACATGGTGAAACTCTGTCTCTACTAAAAATACAGAAGTAGCTGGGCATGGTGGCGCATGCCTGTAATCCCAGCTACTTGGGAGGCTGAGGCAGGAGAATTGCTTGAACCCGGGAGGCGGAGGTTGCAGTGAGCTGAGATCACGCCACTGCACTCCAGCCTGGTGACATAGCAAGACTCTGTCTCAAAAAAACAAACCAACAAAGAATTATATGTAAATAGCAGTTAATAACTCAGATTTTTAAAAAACTGATTTATTTATTTTTAGAAACAGGGTCTTGCTATGTTGCCCAGGCTGGCCTCAAACTCTTGGGCACAAGCAGTCCTCCCACCTCAGCCTCCCACCTCAGCCTCCCAAGTAGCTGGGACTATAATAGGCGCCACCACTGTGCCCAGTTATTTTTAATTAAAACTTATGGTTTGTTTAGTTATAAATAAAGTTGACATTTTAAAAAACAGACTAGTTTCTTGCTAGAAATACATGTTTATGTATGTGTTGTGAACATATATATGATTGTGTTTTAAAACAGATATGACCACATTCTGAAGTGGGAACTCTTCCAGCTGGCTGACCTGGATACATACCAGGGAATGCTAAAGTTGCTCTTCATGAAAGAATTGGAGCAGATTGTTAAAATGTATGAAGCATACAGACAAGCCCTTCTTACAGAGTTGGAAAACCGAAAGCAGAGACAGCAGTGGTATGCCCAACAACATGGAAAAAATTTTTGAGCTGATTTTTTAAAAATTTAAGTTTTGTAAGAGCTTTAAAATATTTTCACAGATAAAAAATTGCAAACAAGTACTCTGGTTAATAAATGCTGCTTCCTTTGTGGAAATTATAAAATTCTAACTTTACATGTATTTTGTTATTAGAAATTTTCTTTTATTGAATGAGAAAAATTAGTCTATCATTTTAAGAGCCAATATGGCAAACACTTTCAAATACTGTATATTAGGAAACTGTTTTGGTATTCTTGATGGAAAAAAACGCAGCGGAAATGTCATTATGAACAGATGTTAAATAGGAAATTATTACTTGTTAACTTCTTACAGCAGTAGTACCTTCTTTAAAAAAAAAAAAGAATCTGCGGTATTTTTTTAAAAAAAAAGTTTACCGCTGTAGTGTGAAATATTGTCTGGAAAGGGATGGTTTAAATATTACCATGATGTAGTTGAAATATAAAATAGGATTTGGAACCTTATTGTGATAAATATTTATATATGATGTATGTTTGTCTCCCCTCTCCAAAGTAAGGAACCCAGCTGGGCGTGGTGGCTCACTCCTGTAATCCCAGCATTTTGGGAGGCCGAGGTGGGTGGACCGCTTGAGTCCACGAGTTTAAGACCAGCCTGGGCAACATGGTGAAGCCCCATCTCTACAAAAAATACAAAAAAATTAGCCGGGTATGATGGTGTGTGCCTCTAGTCCCAGCTACTTGGGAGGCTGAGGTCAGAGGATGGCTTGAGCCCAAGAGGCAGAGGTTGCAGGGTCAAGATCGCACCACTTGCACTGCAGCCTGAGAGAGAGAGAGCCAGACCTTGTCTCAAAAAATAAAAAATAAAAAAATAAAAACAAAATAAGGAATCCTTTTAAAGCATGTTGAGAAAGTATTTTTTGGTATGAATGGGTGACGGGCCTTTTAATCTTTCAGGAATACATATAAGCAGGAATACTTAGCCTGTATTGGGAAGGTGCGTGAAACTCAAAGTTGCTAACATCATCTTCCTTATTTTCAGCCAGTGCTGTTACTGCATTTAGCATGGCTCTGACGAGGCAGTGGAGAGTTCCTGACAGCATAGCATACTGCCTTCTGACAGACTGGGTTAAGCTACCAAAAATGACAACCAGGGATTCAAAAAAAATTTTTGGTCATTAAATCGAATGTATATTATTACTTTTTAATTTTCTAAGTATTTATCACAGGACTTTAACACCATATATTTCCCTCCCAGTTTTTCTCCCCTTTTGGTTTAATAGTTAAAACATTTTTCATAATTAGTGCTGTACATTTGATTGCAAACAAATTGGTGATACTTCTAAACTATAACTATAAATCTCTAGAATTCTGTGAATTTCAACATTATTTGAAGTAGTTCTTCAGTTATATTTACATGTGTTGTAAATATGTAAATATACTTTTAGCTTAGGAAGTCTTCCAGAATACAAACTACTCCCAGTTAGATATCAGTGAGTTTGAATAACTGAAGAAATGTTGACAATGTTAAGTGTTTGATTTTATATAACAAGCTTATTAAATATATTTTTGTGGAAACTAAGCGCGTGGTTTTTGAGTCCATGTTTTAGACATAGTGCTGTATTTCATTTTTCTGTTCAAAAGGCCATAGACAAAGGAATCAATATAATTGAAAGGGGTAATGAAAAGGGGTATTGAAAAATGAAAGTGTGGCTAGTGGAATTTTATCACTGGGAAAAGATAATTTGCTGAACTTGTGATCAGACTTTTCTAAGATGTCAGTATATATATCTTATGAACTCCCACACTCCTCTATCTTAATTGTTCTTTCCTGTCACTTCTTACTTTATATCGCTACTTAATTATGGTGTAGCCATTTCTGTGACAGTCTTTAGAAGTTTCTCTGTTTTGGACCTCCTAGATAAGTATTACTTTTTTCATTAACACACTTTCCTTCTTCCTCTAAGAAGTCTGTTCAGTGAAACTCCACTAGAGATTTTAGTCATTAAGAACTAGAAGTTACCTAAAGGAATTAGCATGTTTTGTAAAATAGAAACTTAAGTTTGTACTGATGTCAACATTAAATAAAATGCATCTTGAGTCTAAAAAAAGAGATAAACCTTCATCATTCTATATCAGCACCTCTCATTTTCAAATTCAGTAAGCATTTGTTTTTAATCTTAGGAACCAGAGTAAACTTTAATAATAGTTCACATATTAAAAGAATAAACCTATGAAGAATACATTCTTTGTGTACCAAATGAAAAAATATACAATGCAGTGAAACTCACATATACAAAGTGATTTTTTGTGCATTTTTTATCAAGAGGTTTATATTCTATTAAACCATGTAAAAGCAATATCTGGTTTTTGATAAAGCAACTAAGGAACTCTAAAATGTGCTTAAAAATAAGATTGTGATATATATAAGATGATACAGATTAAATCCAGCCTGCTGAGTTATGATGCTGTGTTTTAACAAATGGCTAATGTGAAATAATTTAAAATTTTTTCTGTAGAAATTAAATGAGCATATCCAAACGTGGAATATCACATGATTTAATTATAACCCAGTAGTAGAATTTAGTAAATTCAAGCAGAACACGTGTACTGTTATCATAAATAGACAAATACTTTATAACAGCATTTTTGAAGAAAAATCAGGAAATTGTACATGTTAACAAAATAGTATAACCATGCATACATACATCTGCTTATTAAACACTGAAGTAAAAGAACTAATCCAGTTTGCAGTCTTCAGAGGTGTTTAGTATTTTACTCCGTTCTGATGGAAGCACTTTGAATGTTTGCATGGAGACATAAAACTGAATATTTAATTGACAATTGGTCATGCACCTGTATTTCTTAAAATTTGCATTACATTTTTTTCTTTTCTGATTGTTCAGTAGATTCCGACTTTGGTGTAGGGAAAGCTTGATGATACAGATGTCTGTGGGTTGCTGCTGCACTGTAAAGCTTGTACAAAGCCTAGAATAAAAGCATCAAAATTATAAAACATTTTATTAAACACACAGATGTAAAATTTTTTCCTTTTTAGTTTATCGTACTGTATAAAATTTAGCATGTTGAATTTGAAATCTTTTTTAATCGATATATAAATTATTATCTTAAAATTCAAAAGTATTTTCAACTCCTCAATGTGTGCATTAACACTTTTGTGTGTTGACCTGTGTGGTGAATGTTTTATTCTCAAACTGTGTTTCCTTTTACCTTGCATACCTCTTGGAGCAGTGAGCTTCTACTTTGCCCCAGGGGTGTGCTGAAAATTCAAATTGTGAATATTAGCAGTTTTAGATGAATTGTAAGACCTCATAACTTCTGATTGGCAGTAACTATTATGCATAGCTAGGCTACTTGCTTTCTGGGCTTCCAGTGTTTTCCTGAGTGGGGCCAATTTTATTCTCCATCATTTACTGATACAGTCATGCAGCTAAGCACATATGGTGTCCTTCCCCCAGCACAGTAGGATCCTTCACTTTACACGCTCTTGCCTTGTTTCCGTGACTTAGCTAATATCTTACAAACCTTATTCAAAAACATTACCTCAGCAAGCTTTCCTCATTTAAAACTACCTCTTATTGTTCTCTGTGGGTTTTTAATGATGTTTGAATCATAGGAATCTCTGTGTATTGTATATTGCTTTATATAAGTGTTCATAGATATCTTTGTTTCCTGGCCCCGTTAGCTAGTGTCTAAGATTTCATCCCCTCCTCTGACTTTCACATACTTGACAGTCAGTTACAAATGACTTGTCTGATTTAGTTCTGGAGTTCGTAAAGAGTCTTTGAATATTTTTAAAAGCTGCATAAAAGCTTGAGATCCTTTAAATAGTAATCTGTTCCCAGGAAATTCCATTAATTTTTATCATTTGTGAGTCTATACCTACTTTCTTTGGATCTGGTTTTTTTTTGTTTTTGTTTTTGTTTTTTACTTTTTGAGTTGGAATCTCACTCTCTCGCTCAGGCTGGAATGCAGTGGTGGCACGATCTTGGCTCACTGCAACCTCCTCCCAGGTTCAAGCTATTCTCTTGCCTCAGCCTCCCCAGTGGCTGGGACTACAGGTGCCTGCCACCACACCTGGCTAATTTTTTGTATTTTTAGTAGAGATGGGGCCTCACCATGTTAGCCAGGCTGGTCTCGAACTCCTGACCTAACGTGATCCGCCCACCTCAGTCTCCCAAAGTGCTGGGATTACAGGCGTGAGCCACCGCGCCTGGCCTTGATTTTCTTATGGCATTACGTCTGTATGGTACCATCTTCAGATCTGTGAATGTATATTGGTGCAACATAGTATTGTTTTCCATTATATTCTGATTCTAAGGCATTCAATTTAATTCTAATTCTCTTATATTTTTTCTTAAGCTTTGATTTACAAAGCTGAAATTTGCTTTTGCTTTTTTAATGAACTTGCTTACTGAATTTTGCATAAAATAACTTCTTATTGACTTGTAAATAGTAAATGGTATTTGATTCGAGGACATAATCCAATTATATGCCACAGTAGAAACTGAGGAAAGAATTATCTCTATAGTTGTTCAAGATCAGCTTTGCTTCCTGAAGATAATGACCTAAATGATTCCAGAGTGGTAATTTTTCTTAGTGTAACAGATGATTCCTTCGTGGATGCCTAGAGTCTTTTCTGAGATATGTAGTGTTGCACATGTGCGGTAGGAGAAATGAACACTAATTTACAGGTCAGGCCTGAGGTCTGCCAAGAAAGAATACATACTGGCCTGGGCCCTGCTTAAAGTGGTATGTATTACTGTCAGTCAAAAGCCAAAGTTGAAAACAACTTCTAAAGGTTGTAGCTACATTTAAATAAATACCCTCCAGTAGTTACATTTCCTCAGGTTTCATAACTGCTTGCTTTACTCTGCAGTACAGCAGAGTCCACCATTTCAGAGCTTAAGAATTTTGAAGTTTTCTACACATTCATGAAACAAATACTGATGATATTCAATTCTTAGTTTTTGTGTGTGTGTAGATCAAATCATACATGATGTCTAGAAAAAGTTAAATATTTTAAGACCATGTTAAAAATTCACAATTACAAATTTAAATGTTAGAAGTCACCAAAGATTGTTCTAATCTACATAAAGACATCTTTTAATGGCTTAGTCAGTTTATAAAATAATATCATAATGTTTACACATACATAGCTCTGAATTTTAAAAAATTTAACTTACCTCATTTGTACTTCCCTGTGGCAAAGGCAGATTAAAAAGAAAAAAGAAAAGTATATATCCTGCTTTATTAACAGCATTATAATCAACTTTGCTTACAATATTAATTTGTGAGCATTTCAGAACAGATACTCCTGCAGATTTTTCAGTTTAGATTACATATTTTATCAGAATCTTTGAAGAACTCAATTCTGTATTCCTCATAGGTTTTAGCATAACATAAGTCTAGGAGGGTTTTGACATTGACCTCAACCCCTCTTAAATCTTTTGTGGTTGAGGGACTATTTCAGAAAGTGGCTCAGAGGATCCAGTTTTTACTTCATTCATTTCCCATTGTGCTACCACTAGTTTATCTCAGCTAGATCCTTCAAAGGCACGTTACAATTATGTTATAAAGTATATATAAGTAGGGTTTTTTTTTTTTTTTTTGGGAGATGGAGCTTCACTCTTGTTGCCCAGGCTGGAGTGCTGTGGTGCCATCTCGGCTCAGTGCAACCTCCGCCTTCTGGGTTCAAGCGATTCTCCTGCCTCAGCCTCCCGAGTAGCTGGGATTACAGGCATGCGCCACTATGACTGGCTATTTTTGTATTTTTAGTAGAGACGGGGTTTCTCCATGTTGGCCAGGCTGGTCTCAAACTCCCGACCTCAGATGATCCGCCCACTTTGGCCTCGGAAAGTGCTGAGATTACAGGCGTGAGCCACCGCACCTGGCCATAAGTATGTTCTTAATGCTGGAAGAATTGTAGCTATTACCTGCTGCCTACAGGTACAGAGACAATCTGAAGTAATCTGATACTGCTTTTGGAAGTTTTTAACTAAAAAAGAGAATGATATGACAACTTATGATAGTGGTTCAGATAGCTCCTAACAAAGCTAATGCTAATCAAATCATAGGTTGTAAATATGAGATAATGTTAACACAAGTCATAATTAGCTAAATAAAAGCTGTTGTCTCTTACAACTTTTAATAGATATAACATTTTTAGAATAATAAAAAGTAGGCTGGGTGGCTCACGCCTATAATCCCAACGCTTTGGAAGGCTGAGGCGCGCAGATTGCTTGAGGTCAGGAGTTTGAGACCAGCCTGGCCAACATGGTGAAACCCCGTTTCTACAAAAAATACAAAAACTTAGCTGGGGATGGTGGTATGCACCTGTAGTCCCATCTACTCGAGAGGCTGAGGCACAAGAATTGCTTGAGCCTGGGAGGCGGAGGTTGCAGTGAGCTGAGATCACGCCACTGCACTCCAGCCTAGATGACAGAGCAAGACTGCCCCCCTACCCAAAAAAAGAAAAAAAAGTATATATACTACTAAACTGATGTATATTTTTTTAAATGCTGAAATGTTAACTGGAAAATAGTTGTGTAGGACTTCACATTTTACACAGTATTATATAGTTAGTTGCTTGTATCTGGGCAGGTCATAACATTCTTGATGACTGGGGCCCAATTCCTGTTGATCTGTATTTCCAACATCTAATGCAGTGGCTGGCACATGGATGACATTCAAATGTGTGCTGAATTTAGTTGTGAATTAAAGGTGTTCTTACCTGGTCCCACAGAGCTGCAGCCACCTGGTCTATTACAGCTCCCAGCTCTCGGTATTCTCCAGAGTACCGGATATATGCCCAAGTGCACAGGGTGATAAGGGTCAGTCCCATTATCATATTGCATAGGCTAGCTATGATGTCCAAACCAATGAATCCAGTCACACCAGCAATCACATATGTGATAAAGATGACTACAAACAGTGTGGCTGGGGTACGAGCTGCATGGAAGATATTTTTGCTATCATTGTGCTTGATATATTGGATGTAAAGTTCATCTATTTCACTCTCCAACTGCTGCAGGTAACGCCGGCTAAATTCTTCCCCACCCATCTTCTTCACCCCTCGGAATAGCTTCACAGATTCTTCCTTAAGTTGCAGGTGTTTGGTCTGCAAGTCATTTGGGGCCAGAAATGGTTTGTCACCACCACAAATCTGTATCAGATAGAGAAGTATTTGTTTATGCAATGCAGAGTAAAATTGGCAACTGTATCAAAATTTTTCACTTAGCTAGTTGAGTTTGTTAGAATACGTTAATAATCAGGAGCCTGCATATATGTTTTGTCAGCCCACATCTTTCCACCCCCTATCCACGAGGCATGACTATAAATGGGACTGGTATTTTATAGGTGGCTTAAAATCATTTTAAATTTTTCTCTTTTTGACATGGAAAATAATATTTATCACTTAATCCAAGTCCTTCAAGATGAAAAGACGTGTGACACAACATGAAGTGCAAACTGAGTTCATTCACAGAATGAATCCAAATCTAAGAAAACTACGTATATCCAAATTCTAGGAAATCTAACTACACTGAAGTCATGTTAACCAATGAGGTTTAATAAACAATGATCAATGCTATAAAGCTCTCAAAGTAAACTGTGAAATACATTCTTTAGCAGTTTTACTGATTTTTATTTGAATGGAGCCAATTGAGTATTTTCTTCCAGAAACTAAGTTAGGAGTATATTAAATGTTCTTGAATAACATTTTCAATTTTTTGAAAAGTTACAAGGGTAATCTCAGTTAACCATACCATTCACTTTGGTTACAGGCATGCCTCAGAGATAATACATGTTTGGTTCCAGACCACTGCAATAAGCAAGTCACATGATTTTTTTTATTTCCTAATTCATATAAAAGTTATGTTTACATTATGTAGCAGTCTAGTAAAGTGTGCAGTAGCATATCTAAAAACCATGTACATAATTTAAGAACACTTTATTGCAAAAAATGCTAAGGATCATCTGAGCCTTCAGCACATCAATCTTTTTGCTGGTGGAGGCTCTTGCCTCGATGTCGATGGCTGCTGACTGATTAGGGTGGTGTTGCTGAAGGTTGAGGTGGCTGTGGCAATTTCTTAAAATATGACAACAGTAAAGTTTGCCATATTGATAGACTTCCTTTCATGAAAGATTTCTCTGTAGCCTGGGATGCCATTTGACAGCATTTTACTCATAGTAGAACTTCTTTAAAAATTGGAGTCAATCCTCTCTAACCCTGCCAATGCTTTATCAACTAACTTTATTTCATATTTTAAAGCCCTGGAAAGGAAAAGAGTAGGGGGAAGGGGATGAAGAGAGGTTGATTAATGGGTACAAATAAAGCAGTTAGAAGAAATAAGACAGTGTTCAATAGCTCAGTAGGGTGACTGTAATTAGCAATAATCTACTGTACATTTCAAAATGGCCAGAAGAGAATAATTCGAATGTTCCTAGCATAAAGAAATATTAAGGTGATAAATACCACACTTTCCCTGATTTGATCTTTACACATTATATGGATGTATCAATTTATCATATGTACTCCAAAAATATGTACATCTATTATGTACCAATAAAAAATATTCTAAACCCTTTGTTGTCATTTCAACACTGTTCACAGCATCTTCGCTAGGAGTAGATTCCATCTCCAGAAACCACTGTCTTTGCTTATCCATAGGAAGCAACTCCTTATCCGTTAAGAGAATACAAAATTGAGTCACATCTTCAGGCTCCACTTTTAAGTTCTCTTGCTGTTTGCACCACACATGCACTTCCTTCCTCCACTGAAGTCTTGGACCCCTCTCAAAGTCATCCAGAAGGGTTGGTATCAACTTTTTCCACATTCTTGTTGATATTTTTGCCTCCTATAAACCACAGATTCTCTTCATGGCATCCAGAATGGTGAATTTCTCCTGGAAGGTTTTCAATGTACTTTGCCCAGATCCATCAAAAGAATCACTATCTATGGCAGCTATAGCCTTACAAAATGTATTTCTTATTAACTTTTGAAAGTCAAAATTACTCCTTGATCCTGGGCTGTAGAATGGATATTGTGTTAGCAGGCATGAAAACATTAATTTCCTTAAATACATCTCCATCAGCGCTCTTTGATGAATAAGGTCATTGCCAACGAGCAGTAATATTTTGAAAGGAATCTTTCTTTGTAGGTCTGAACAGTGGGCTTAAAGTATTCAGTAACCCATGCTGTAAACAGCTGTACTGTTACATAGGCTTTGTTCTTCCATTAATAGCGCACAAACGAGTAGGTATAGCATGATTTTTTTTTTCTTTTTTTTTTTTGAGACGGGTCTCACTCTGTCACCCAGGCTGGTGGTGTGATCTCGACTCATTGCAAACTCTGCCTCTTGGGTTCACGCCCTTCTCCTGCCTCAGCCTCCTGAGTACCTGGGACTACAGGTGCCCGCCTCTGCGCCCGGCTAATTTTTTGTATTTTTAGTAGAGACGGGGTTTTACCGTGGTCTCTATCTGACCTCGTGATCCACCCACCTCGGCCTCCCAAAGTGTTGGGCCTCCCAAAGTGCAGGTGTGAGCCATCGTGCCCGGCCTAGCATGATTCTTAAGTGCCTAGAATTTGGGGAATGGTAAATGAACACTGGGTTCGACTTAAAGTCACCAGCTACAAGAAAGTCAGCCTGTTCTTCCAAGCTTTGAAGCCAGGCATTGACCTCTCCTCTCTAGCTGGGAAAGTCCTGGATGGCATCTTCCAATAGAAGACTATTTCATCCATATTGAAAATCTCTGTTTACCGTGGCCACCTTCATCAATGATCTCAGGTAGATCTTCTGGATAACTTGCTGTAGCTTCTACATCAAGATTTGCTGCTTCACCTTGCACTTTATGTTACGGAGATGGCTTCTTAAACCTCATGAACCAAAAACCTCTGCTAGCTTCCAACTTTTCTTCTGCATCTTTACCAACTCTTTCAGCATTCATAGAATTGAACAGAGTTAGGGCCTTGCTCTGGATTAGGCTTTGGCTTAAGGGCATGTTGTGGCTGTTTTGATTTTCTATCCAAACTAAAGCTTTCTCTGTGTCAGCAAAAAAGCTGTTTCACTTTTTTATAATCTGTGTGTTCACTGGAGTAACACTTTTTTTCTTTTTTTTTTCAGACAGAGCCTCACTCAGTCCCCCAGGCTGGAGTGCAGTGCAGTGGTGCGATCTTGGCTCATTGCAACCTCTGCCTCCTGGGTTCAAGCGATTCTCCTGCCTCGGCCTCCCAAGTAACTGGGACTATGGGCATGTGCCACCATGCCTGGCTGATTTTTGTATTTTTAGTAGAGACAGGGTTTCACCATGTTGGCCAGGCTGGTCTCAAACTCCTGACCTCAAGTGATCCACCTGCCTCAGCCTCCCAAAGTGCTGGGATTACAGGTGTAAGCCACTGGGCCCAGCCTGGAGTTGCATTTTTAATTTCCTTTAAGAACTCTTCCTTTGCATCCAACAGCCTGGCTAACTAATTGGTGCAAAGGCCTAGCTTTTGGCCTATGTCAGCTTTTCATATGCCTTCCTCACTAAGCTTAGTCATTTCTAGCTTTTGATTTAAAGTGAGAGATGTGTCTCTTTGAACTTCAACACTTAAAGGCCATTGTGGGGTTATTAATTGGCCTATTTTCAATATTGTTGTGCCTCAGGTAAAAGAAAGGACTGCAGAGAGGGAGGGATGGGGGAACTGCTGGTTGATGGAGCAGTCAGAAAACACATTTATCGATTAAGTTCACCATCTTATAACAGCACAGTTAATGGCACTCTGAAACAATTACAATAGTAACATCAGCACTCACTGATCACAGGTTGCCATAACAGATATAATAATAATGAAAAAGTTTGAAAAATTGTGAGAATTACCAAAATGTGACACAGGCATGAAGTGAGCACTTGCTGTTGGAGAAAGGGCGTCAATAGACTTGCTTCACATAGGGTTGCCACCAAACTTCAATTTGTAAAAAGTGCAAGAAAGTGAGGCTCAATAAAATGAGGTATGTATGCCTGCATTTGAGATTTAATTATATCGAGAATTCTTTCATTCTGATTGTCCTTATAAATAATGCCACTCCATATACTACATTTTCCTTCATTCTAAGACTTCAATTTGAACGCAATTTTAATTTCATAACATTTTGTTTTTTGAGACAGATTCTTGCTCTGTTGCCCAGGCTGGAGTGCAGTGGCACAATCTCAGCTCACTGCAACCTCCACTTCCCTGTTTCAAGCAATTACCCTGCTTCAGCCTCCCAAGTAGCTGGGATTACAGGTGCGTGCCATCAGGCCTGGCTAATTTTTTTTTGTTATTTTAGTAGAGAGAGGGTTTCACCATGTTGGCCAGACTGGTCTCGAACTCCTGACCTCAGGCAATCCACCTGCCTCGGCCTCCCAAAGTGCTGGGATTACAGGCATGAGCCACCGCACCCAGCCTAATTTCATAACATTTTCAAGAGAAAATAATATCTATCACAGTAGTACATATACACAATAATTATTAGATCCATCCTAATTTGGAGTATTAAAATGAGGAAATGTAATAAATAGAAATAATGGCCCTTAGGGTTTTTGTTTTTTTTTTCCTAAAAGGTTTAATCTTTAAGAGAAATACCAAAATTGTGGAATATAAGGAGGTGTAGTGGCGAGGGTACCACATGCTATTTTGGCTACTAGATTTTATAAATAGTGGAAAGACCTGGCGCTCCCCCCAAATATGTGAATAGGGATATATTACAGAGAGAGGCAATTCATTTAAAATGCCTTCAAAATTGTGCACACAATGTTTTTAAAAATATTTCAGGAATATAATAAATAGACGTGATACAGGCTGAGGAAAAAGTCAAAGCCACCTCATTGCATGTGTGTACAGTGTAACATGGAAGAAAAAAGAGAATGAGTTGCATGAAGGATACTGGTTTTGTTTAAGACAGAATTTAAAATATTTAACTCTTACCTCTTCCATTTTTTTGTTGTATGTGTCCTTGGCAGTTGCCACGGCTGCTAAATTGTTAGCTTCTGCTGTGGCCTTTGGACAAAGTACAAAATATGATGTAAAATGCAGTTCATATTGATTAAACTTCCACAGGCAGTTCACATTTCAGAGCATCATGTGCAAGAAATGTGCAAGAAACCAAAGTCCTCAAAATAATTTAAAACTGTTATAATATTTCTACTACATTTTAAAAAGTAGTACAAAAGTTTCAAAAATGCATAAACAGATTTTTACTCAATACACAATACTTCTAAAATGAATTTTCATTTGGAAGAGTTTTCCTCTCAAAAAATATTTTTTAGCCTGCCATTAAATGCTGGGAAGAAAAAAATCATAAACCCAAACTCATGGGGAATAATACATAGTACATTTTATAAATACTAAAATACACACATATATCTAAGGACTGCTGCTGACAGAAGAGTGTATCACTGATAACAAAAAGGAACTATTAAGAACTTACATTTTAAAAATATATAAGGGAACTAGTTTCTCCCTTTTTAAAATTTATTTATTTATTTATTTTTTATTCTTATTTTTTTTTGAGACTGAGTCTTGCTCTGTTGCCCAGGCTGGAGTGCAGTGGCGCGATCTCGGCTCACTGCAACCTCCATCTCCTGGGTTCAAGCAATTCTCCTGCCTCAGCCTCCCAAGTAGCTGGGACTACAGGCTTGCGCCACCACGCCCAGCTAATTTTTGTATTTTTAGTAGAGACAGGGTTTCACCATGCTGGCTAGGCTGGTCTCGATCTCTTGACCTCGTGGTCTGCCCGCCTCGGCCTCCCAAAGTGCTGGGATTACAGGCATGAGCCACCACGCCCGGCCAAAATTTATTGACTTATTTTTTAGATATGAGGTCTCACTATGTTGCCCAGGCTGGACTCAAACTCCTGGGCTCAAGTGATCCTCCTGCCTCAGCCTCCTGAGTAGCTGGTCCTACAGGCACATGCCACCGTGCCTGGCTCATTTTAAAAAAATGTTTGTGGAGACTAGTTTTTTAAAACTTGCACCTGCTTTTCTACTGTGTGTTACATGTGTGAATCTAAATCATAATAGAAGACTGTTCTAAACAAATTTAGTGCAAAGAGAATGAAAACCCTTTGGTATAAAGTGTTTGTGTCTCAACACAAGTGAGGCTGCAATATGTTTATGTGAAACATGTTTAGATGAACACATAAATAGGTAAAGTTATTAGGCAAATAATCTTCCAATAAATTATTCTGTCTAATATTGTTATTTGGTTATTTCTGACAGCCAGAAATCTTAGCCTTAGTCACGTGTCTTAAAACATGCCTCCTCATTAATAAATACCTGTAACATGGATTTGGGATGTGGTAATTCTTCACCTTGATAGATCTTTATATAAGCCTAAAAAAAAAGAAAAAGATTCATGTTCAAGCAATTCCATTCAATATTTCCTCTAATTCTATGAAATTGCATTCTAAGTTCTTGACATTTCAAAAAATATTTTCAGGAACTTATAACTATTTTATCTTTCTCATACTTAAATTCCCTTTTTTCTTAGTTCATGTTGTTTCCCTTTCCTGAAATGCCTTTTTCAAACATCTCTGTCTGCCAATCTGGCCCTTCTTAAAGGCTCAACTCAATGCCACTCCCTTTAAAATGTTCTTAGACCCCTCTGCCGGGAGTAACGCCCTTTTCAGTTACCCGCAGGAATCTGTACCCTGCTGATGTCATAAGCTTTATGGAACAGACCCTTGTGAAGGTCCTGAATCTCCTACCAAATTGTAAGCACCTCCACAGTGTTACACGCAGTAAAAATTCATATTTTAGATTAATAACATGGCATTTATTGCTGACAATCATGAAGGTAAACAGATCACACAGAACCTATATGATAGCATATTAAATGACAAAACATGAATTTTAAAAATTGATATTTTAGTCCTTGGAGCATCAGTCCACAATTGGGTTGGTAACTGAAATTCTCCAGGATATATACGGGTTGGTAAAAAGTATTCAGTGCTGGTAAAAAGTATTCAGTGCTATCTAAGGAAGGTAAACAGGTAAATGCAAATTTAAAATAATTCCACTTCATATTGGCTCTTGGTGCAGAGAGTAAGAAATGGGGAAGTATTTTCTTCAGTAGGAAGGTATCCCCTTGGGGAAAATCTTCAGAATTATGAAGGTAAAATTCAGAATAGACCATGGACCCTGGGAAACACCCCATCCCCCCAAAAGACTTTTCCAACTCTTACATTCATATTTCAAAATACAGCTCCCTCAAGATAAAAGGGGACAATAATGTTACCTATATGTAGTTTCCTCAAAAGAATAATTTCAGAAAGTAAGCTTTCTGAAAGGTTTTGAAAAAGCTTTTTAGAAAGGATTTTTAAAATCCTTTTTATAGATTCCTCGTACCTTTGCTCCCATATTATCGGGTCTATAATTTTTGTTTATAGGAATTACGATCCAATATATGTCAAATCTATCCCACGAATGCTCTAGAAATGAGAGTGATACCTTGAAGTACTCCACCAGACCCCGGCAGGTGATTTTATTCCCATTGATCTCTTTAATATCTAGGCTCTCGGGACTAAGTAGCCAAGGAATCAGTATTTTCAAGTTTTTGATGAATTCATCATCTATTTCTACAAGTAAAAGCAAATCCATTATTATTTTTGGAATCCTTCCCAGTCCTCCATGCCACAGAATAAAACATCCTTTGATCTCCCCCATTTCCTCCCCAGTGATAATGCCATCACTCACTTCCCCATCATTTAAGCGACTCCTGAAACCTGCTCTTCTCACAGTGAATGATTCTCCTTGCCCAAATTTCCACTCCCGTTTCATATGTATCTTGTCTTCCACCTATAAGTTAGCTTTCTTGATATTATAAGTTAGCTTGCTTGATTTTACATGTATGCTTTGTATGTAGCCCATTCATATAACCAGTTCAAGTTTTGTTTTTGCTTTTTTGTTTGTTTGTTTTGAAATGAAGTCTTGCTCTGTCGCCCAGGCTGGAGTGCAGTGGTGCAATCTCAGCTCACTGCAACCTCTGCCTCCTGGGTTCAAGCAATTCTCCTGCCTCAGCCTCCTGAGTAGCTGGGACTACAGGCACACACCACTATGCCCAGCTAATTTTTGTATTTTTAGTAGAGGAGGGGTTTCACCATGTTGGCCAGGATGGTCTTGATCTCTTGACCTCATGATCCTCCCGCCTCGGCCTCCCAAGGTGCTGGGATTACAGGCATGAGCCACCGTGCCCAGCCATAACCAGTTCATGTTTTAAGTCTTGTTTGTGGTTTTATATATATAGGCTCATAAATGGGGAAGAGACCAGATTTTTACTGGCTTATTATAATGCATTCCCTCCAGAAAATGTATCCAAAAATTGCTCCGTGCATAGCGTGCCCACCTTCTAAGAACTGTACAAAACTGGGTAAGCTGTGGTAACTGGACTGCAGAGTTCAAAAAGATAGTGACAATGATGCTACCTCTAGTGGTGGAACTCAGCAACACAAAATAAAATAGCAAGAAAAGGCCACTTAAGCAGATGAGAGGTAGTATGAGTATGTAGTTGTCATGTTTGATATAATTGATTACACATAACCCAAGCTGTAGCAGTAGGTTAAAGCTTAACATTACAGACTTAGCAAAGTAATATAGAAAACAGATCACGAGAGAAGTCTTCTGAACACAGGGACAATTTCTTAAATTGTTATTTCAAATATATGGAAAAATTGGGGCCGGGTGCAGTGGCTCCCACCTGTAATCCCGGCACTTTGGGAGGCCGAGGCAGGTGGATCATTTGAGGTCAGGAGTCTGAGACCAGCCTGGCCAACGTGGTGAAATCCTGTCTGTATTAAGATATAAAAATTAGCTGTACACGGCTGGGTGCAGTGGCTTACGCCTGTAATCCCAGCACTTTGGGAGGCTGAGGCGGGTGGATCATGAGGTCAGGAGATCGACACCATCCTGGCTAACACGGTGAAACCCCACCTCTACTAAAAATAAAAATAAAAAAAATTAGCCAGGCGTGGGTGGCATATGCCTGTAGTCCCAGCTACTCTGGAGGCTGAGGCAGGGGAATCGCTTGAACCCGGGAGGCAGAGGTTGCAGTGAGCTGAGATCACGCCACTGCACTCCAGCTTGGGCGACAGAGGGAGACTCCGTCTCAAAATAAAAAAAATTAGCTGTACATTGTGGCACATGCCTGTAGTCCCAGCTACTCGGAAGGCTGAGGCAGGAGAATCGCTTGAACCTAGGAAGCGGAGGTTGCAGTGAGCCAAGATTGTGCCACTGCACTCCAGCCTGTGCGACAGAGCAAGACCCTGTCTCAAAGAAAGAAAAAAAAATATATATATATATACACACACACACACACACATACATTATATATATATGGAAAAATACACATACTATGTAAAAAAGCAAGATCTGTCCAGTGACTTGCTTGATTTCTAAGTAAATTCAGTAACTGCCTGTAATTTTTAAAAATCTAAATTTTAGCAGAGTTAGAGTTTTCAGGCTTTGGGGTTGGTGATTTTGAAGGCCTTAAAGATTCAAAACTTAAGACTGTGTTTGCATTTTCCCCTTTATTATAGCCCCAGTTATAACATTGGGGCTACATTGAAATACTATTTTATGTTAGAATTTGTTTTCTTTACTTCTTTTATAACACACACAAGCATGATGCTGGATATCTTTCCAAGTTATTTTGTTTCATGTTTTGTGCCACTTTGAAATTCTAGTGACCGTGATTTACAGGTACTTGCAGTGGAGTTTATTCACTTATTTTGCTGTTTGCATTGTACCAATTTTCACTGATAATTTTGCTTTGTACTATATATAGATTTATTATTGTGGTTTGCTTTTTAGTTACTAGTATTCACTGGACTACAATACTGATATTTGTATTTATGTTACCACGTTCCTGTTTTGTGTTTTATTGCCTGCCATGTATCTGTATTCACTGACACTAATAGGTTTCTTTTTTGCTATATGATTTTACGTTTTTTCATCTTTAGTAGAATATTACTATACACCTAGAATGTATGAATTCTTCAGTTTCTGAATAAAACAAAGTTTTCTTCTTATAAAACCACTTTAAAATCACTTTCAGAACTTGTATATAAATTTCTGCCCCCAAACATTCCTTATACAATTGGAATGGAATAAGATACGACTGTGTGTTAATGCACCAGCAAGTGTGGTAATTAATTATCATTAAAGTAACCAGCATCTAACCATACATTTGGATTAAAAATGTGTCTGAAGATGGCAGTAGCCCTCTTTGTTCTCATTGGAACCAATGCTAGGTATTCCAATTTTGGATTCAGAAAATAAGAACAATATATTCATAACATACGTAGGTGGTGAGCTCTTGCTAATGTTAGTTGAACACAGTAAAGACATGAACCAGAAAATCTGCAAACCAGTTCAAATCGATTTGCCGAGGGGCATTAATAAGCTTTGGCCTTGCAAGTGGTCAATTAATATATATGAATAGCTGATTCAGAATTATGTTCAGTAATTTTCTTCAGTAATTTTTTCCACAAGGGCAAAATCTTCCAAGGACTTTAGGGGCTTGGTCAAAGTGGTGGTTACCTGACACAATAATTGAGAATACGATGTATGCTTTATAAGAACTCCACAGGGCAGATGCACTAGTATAGTATTGCTGTATAAATTAACAAAGGAAGATATTTTCTCAGGATTTCCTGATTCTGATAAGTGATTGGAAACACGCATTTGACTATGCATTCTCAAGTCTAACTGCAGCTGCTAAGGAAGCAGCTCCACATCTTATAATGTGGCTACCTGCTCATTCTACATATGGTACTATAACGCAGAGCAACCTCAAAAGAAAAAAAAGGATAACTCCTTGTTATTTAAAAAATTGTATCTGCTGTGCTAGGGTAGGTATTCAGTAAGCACCCAATAAAAGCTGGTTGAATGAAGCATAAATGAATGTGATTCAGTACCTTTAATCTTTTTCATTTCCTTTTGGGAAGTTCTTAAATTAACAGTAGTTAAATTTAATCATATTATTATCAGTTTTTAATAACACTAGAAATAGGTAAGACAATAATAATTGCAATACTTTGAGGGACCATGAACAAATAGTTATTATAACAATGGTTACTATTGATAATGAGCTAGAAAGTTATTTCTGTGTGTGAAAGAGTATATGAGAAACTATTATCAAAGAACAACTTTTGCATAATTGTTTATTCGGAGACTTTTCTTCACTAGAGGCAACCAGTGAGATGCCAGCCCTCTGGAGAACATCACAGTCAGCTGACAAGACATCCTGGATAGAAATCACACCAAATTGTAAGATTCAGCGTGGGACAGAAAAATAATGTAGATAGCAGACTTTCAAAACTGCCCAAAGAAACACGGAGGCAAAGTACGATATTTCTGCACAAAAGAGGGCTTTAGCAGCAGTCTTGTAAGATATAAAAGTCTCATTAAAATGGAACTTTTATGGAAATTGAAGCTGCCTTTCACTACTCTTTTTCCTAGGCAAGGCACTTTGGTAAACTCATAACTTATAGTTAACTGTAAACCAATTGTGTAGGTCAATATATGCATAGAAGTGAATACAATTTGATGGAGAACAAATGTCTTAAAAAGTGAGATTCTGGCCAAGTATGGTGGCTCATGCCTGTAATTTATCACTTGAGGCCAGGAGTTCAAGACCAGCCTGGGCAGCATAGTGAAACCCCCATCTCTGCAAAATAAATAAATAAATAAATAAATAAATAAATAAATAAATAAATAAATAACCGGGCATGGTGGCACACTCCTGTAGTCCTATTTGGGAGGCTGAAGCAGGAGGATTGTGTGAGCTCAATAGTTCAAGGCTGCAGTGAGCTATGTTCACACCGCTGCACTCCAGCCTGATAGACAGAGCAAGACCCCATCTCTAAAAAAATAATAATTGCCTGGGTGCAGTGGCTCACACCTGTAATCCCAGCACTTTGGGAGGTCAAGATAGGAGGATTGATTGAACCCAGAAGTTTGAGACCAGCCCTGGAAACATAGCAAGACCTCATCTCTTCAAAGAATTTTAAAAATAAATTAGCTGCACATGGTGGTGCGTGCCTTTAGTCCTAGCTACTTGGGAGGCTAAGGCAAAAGGATGGCTGGAGCCCAGGAGTTCAAGGTTGCAGTGAGCTAGGATCGCACCACTGCACTCCAGCCTGGGCCACAGAGTGAGACCCTGTATCTAAAAATAAAAAATAAAAATAATAAGTAGGATTCTGCATTTGCATGATTTGTCTTAAACTCTCTCCGTGAGCTCTTTCATTGCAAAATGTATCAGTTAATCTAAGAGCTGTAGCTGTATACTGCAGTAATGGAACAAGCCACCATCATTTTTAGTTCCAATAAAGGGCTGTTGTTGAAGGCGCACCCCTCCTCTGCCTGTTTATGTCTCCCAACTCCAGAGAAGAAAGAGAAGCTTTCTCTTTATGTAAGAAGGCTTTCTTTATGTAATTTATTCAAAACACATTAAAGCCATTAGGTAATTGCACAATACTGAGATCTCTGCATCCACTAGTGGGTTGGAATTCATAAGTGTGACAGTGAAATTATAGGAGCCTGTCATCCATATGTACCATATGCTTACTGCTATCTAGTCTGTGGTATGAAAGTAAGATAAAATGTATATAACCACCATGCTGATTAATGATTGAGAAATTTGGTATTGTATTTATGGTACTAACTGCCAAAGTTAAATGTAAGGTATCTGAGAGTAAATGTCATGGGTGCAGGGACAAAAATAATTCATTTGCTTTTCAAATCTGCCAGTTTTGTAAAACTGGATACAAGTTATATTGTCCTTTCTTTAAAGTAATTTTAAATCCCTCTGACAACAATTGTGCTGAAAAGCTTGTAATGCCACTGTCTCACTCCTGGCACGATGCACAAAGGCCACAGTAAATTAAACAAATGTCTGAATTCAGTGGCATATTCAACACTACGCTTTCAAGTTAAAAAGTCATGTCTTTGAACAATGTCGTACTAACTACAAAGCGTATGTCTACAGACCTGGTGGATATCTTTTGGGAAAGATTAACTTCCATTTCCTCAGACTCCTACCTCCCCTCCTGCTCTTGTTTGTTTGTTTAACAAGTCAAGCTGCTTTGGAATCATGTAACAATCAGTCCTCTATTAAAGACATAATTACATCCTATAAGTATACACTATTTGAAAAACACTCTAGTGCTTTTCTTTTAAGACACTGGTCCTCTTCTTCTTCCACACAAGATTTCATTTTTAGTGAAGTTTTTAATAATTTATAATTAAATTCTTTAGGAGCAGTTTTAAAGAGCATTTCTTTCAATCTCTAATTACATAACTTAATACAGAATTCCAATACTATAGACATCTGTTTTCCTTTTTCATGTAGATAAGGAAAATTAAGCCTAAAAATATTAAGGAGCACTTCTCAGTGCACAGAGATAAGAAGGTGAGGGTTACTGCCTTCTGGGTGAACTCAGGATCCGGCCTATTTTTGCAGGCAGTGTATACATCCAGCGCCCATAGAATCCCACAGTTCACCAAGGAGGAGCACCAGCCCAGGATGCCCTATTCTCCTGACAATTTCTAATCATCAGCCTCCTATCAGTGGATAAACTAAACTATCAGCCATAAGCCCAATAGATAAAATGACATTTTTATAATCAGACTAAGTGATGCAAACATATTCATTAAAAGACACAAACCTTTCAATTTTCCATCAAAGTTTGGATTGGTAGCTACTTTTAAGCCAGGATGAGGTAGCAGAAAACAGGAAATGTTGGTGAAACAGGAATGGATGTGTTTTCTGACGTTCTGTAGTTCTTCATGCTGGTTCCCTGAGACCTGCAGTAAATCATTCTGAAGTTTAAACTACTTTCATCACAAATTATGCAAAGGAATTCTGTGGCATCTTATATTTGCTATGTCTGTTTGGTCCCACAATGATGAAAATGACACGACAGGGCTGCTACTAAAGAAAGAAGAAAGTCTTGGGTGGGTTTGCCCACACAGAGCCGTGTCTAAGTATAGAAAACGCATGGCATAGTTTTAATTAACAAGTGTCTACCCTTATGCTAACTCACATGGACCTTCCCATTTTTTAATACAAATTAGTGGGGTTTTAATCTGGCTAGTTTCTACAAATTCAAATTTTAATTCAAAGCACTCGTAGGAGCCACAAAGAGAAAGTAGGATATTTCTACTTTCTTTTTAGTAGATATTCAAGGCAGCCTCCTATCACCTGGTAAGTGTACATTTAAATTCTAGAATGGAATCTGAATAGTTGGGTGTTTACTTACAAGCTAAATCACCCTCACCTCCCACTTTATGTAAATACATATTTGATAGTTTTTAATACAGACAAACTTTTATGACTGTAAACCTAATAAGTTCAGAGATCCCAATTTTCAAGGAACATTTTTGTAAATTTTGATCTTTCTCCCCTGATTTCCCAGTAGGCACTTTTGGTGATATCTGCTCAGTGTAACAATTTGTACAGTATTGAACCAGCACGACACAGAAAGTGGAAGGTCTTCTAATTTTACATTCTGTGCTCTAAGATTGACTCCAGGGATTTCAAAATTAGATATTTGTTACACTGGCTTTGAAACCTCTATTAAAACCTGAATCTTGATATTTGCACTGTCAGTCTTGAAGTGATTTAATTCTTCAAAGTAAAAGTTTTATCTTTAGGAGTAACTTATTGTTTTATAGATATATACAAAGAATTCTTCACCTGTGTCATTAATATCGATAACAAATGAGATTGCGGCTAGTGGCTACTGAGTATCTATTCACCAAATGATCCAACAGAAATAATTCCAGATTATTAGTGAAATTTCATGCACCTAAATATCTAACAAACCTTGAGGCGTTTTTCCAAGAATTTGGCACCACCATCGGCTCCATATGAAAATTCGTATGGGAAACTCCAGTCTCGAACAAGAAATATCAGACTCTAAAAAATAATAAGAAAGGATTGATATGAGGACTTTAAGGTGCCTCCCTTTGCTTTATATGGAAACCAGTTATAATATCACTGTCATTTGAATATCGTTCTTTCCCACATTGCTGAATTAAAAATCAAACATAAAACCTTTGAAAGTGTCTGGGCAGTCTCTCCCCTATGAGATCATCCTACATATTTCCATTAAATGTGAACAGAAGGCTGTGTACAAAATGCCAGCATGAACGCACCCCACTGAGAGATGACAGAGATGACTCCCAAACTGCCTGAATGGAGCTATGTCACTATAATCAGATTTTGTGTAGAATAGGTTCCTAGGAATCTTCCTTTCTGATAGGTATGGCTGAATGCAGGCATAAGATATAAGATCAGCTTTTCTTTTATAAAGAAATTGTTTTAATGTTTTTATAGAAATGATATGTATGTATGCGCATCATAAAAAGTTCAAACTAGATAGCAGAGTCCAGAGAGAAAATTTAAAAATGCACCCCACATCCCATCTCCTGGATTTAACGATAGTTAACATTTGGTGAACATCATCCAGTCGTCTCCCTAGGTACATACACAAATGGAAGAGGGCTAAAAGAAAGAAAAAGGAGAAAAACAGTTTTATAAAAAGTAGAACTGTTTTGTATGTGGCATTTTAAATAAAAAGTATTAAAATGCACTTGAAATTAACTGACTAAAAGGAAGATGAGATGACATTTAAAATACTGCTGAATTTCAAGTAAATGATTTTTTTACCATTAGAAGTTCTAATAAATTCACTTGAAATTAAGAACAAAGATTTTGGAAAACATTGAGCTGGGAGTCATGTGTTTAACTTTTTATACCTTTGAATGGAATATAGTCCACATACAGAAAACTGCACATTAAGTATATAACTTAATGAATTTTCACAAACTGAACACATTGTGTAACTAGCACCTAGATCAAGAAACAGAGAATATCCAGCACTCCATAAGCCCCTCCTCCTGCCACCCTCCAGTCATGACCCCTTGCTCAAGGGTAACCACGTGCCTGACTTTTAACAGCATCAGTTCGTTTTGCCTGTTTTTATAATTTGCGTAAGTGGAATCATACATGATACATGATATATTCTTTTGGTCTAGCTTCTGTCACTCAACATTATATTTGTGAGATTAATTATATTATTGCATAATTGTTCATAATTCATAGTCATTACTGCGCAATTTCCCATTATGTGAATAATGATTAATTCATTCTGTAGATGGGCATTTCAGTGTCTCTAGTTCTTGGCTGGCATGAATAGTGCTGCTATGAACATTCATATGTCTTCTGCTCTTCTTTCTGTGTCTTCTTTCTTTTGCGTTTATAACTAAAGCAGAATTACTGGGTAGAGAGTGTGCACATGTTCAGGACTGGTTGATATTGTCCATTTTCCAAAGTACCAATTTATAACCTTACCAGCAGTCTTAGAGGGTTCCTGATGCTACACATCCTCACCAATGCTTGATATTCTCTGTCTTTTTAATTTTAAACATTCTGGAGGGTGTGGTTTAGTAGCCTAGCCCATTGTGTTCAATATGCATTTCCCTGATGATTAATGAAATTAAGCACATTGTCATATGTTTGTTGGCCCTTTGTGTTTATTCTTTTTTGTGAAGAGGCTGATCAGGTCTTTTGTCTTTACTTATTGGTTTGGAGTCATGCTTTTTAAATATATGTTTCACCTTTAATTCCCTGCCATAAGAAAATCAGCATTCTCAGATTTCCTCTTACCACTCCTCCCTTCCTTCTACGTTTTACATGTCATAACTTTGAAATAAAACCAAAAGCAGTTTGAGTAAATATGTTTAAAATGTAATAAACATTGAAAGATACTACAAATGCATATGGAAATTACAAGACAATTTATATATGTACTATTTCTATGTGTTCCCATATCATCCTGAACTTCCCCTATTATAACACTAGAAGTTGGTGGACTTCTTTCAGTTGTAAGTAATGAAATCCAATTCCAACAAGTTTAAGCAAAAAAGTAGATAATTGGTTCTGTAATTGGAAAGGTCAGCGGTGTAGGTGGATTTCAGAAGGATTTGGGACACTTAAGTGACATTAAGGCTCTTTCTCTCTCTGAACAGTCCTCTCTACATGACGGCCAAGATGACCACTGAGATCCAGATTCACATCCTGCTAGCTTAGCAACACCAGTGCAAGTCAGTTTTTCAAGACAGCTATGTCAGGAAATTTCCAGGAATGGGCCCAATTTGATCATATGCCCAGTCCAGAAATAATCACTGTGGTCAGAGGGATGGGATGGTCTGAACTGTCACCTGTATGTAAGGGGTGAATGTCATCAGGTTCACCTGAACCAGAGGGAATTGGAGAGAGGAGTTCTATTGCTAGAAGGGGAACTAGACGGAAAAAGAAATAGATAACTCCAAACCATAATGTTATGGTGCATTATTTATAGACTGTAAGCCTTCTAGAGGCAAAACTTGAATCTCTTTCTTGATCATTATAGTATCCTTAACACCTAGTACAGTGCTTGGCACAGAATCAGTGCTTAATACAGATTTGTTGAATAAATCATTTTCTCATTTTTTAATTATCAATTTCACAATGTCAGCGTTTAAAATATTTACACTCTGCTCTGTACTCACAATATTCAAAGTTGTTTGGCTTTAGTGTTATATTTAATTGGATTCACTACATCAAAAATCCTTTCACTGTCAACTTCTCCATACCTGAGCTCTTATTTTGAATAAAATAAAAGTGGGCCAAATTTTGCCATATGGTTTTCCAAGAAGCAGTATTAGGATTGCTGTATTTCCTGAGTACTCACATTCTTGAGCATATCTTCTGTTGCTTTCATAGTTAATTAACAAATTGGCAGGATATAAAAATTCTTAGGGTGATTCTTTCAAAACCTTGTCAATTATCATTCATCTGTCTTTTTCCATGGAATATTGCTATGGAAAACTCTGTGTGGATCCTTTCTTCTTAAAAGTTCAATAACTTTACTAAGTATTTTCTCATATTGACTGGAATGTATCAGTTTTCCCTAGGGAAATAGTATGAAGATTCAAGTTTTATTCGAGAAAAGTTTTTTCTCTCATCTCTTTAAATATTTTTCCTCTATTACATTTATTGTTTCCTCATTTGTTTCATTTTCTTCTTAAGGGGCTCTCATTATGCGTATGTGGTAGAGAGGCGGGTGTGAATCCAGGTTTTATGGGGCCTGAAGCTTACATAATCTGTGGGGCAGAGTGGGGCAGAGGAAAACCTCTGTAAGAAAAAGAATGCAGAATTAGGCTTGAAAGTGAATATTTATTTAGAATGAGGAATATAAATTACAAATTCAAAAAACTGGCTAGTATCACGAACAAAAAAAATCCAGAAAAATAACTAACATAACTTTATAACAGTTTTCTTTCCCCCAAAGGTGTTCCAAGTTCATTTCCTACCTTAGACCTAGAACGGGCATTTTTCTAAGAAGCACTGGTTTCTTTTAGTAGAATATGGTTCTTCAAGATTATAATGCTCAAAGTGCTGCTGCGTTGGTCAGTGTTTCTAGACCTTTCAGTGGGCAGAGCTAGAATAAAATTGTGTGTGGTGTGTGTGTATGATAAAATACCTCATAAATTCATATTGACATTCCCAATTCAAATTCAGGACTATAGAGTTTCCACTGAATGTCTATATTATATCCATATCTCCTTGTCCAAGAATCTTGAATCAAGAATCTTGATTCTTAATGCATCAGGGATGGTTGAATTATGATATCCCATAATTACTCATTTTTTCAATGCTCTAATACATACACAACAGCCGCAGAGTAGCAGTACCAATACCACCATCAACTACTATGACTACTTAATGAAAGTTTTTTTTTAATTTGGCACATGCTCTCCTCATTCTCCTACTTTTTAGTTTATCTATTCATTCATTTATTTAAAGAAAATAGAGATTACATATGATGTTCTCTCCCTTTTGTCCCGCATTTAGTCTAAGTTCCGCAAACAAATATACATTTAATGATCACTCCTAGTCCTTATGTCATCTTTGCTGATCTGAAATTCATTCTTTAGTAGATTTTGCATTAAGGGTCATGGGAACAATATTCCTTGGATTTTTACATGTTGATAATAGTTGTGGCCCTTTATGCCTGAAAGTCAGTTTTGCTGGATGTCAAATCCTTGAATCACATCTTTTTTCCTTAAACAGGGTCACTTCTAAGTGGCGTGCGATTATGGATCTTTCTTGCTCCCATAAGATGGAGCCTCTCCTCCCTCTTATTTTGTTTTGTAGATTCTTGTGGGGGAGAGGAGGGATTCTTGTAGAGAAAAGAATTAAAAATACCCACATCCACCCTCTTTAAGTAGTCTGCTAACTTTAAATAGATGTCCATTTTTGCCACAATTTTTGTCAAAATATAATAATTTGTATTTTGAACATTTCTTGCTAAAACATGTATTTTGAAAATAGATGTTAGCTGGGAAGTAATTTTTTCAAAATAGAGGTTCATGAACCAGGATAAATGAAACCAAGTATGTGGATTTGGCTGTATTTTGCATTTTTCTTGGGAGCTTTAGTCTCATTTCTTGGTCTTTTTCACTGGCCATCTTCCCAATTCAAAATAATGAGGACCATGTGTGGTATAGAAGCAAATATAAAGTTTCATTTTTTAAAATTAGCAATATGTAAAGTAATCATGAAATTAATGGCAACGTTCCAACTCCCAGGTTTCCTGCCTGATGCTCTCATCCAGTGATGTGCTGATAAACTGGCTCTCTGACAAAAAAACAAAAGCCTTGATTTGTAGCATTTGCCAATTTCTGTGGTGTAAATATACCCATCATGGCTGATTCCAAGCTATTAAAGGTTTAATAACTGGTTTATATAATTCCTGAATATTTAATAATTGGTTCTCATGAATGGGGATGAGCAATTCCTACTGTCCCCCACCCCTCCCTAGATAATTTATATGCTTTTCATTCATCATGTATGGATTTCTATGAAATTCAGTCTTTATGTCAAAATCCATCAGTTTTTCTACACTGCAGAATCTTGATTTGCTCACGTATGAATATAGGTAGAGATAAAAACCAAGAATACAAATTAGCCTAATTTGCTCAGATAAAAACATATGAAGCCACAAACACTTTTTTAAATTAAATTCAGCCAGGCAACTGGGTCAAATGATGGACCTATACTATACTTAGCTTACAAATGAAATAATCATCTAACTTTTTAAAATCATGACAAATTTTATTAGCGTCCCTTTGGAGACTATATCTTTCAGGAAATTATTCAAAAGGAGTATTACAGCATGACTTGGTAACAGTGAAAAACTGAAATAAATCCAAATGCTCAACAATTGAGAAATAGCTATATAAACTATGGTGCATTAATATGACACATAGCTATTAATAAGTATGTAGAATATATCAACACATGAGTTGACTATGTCAGTATAAAAAGCTTATATGAAACAAATGTTATCTGAAAAATAACAGTAAATTTATGTGCACATCCATTATAAATATATGAAATTATTCCTACACTCACCGGGAAAGACTACATGTTCTAAAACCATACAGCCAGTAAATATCTGAACTGGTTTTTAATACATGTAATCAGTTTCTAATTTCAGTTTCAGGTAAAGGTAAACACCAGAACTGGTTTTAAACCCAAAGTAAGGAACACTTACTTCAATCAACAACCCACACAAAAAGCCAACAGAGAGCCTCATTGCTTTAAAAGTCAGTCAAGTAGTCAAAGACTCACTCCAGAAAACTTACTGTTTTCACCTCTACACCCAACACATTTAACAAAAGACATATTCTCAGACTGATGTCAACCCATCTTGCTTCCATAACCCACAAAACTCCAAAACACGCCCCTGACGCCTACATGTGGTCATCAGTTGGCTTTGCTCAATGAGACTATGCCTCACCAGCAGAGCTCTATAGTTCACTAAGCAATAAGTTTAGCTTTGTTTTTTTAAGTCATATTTTGAGAGATGGTCTTATCCTTTGCCAATTCTGGACGTCTCATTGTACCATTTTTGAATGCCTTCACTTGGCAGCATCCTCTGTGACTCTTAGACTTACAGGTGCATTCTCTTTCTGCCTTGTTCCCAAATTCCATTTGTCCTTCAATTTGCTTCCAGGTGAATCTGTCTCAACAACACTCTGAGTTCTGATTTGCTTCATTGAGCTCTTGTTGCTAAATTAATTTGTTATCCTAGGATTTTGTAACCATATAGGTCTTTATATAGGGTCATTAGTCCTAAGTGTTTGCATAGAGTAATTCAAATTTTAGTGTTGGAAGTACATTCACTTGATAAATAATAAGACCTAATTTTTGTATAAAGTTCTTAGAACTTTTGGTTTGGGGGCACACCATTCAGTGAATATTTTTGCCATTAGCCTGCTTATTCTTTTGCTGCTTGCTTTGCTTTCTTTTATTTGACAATTTGTACAAAGTCTTGTCTCACGTGTTTTTGTTTTGTCTTGAATTGTTTTGTATCACTGAATGAATACTAAAGTCCTCTATAAAGAACAGATGGAAGCATAGGCCTAAGAAGTCTTCAGTCCCATTCACACTGCCCCAAAGACTAATGGTTGGAAGTCTGGTAGGCTGGCAACCAATTTATGCAAAAGTAATTAATCAAATTCTGCCTTAGGTTCCCTACAAAACCTTCAAGAGGACACTCTCTGTCTTTTCAATGCGTGAGTCACTTTGTATAGCACATAATACAAAATCAGTAATTGTCAGATTATTGATCATACAACTCTGTCCTAGCCTCTGCTTGCTTAAAGAACCCAAAACACTTTTCATGAGCACATACTATTGATTAACTTTTATGTTACAGGTTTATATCAAAACTGCAAGCTCCTCCTGGAAGAATTTCTGCTTCCTATTTCTATTAAACAACACTAATTTTTGTATCAATAATAGTAAATATACTTTTAAAAAATGAGAATAACTGTGGCCATTATGGTGAACTTTGGACATGTAAGAATAAACAATACAGTTAAGAGGAGCTCTTTAAATATTGAGACAAATACCAAACACTCATTAGTTAGCTGCTTCAAATAATAAACTGAGGCCTCAAAATAAAATGCTGACTCCAAAATGCAGTCTCTACATTTGACACTGTAACCTTCTGAAACCTGCCCTCCTTGCATTTCTTTTCATTCAGTTTTATTTTTACCACTCAATACATCCCTTCAATTCCTTCTGCTCCTTCCCCTGACCTTCTAAACAAGCTACTTTTTCCTCGGAAATTTTCACAGGAAAGGAGTGGGCACACTGCCCAAATCTACTTAAAACTGCTAGATCAGAAGGCTATTCTACAGAAGTTGAATTTAAACCCTGGTCTTGAGCTGAGTGTTAAGGAATTCTTTTAACCCAGAAAGATAAAAAATCTGTTGCAGACTTGTTAGATATTTACTGTCCTGAACTATCAGTTCTGTTCCAACTAGTTCACTTAATTGTTAGACCTTCAGGTGGGAAAAAATGGTTAAAAACAGTGGGATAAGAAAGACCAGGAGAATACTTAAATAATCCAGCTGTTTATTAAAACATAATGATAATACATTTTAACAATTTAGTGGCCTTTAGGGGGCAAGAAAAATAAAAAAAATTACAGAAGGCTATTTTGGAAGACTTTCTCTTAAATATCAATTGGACAAAGGTTCTAAATTATAAATAAAATAGGGATGAATCAACAGGAAACTTTAAAAATTGACTTCAGGAAACTTTCAGACATAAAATATGAATATTGAAGAAAAAACATATGAGGCTCAGATATAAAATATAGACTCAGAATAAAAAGGTTGAATGAGAAATTGTCAATTTAGAAATCTCTAGTATATCACTGACTTTTCATAGGGCTTGGGTAATTAGCAAAATAGAAATCAAGACAAATTTGTGGTCCTTCAGATAAAAACAAGACCAAAATATCCTCTGTTCTCTATGAATCAGGAACCTATAGATAGGGAAGTCTATGGATATTGCAGGCAGAAAATCCACTGGAAGAACCACTGTCCCAAAGCAGCTAAGAATACCTATAATACGTATGATTTACAAAAAAAAAAATGAAGAATCTTTGCACAAACTCTCCAAGGATATGGGCAGAAAAATTAGAGACAAGCTAATAGGAGGGCAGATCAATCCTTCCAAATTATCATAAATCTTTCTTTTTTATTAAAAAGAAAATCCATGATAAGTATTAAATCAACAACATCAAAGACTCAGTGCCTTTTGTAGCCCATTGCTTGATCCAGTAACCAAGGCTTATCTTCCTTGCCTCAGAGCAGTTACAGCCTCATCTAATTACTTGAAGTATCTACAGACCATGCTCTAGGATCACCTTTAAATTTGATGGTACCATATACAGTACAATCACTATTGCTAACTGAAAACACCCAACATTTTTCTGTTAGTCTTAACTAACGAAATATGGTATTTTCTTTTTGTATTAACCACCCATCAGTGTGACACTTTCAATGCAGCAACTCTATACCCTTACCCATTGAAGGAGAATTTCATAATTGTGTTTCTCCAGTTCAAGAAGGGGCCATGCCCAGTATAAATATTTTGGACACTCTCACGTCAACTTATGACTTAATATTGTTTGGATATAGTTCTTACCTTAAAAGTATAAAGGATATAGTTCTTACCTTAAAAGTATAAAGAGACAATACTGGATATCTAATACTTGCTCCAGATCTTGAATCCAGGTCTTCCAATTTCGAGTTGTATATGCAAACTATTTACAATCCCAAATATGTATATACTACCCCCTTAGTGAACATTTATCGTACACATGCTTTATGAACAGCATGGTAGGTGCGCTAGACTTCAAAAAGTAAATGACAAAGTTCTTGCTCATAAGTCATGTATAATTTAATTAATGAGAGGGGATAGGCACATTAAAATGTAAGACAATAAAATACAGCTTAATAAGTGGCTCAGATTAAGATAGCAAAGAGAAGCCCTAAAAGATGGTAGTTAAGTGCAAGGGCTCTGAGCTGTGGCCTAGGTTGAGGTCAGCTCTACAATTTAAAGATATATGTGACCAAGAGTAAGTTTCTCAACTACTCTCAGCCTCAGTACTTCTCATTGGATAGAAAAATTAAAGACGAGAATAAAGAAGGAGCGGTAACATTAGTTTTTTTATAGAACTGTAATGATCAGTAATTCGAATAATGTAAGAAAAATGCTTAGCACAGTGCATGGCACAAAATAAGCATGCAATAAATTGCTGTTATTGCTCTTCTGGACATTTCAGGTACCTAAATGTAGAAATTGGGAGAATCCTAGTCTACACCACTGACCTAGTTCTATGTAGCCAGATAAGCATTTCTTCTAATCCATACAGCTCTCAGATCACCTAAATTGCTCTCTCGACAGAACATGGGATAGGGTAGATAACTTCCTCAGCTGTCTTTTTTCATATCATTTCCTTTAATTTTCAGCCCAAGCAGGCCGACATCAGCCTTTCATTTTCTCAGTGAGGTCATGCATTTATCAGGTATGACTTGGCAGTTATAATCATCACAGATATTTGACCAAAGATGTTTTGTTTCAAAGTAGCTTAAATCACTATCAAAGAATTTTTTGTGCAAATGGACATTCTCAAATCATGGGAATAAAGGGTCCTCAAACATAATTAAGCAAACTAGAGTAAAATAATTCCTAATTGTCCTGTGTAGGCCCAATTTGAATAAGAAATGGTGAGAAACAGTACTTGTCCTAATGTAATAGAGTATTATTATATGCTTCCCCTTCTATTATTTTTCAGCAACCTTCAGTTTAACTTAAAACTGGCACAGACTGATGTGCTCACTAATAATTACATCTCCACTGAAAGGAATGTGAAGAATTGAGTTTTTACCTTTATCTCACAAAGATAATTTGAATATCTGTGTAAGGTCTAAGGTCTTGCTGGGCTTTTAAGTGTATGAAAATGGTTAATAAACATGCTGTAGGTGAAAACTGGGCTGAATTAACTCCAGAAAGTGAAGTACTTGACACTGAGGACATGGAAGAGAAGATAATAAATGTAAATAGTCCTAAAATATATGCTCAAGAAAGAAATAAGCCTTCTAAGAGAAGTCAAGTTTGTGTGAAGGAAAGTTTTTTTTTAGGGTTTATGCTTCCTACTTTCCTATTACAGGCCAACCTTAATCTACTAACTATCTGTACACAGAAATGTACATAGAAATGGTGCCCTATCTCTCTGCTACCAGAACCTTCTGCCATAGATGCTGTCTGCTGGAGTGTGCCCAGTGGCTAAATCTGTCCTCAAATATGTGCTTGAGAATGACATAGAGAGTGCAGATTCCCTGGTCTAAACACAGGGATTCCAATTCAGCAGAACTGTGGCATGGCTCAGAAATGATTCTAACCCAGGTGCCTAAAACACCTGCTTCTGCATCAATCATCAAGGCTACAGATATGCTGCAGCCCCATCTCTTCTCTGTGAGCCATACAGCCTAAATCCTGCTAAAATTCCCAACTACCTCAGGGCTCTGGGCCTCAAAAAGGTCCAGAAATCATCAAATATATTCAGGACTCTGCCTTAAAGGAACCAAGGCTCAGGAACTTCGTGACCACTATTTAAATTTGCTGTAGATTAAACAGGATTTTGCAGACCGGCCTACTAGAAACAGACCCACCATGTCGAAATGCCACTGAGAAATGTATTGACATCTAAAACACGAACTCAAGTGAATCTTGAGACTATAATACACTTTAGTAAATGGGGAATGTTTCTATTTCTTCATAGCCTACATAATTAGAAGGCATGAAGTGATTAAATCGTAAACTCCTGGGCTGCTATTGCCAAAGGGTACATTTAAAGGTATAATACAGGGTCTTCTTAGTAAGGGGGATCTGTTTTTAGCATAGACCCCATAACAAGCTTACTGTTGTTAGCACATGACGGAGTGGAAACCCTCTCCACCACCACAGCCCAGCAGAACTGAGAGGACAAGAGTGACAAGCACACACACAGAGCTCCTCAGAGTCATACAAGTGGAAAATGAGCCTTTCCTGGGGAAACAAGTAACTGGCGGCTGGTCATTTAGCAGAGCATTAGAGGAAGACAGCCTTGCTTGGTGTTGATAAGCAGCCTGCATTTAGAGTGAACTTCAAATAATGTCTGACAACATCAAAAATATCCAGAATTAGTCGTAGGGATCCTGCCCCAAGGATGTGATCATCCCAATACAGAACAATGTGGGGCCAGGTGTGGCTCATGCAAGTCTAAATGACCAAGAAAGAAAAACTCATAACATACCAATATAGACACAAATCTATCGCACGTGACAAGACATTTTCACTAGGTTCTTAGAGCAAACTGGGTGTTATTACTCAAATAAAACTTGCACAGTTATTACATACAGCCATGTTTAAATTAATGGAAAAATATTGTCATTCTCAACAAAAACTGGAAGTCCTAAGGTAAAGAAGCTAATATAAAGAACCTAGTTATTTTATAGATAGATATGTTAATAAAGTAGCTCCTGCCAGATTTTTATACTTTAAATTCAAATGCTCATAGTGAGCAAAACAGGTGAGAAAATAACTAATGTCACTTAGAGAACTCTATACTATGTCTTAATGTGAATTATACTTCCTGGGCGTGCTACATAGTTTAGAGCTGGCTCATTAGAGGTTGCAAAAAACAGTTGTTAAATTTTGAGGAATTTTTGCAAGTTGGTTGACGTCATGGTAGCTTGAAATTGGCCATGGTAAAAGTATTTACACCATAAAAATTAGCAAATAATATATATCAGGCTCACCTCCTCCCTCCTCCCCAACCAGTTTTAAACATTTTGCCAGCACACCACTGGTTACACTTGCACTTCAATATTGCTTTTAAACTGAATTCATTTAGCTTTTAATTCTCTCTTTTAAACCATGGTTTTTAAATACACGAACATATTTTTGTTTGCTTGATTACAGCTTGATATAAATTGTTTTTTTAAAGAATCAAGTTAATATGTTAATTCAGCTATTCATTTTCCCAGCTAATTGTCTTCATATTTGTTGTTTATTATAGGTCTGTTTATTATTCATAATTGTACTGTATTTCAGAGTTAAGAATTCTTCTATTTTAAATTTGTTTAAATTAATTTTGTCTATTTATTTATTTTTTGAGATACGGTCTCACTCTGTTGCCCAGGCTGGAGTGCAGCGGTGCAATCATAGCTCACTGCAGCCTCAAACGCCAGGGCTCAAGTGATCCTCCCACTTCAGCCCCGCTCCAAATAGCTGGGACTACAGGCGCTGTAGTTCTTTGTGGATTTTTTTTCTTTCACTTTTTGTAGAGATAGAGTCTCACTATGTTGCTCAGGCTCATCTCAAACTTCTGGTCTCCAAGCAATTTTCCTGCCTCCTCCTCCCAAAGTACTGGAATTGCAGGCATGAGCCACCACACCTGGCCTTAGTTTAATTTTAATATAAAATTATTTTTAAAATTTCATTATCCCTCACCTTACTTTCTCAGGCAATGTTTAAAATTTCCCCACACTTTTACCCAAATGAATAAAGCTGTTAACTTATCAGAGAGAAGAGGATAGAAGTGACCTGCTAAAAAAGATTGCTAAATCGAAATTTCATTTAGAAGTTATTTTACTTTGCAATTTTTTGCTATGCTTTTTCTAACTGAAATTTGAATTATTTAACTCATATATGTTTTGAAATTTGAATGTATTTGCATTTTATCTTTTGATTTTATAATGTATTTTTTGTTTTGGATTTGGTTGCTTTAATCTAAAATACTATAAAATAACTTTGGATGCCACCTTTACTACTTAATGAGCTTCGCATTTCAATTTCAGGTAGTTAAGAGTTACAAGTCCAAACATGTTTAGGAGTCATTGTTGACTCAGTCAGCGAAAACTTTTTTCTTGTCACTGACATTTCATAATGTCAACAGTTTACTAACTAGGGTAATCTCTTAAAGTTTTTTTCATTGTTTGTTTTCAACTCTTTTTTTTTTTTTTAACCAAAAGCCGCAACTCTATCAATCTTTATCTCTCATCTGTTTTATTGGAGCATTGATTGGTCTTTTCCAGTTTTAATGTTTCTGGCAAAATGTAAGGAGCAGTGACATCTGCTGGTAAGACCTAAAGTCCCTTTCTGTAATTTACAATGGAGTTCCCTACTCTGGTTTGCCAGTGGTTCTGAGTAACAAGTTAGAGAAGAAAATCAAAACAATAGCCTAATTACCATATAGCACTTCAACGATCAACCTAACAAATGATAAAAAAAAAAAAAGACAACAGAGTCTAGTACATATTGTAAATCATATAGAAGACTGCAAGCAAGGCTGGTTTTATTCTACCTCACCTCCTCCCCACACCAGGTTCCTGAGCCCTCAGGAGAATTCATACCCCTTCATCACAGCATACATCATCTCTCCATGCTACTTTACTTCATCATATTTTTCCCAGATCCTCACTCCCATTCCTCAACTATTCATTCCCACCCACATTCACTTTAATATATATTATAATATGCATAAATAGTATCATGTTATAAATCTCACACTTTTTTCTGCTTACTTCTGTACAAATTTTAACACTCTATTCATGCTACTCTATGCACTTTTGGTTCATTGCCTTTAGATGTTGCAAAGTATTCCAGAGTATGCTTTTCCCCATATTTTTATGTATCTGTTCTGCTAGTGATGGACACCTAAGTTGTCTCCAAATTCCTGCTACTATTACTCTATCAATAAATATCCTTATATATTTCCTCTGCTCCATGGAATGGCTGCTCCAATCTGCACTTTCAACAATAGGGCCTGAGTGTTCCCATTTTCCCAAATCCTAGCTTTCATTGGTATTATCTCCATGTTCTACTTTTTGCCTATTTAATGAGTGTAAAGTGGTATTTCATTGTTGTTTTAATATTTATCTAATTATCAGTGAGACTTGACATCCCTTCAAAAATGTATTAGCCATTCAGGTTTCCTTTCTGTGACTTGTCTATTAATATTCTTTGCCTGTTTTCTGATTGGGAACCAGGTTTTGGTTACTTGCAAAAGTTTCCTGTATGTTCTGCTTAGTAATCTTTTGTTGACTTTGACATTGTCAATGTCTTCTACCAATCTGTTCATTTTGATTATAAAGTCATTTGATAAATACAAATACTTAATTTTGATGTAGTAATATGCATCAATTTTTTACTACATGGTTTATTTTAGAGGGTCTAATAAATGTTTCTTCACCTCAGTTCAGAAAAATATTCTCCAGCACTTTCTTCTATTAGCTTTATAGTTTTAACTTGCATATTTAGTTCTTTGATCCATCTGGAGATTACTTCTATTACAGTATTTAGTAAAAATCCAGCTCTTTCTTCAAATAGTGAACTTGTTTTTCCAAACCCAACTATTAACCCATTTATTTCCCACCAGTTTATGATGCCACCTCTATTGACTACCAGGCTCCCATATATATATGAGTGTATTTAAACTGTTTAGTTCCACTGAGCTTTGCTCTTGTATCTGTGTAGGACCTCACCATTTTCATTGCTATGGCTTTTTAGTGTGTATTGAGCCCTCTAATTCAGATCGTCTTCTTAAAAACTGACTTAAGGCCGGGCACAGTGGCTCACACCTGTAATCCCAGCACTTTCGGAGGCCGAGGCGGGCAGATAACCTGAGGTCAGGAGTTCGAGACCATCCTGGCTAACATGGTGAAACCCCATCTCTACTAAAAGCACAACAAAATTAGCTGGGCATGATGGCGGGCACCTGTAATCCCAGCTACTTGGGAGGCTGAAGCAGGAGAATCGCTTGAACCCGGGAGGCAGAGGTTGTAGTGAGCCGAGATCATGACATTGCATGCATTCCATCCCGGACAACAAGAGCAAGACTCCGTCTCAAAAAAAAATAAAAATAAAAATAAAATAACCTGACTCTTAAATCAAAACAAGACTTAATTCTTCCATATGAGTTGTAGAAAATATACAAAAATCCTATTGTAATTTCAATTATAATTGCACTGAGTTTGACTAATTTGTTGAGAATGAAATTCTCCACAACATTAAATCATACCATCTGTGATCATATTATATCTCTTTGGTTTATACAATTTTTTCTCTATGGTCTTTAATAGACCTTTGAATTTTTCTCCAGAAAGGTCTTTATATTTTGGTGGCTAATTACTAAAGATTTTTGTTTTGTTTTGCTATTGTGAATGGTATATATATTTTAAAACTTATATTTGCTAGCTGTAATTGCTGGTTTTAAGAAACGCTATTGGCCGGGTGCGGTGGCTCACGCCTGTAATCCCAGCACTTTGGGAGGCCGAGACGGATGGATCATGAGGTCAGGAGATCAAGACCATCCTGGTTAACATGGTGAAACCCTGTCTCTACTAAAAACACAAAAAAATTAGCTGGGTGTGGTGGCGGGCACCTGTAGTCTCAGCTACTCGGGAGGCTGAGGCAGGAGAATGGCGTGAATCCCAGAGGTGGAGCTTGCAGTGAGCCGAGATCGCACCACTGCACTCCAGCCTGGGCGACAGAGTGAGACTCCGTCTCAAAAAGAAAAAAAATAAACACTATTGACCTTTTAAAATTTAAAAATGTTATCACATAATATGATACCTACAAAAGAATGCATGTAACATATATATATATGCTATTAAGCAGATTAATAAAATAAATACTTGTGAACCCACAAACCTGCTTAAATAATTGAAAATGCCAATAACATTGAAGCTTCCTGTGTGTCCCTTCCTGATACATCCCCATTTCTCCTCTCCGGTAGTAAATACTACTTTAATTTTGCTTTTTAAATAGTTTTATCACACGTGTTTATATTCTTAACATATTGTTTAGTTTTGCTCATTTTGGACCTTTATAAAAAATGCTATCCTACTGTAAATAGTCTTTGGCAACTAGCTTTTTTCCAATCCACATTATGTTTTTAAAATTGATCCATCCTGAGACATATAGCTTTTATAAATGTTCTTTCTTATTTTCATTAGGTTTTGTCTGTTATTCTTTTTTCTTTTTTCTTTTTTTTTTTTTGTTTGTTTTTTTGAGACAGAGTCTTGCTCTGTCGCCCAGGCTAGAGTGCAATGGTGCAATCTTGGCTCACTGCAACCTCCACTCCCAGGTTCAAGTGATTCTCCTGTCTCAGCCTCCGGAGTAGCTGGAATTACAGGTGCCCGCCACCATGCCCAGCTAATTTTTGTATTTTTAGTAGAGACGGGGTTTCACCATATTGGTCAGGCTGGTCTTGAACTCCTGACCTCAAGCAATCCACCCACCTTAGCCTCCCAAAGTGCTGGGATTACAGGTGTGAGCCAATGTGCCCAGCCTACTTTTTCTTCTTAATTTGTACTTATCACTAATTTTCTGCCTTTCTTCTTCTCTAATATAAAACTTTTATGGCTATATTTTTTTCCCTCTAAGTACCATTTTCATGATAGCATTTAATGTTCAATATGTGTGTTTTCTTTCAAGCACTCAATTTGCAGTATTTTCATATAACTATTATGAGTTTAACTTAACCCATGAATTATTTTTGAAGTGTGTGCTTAAATTTCCAAAATATGCTTTTTAAAATGAGCACTTTCTTACTAACTTTTAACTAAATTGTCCTATGATGACAGAATGAGGTCAGTATGAATTCAATCCTTCGAAAATTGTGGAGACCTGCTTTGTGGCTTAATATGTGGTAAACTTTTGTACATACACCTTGCATGCTTAAGAGTAATGTGTTTTCTTTGTTACTTACACTATTCTATGCATGTACCATAAAGCAAGCTTGTTAGCCCTAGGTTTCACATCTTCTGTATTGTTACTCATTTTCTGTTTACTTGACTTATCAATAGTTAGGAGCTGTGTTTCAGTGGATTTACTTATTTCTTCTTATGGTTCTATTGATCTTTATATATTTTGAGGCTATATGTCATACAAATTTAGAATTTTTTTTTTTTAAGAGACACCATCTCTCACTATGTTGCCCAGGCTGGACTCAAACTCTTGGGGTCAAGTGATCCTCCCACCACAGCTATCCGAGTAGCTGGGATTACAGGAATGTGCTACCATGCCTGACTAGAATTCTTGTATTTTCCTGGTGAAATAACCTTTTATTATTATGAACTTCTCTATTCTAAATAATTCTTATAGACTTGAAGTCTCACAAAAATATAGACACTTGTTTTCCTTCACTTAGTATGTGCCTGATCTATCTTTTTCCATCCTTTTATTTTCAAATGAACACATTCTTATGTTTAATACATCTCATAAGATATGGCTGGATGTTTAATTTTTGTACATAAATGAGGCTGGGCCCAGGGGCTCACACCTGTAATCCCAGCACTTTGAGAGTCACTTTGAGTTCAGGAAAAAAAAAAAGCTGACATTTTGCCTGGAACCAGAATGCCTAATTCATCTTTCATTTCCACATCTCTTTTTTAAAAAATAATTCTTAAAAATTCGATTTCCTCATTTCCATCTCATTCTATATTGCATCAAATAGCATAAAATAGTTCAAAAATGGTTTCTCAATGAAATAAAAAGAGAAGGAAACATGACCCTAATTAATATACCTGGTTACAGTCTTCAGGAAAATCTAGTAAGAATTTACCATCATTTAACACTCGCTCACCTGAAATGGCTTCAGGAATGTTTCCTCCATTGCCAGTCTGCCATACTCAGTGAAAAGCTAGAAAAAAAATTACACACACACACATACACAGAGAGAGAGAGAGAGAGAGAGAGAACTTTAGCACCTGCAAAGTTTTAATTCTTGGCTTTCTTTCATTTACTTTTCCCTCTAGGTATAACAGAATATTACATTAAGAAGATTCTAATAATCATTTTTAGGAAATAAGCATTGGATAGGTAAAGCAGAGCCATGGCAATTAGATATTTAAGAATGAAAGACATAAAGTACATTTAAAAATAAAATTTCCATTTTATTTTTAAAATTAACACTTTCATATTTTAAAATGAACACTTTTTATATCTAGAATGTGGGTTAATTTTTTTGTGGGGGACAAAACAGAAGAAGGAAACATGCTAAATGACCTTTAGAAGCAGAACTTGCATAAATTAGACCAGAGAGCTGTAAACTATGTAGGATATATTTACAAAAGCTGTTGCCTAAGGAAATTTAATGGCACAATGGCTTGGATTACTACAAAAGCATTAGGCATTTAGCTTAAGAAATGGAGAGTCCTTTTCCTTTCTTTGTCTTTTTTCTTTTTCTTTTTTTTTTCTTTTTTGTTTTTTTTTTTTTTGAGACAGGGTCTCACTCTGTCACGCAGGCTGGAGTGCAGTGGCATGATCTCTGCTCACTGCAGCCTTGACCTCCCTGGCTCAAGTGATCCTCCTACCTCAGCCTACTGAATAGCTGGGACCACAGGCATGCGCCACCACGCCTGCCTGGCTAATTTTTGTATTTTTGGTAGAGATAGGGTTTCACCATGTTGCCCAGGCTGGTCTCAAACTCCTGGGCTCAAGCAGTCTACCTGCCTCAGCCTCCTAAACTGCTGGGATTACAGGCGTAAGCCACTGCACCCGGCCCTGGAGAATCTTGAAATGAATTCGAAAGAGGAGAAACATATACTGTGCCCAGAGCATAATAAACCTGGAGAGTTGTGCTCCTTAGTCCTGGGAACTTTCTCAGTACTGTCGCCAGTTGTAAACCGAAACTCTGCTTCTTTGTTTCTGCTCCTTTTGGAGCAGTGATTGCTCTGTAGTTTTCCTGAGGCTAGATTGAACCTTATCACCTCAGCTGTGTTTTTTTTAAATGTCTGTGACTTGCAATGTGGCTCTTTTTCTAAAAAATATATTAAATTTGATGTTAAATTAGGGAGAAAGGTAGTTACTTATTGATATGGTTAGGCTTTGTGTCCCCGCCCAAATCTCATCTTAAATTGTAATCCCCATAATCCCCACGTGTCAAGGGAGAGACCAGGTGAAGGTAATTGAATCATGGAGGCTGTTTCCCCCACGCTGTTCTCTGTTCTCGCTGTTCTCGCCATAGTGAGTGAGTTCTCACAGATCTGATGGTTTTATAAGGGGCTCCTCCCACTTCGCTTGGCATTTCTCCTTCCTGCTGCCTTGTGAAGAAGGTGCCTTCTTCCCCTTTGCCTTCGGCCATGACTGTAAATTTCCTGAGGCCTTTCCAGCCATGCTGAACTGTGAGTCAATTAAACCTCTTTCCTTTATAAATTAACCAGTCTCAGGCAGTAATTACCAGGCAGCTAATTGGGCCAATAGTTCCTGTTTAAACAGCAGAATCAGAATCTGATTATGTTTTGAAATCATTCCCCAAAGTTCTGCTATACATGTTTCAAAGACTACCAGATACACAAAAAAGAAAATAAATATTGTTACCTGGAGGTGCTGAAGATCATCCTCCTGGACATTTTGGGATAAGTTATATACCTTGATAAAGAAATAAAATTACAATGATAAGATAACTGGCATCATCCTAAGCACTTACTTCATCATTCCCTACTTTTAAAAATATCAGTTACCACAAAATGGACTCTCTTATGTACATGCTTACATGATATTTGTAAGACCTTGAGAGAGAAGTAAAATAAGCTTGAGAGACAATAAGGAATGAACAATGATTATAAAATGGTTCCAGAAATACAGTAGTCACCTGCTCTGGAGATGGAATATTAAAATTATTTTATGAACCTAATTTATGCAATTAGTCAAAAAAACTCATTCTTCCAAGCAAGACAAAATAATAACAATCTAAATCTCAGCAAGCCATATGGAAAATTTTGTTTTGAAAAATCATGTTGACTTCTTCACAATTAATCATTTTATTTATGTCTATACAGAGTTTCATCACATGGAAGTTAGGTTCTGAATATCATGCTCACATCCTTATATATATATGTGATAACAGCATTAAGATGACATTTTTTGAGGGAAATAAATATCATTAACTTCAAAGAAAAGTTAAGGAGGCTTATATATTTATGTACTGATATAAAAAGAATGCTCTGTATACTTATTTAAATAACAGATCATCATTTCTCACATAATTAAAAAAAGTCATTACTAAGGAATTAGCAGATTTTTCTCTGAAAATATTCAATGTATTCAGGTCAAATATAAATAATGAGTAATACTGATAAGGCAAAGTCAATCTGGTTTAAATAGGCTTGTATAAGTATGGCTTACACTGTGAATTACAATAAATTAGATTAAGTCAGTATTTTAAAGGCTTATACAATGTGTGTATTCAAAATATCATATTGTACATTATATATATACAGATATATGTACACACATATATATATAATTTACACACACACACACACACATATATATATATATATATTTTTTTTTTTTTTTTTGAGACGGGAGTCTCGCCCTGTCACCCAGGTTGGAGTGCAGTGGCGCAATCTCGGCTCACTGCAAGTGCTCTGCCTCCTGGGTTCACGCCATTCTCCTGCCTCAGCCTCCCGAGTAGCTGGGACTACAGGCGCCTGCCACCATGCCCGGCTAATTTTTTGTATTTTTAGTAGAGACGGGGTTTCACCGTGTTAGCCAGGATGGTCTCGATCTCCTGACCTCGTGATCCGCCCGCCTCGGCCTCCCAAAGTGCTGGGATTACAGGCGTGAGCCACCGTGCCTGGCCAATATATATAATTTTTATTTGTCAACTGAAAGAAAAGTTAATTTTTAAAAGTTGATTAAGTAGGTTATAACCATGACTTTTTTTTTTATGACTTTTACTTTAAAGTCCTTTATTTAATAAATTCAGTCTTCCTTCCTCCTTCTGTTTACCCTGTCTTGGTTGTCCTAATCATATATGACGCCCTTGTTGCTGGTTCACTAGCTCCATTCTCTATGCTTGCTTGTAATTTTAGTCTTGACTCACTCATCCTAACTGCTTTGCCTTTTCTGCCTTTTTAAGCTATCTTACCTTTTTTTATTGATCTGCCCTGTTCCTTGGCCACTCTCTTTTTGCTTTTGCCAGTGGATTGAAAATATCTAAAAATAGTCTTAAAATCTTTTATGCTATGGATTCTATGGTTCTAATAAAACTCTACAAGGATTTTCAGGACAATTTAGAAAGCCCACAATAACCTCAAAAATAAGACTTTTAAAAAAGTGAAAGAAAAAAGGAAAGGAAAGAAAGATAAATTTTATATATAAGCTATTTACTTTCCTAAATGTACATTAAGGTGTTTTTAAAAGCTATGAACACATGTAAATGTTTTTACATTTAGAAATGTTTCTACTGGCTATGTAGAACAAAATTTATATTTATAAACACTGTTTCATTAAACATAACTTACAATAGATGGTCTCAATGTATACGCATATAAGATTTATGTTACTGAGTTTATTGTAGGCTTTAAACAACAACAACAAAAATCCCAATAAGATAATATGACCTTTTCTAACCAAAGCAGTCAATTTGAAAGTTTGTCAGTAATTAAACTACAGTAACAAAAACAATTCCACTCTCACAGAAATCACGAGAACTCGTATGCTAATTGAGTCAAACAATATATATGATTCCCAATTTCTGTTGTTTATCTAATTATAACATGTATGTAGAAACACATATACTCATAATTTTTAGTTAAAGAAACATCATCAAAATGGGCTTATTTCATACCTGTATTGAGCTGATCATTGTGCTAAGGGCAAATACTGTGGCTGAATCTCTCAAAGTTGACTGACTATCAAAGGTTCCCTGAGTATCCATCAATAACACTGCAACCTACAGGCAAGAAGAGTACATTATTGATATTTTATAGAACATCTAGGTCATTAGGGTTACCATAATATTAATATAAGAACTAAAGCAAACCATTATTAATCAATACTATTTTAGATAATTTCTTACACATGCCATGAATGCCACAGAAAATAAAAATATTAACAGCTGATTACTATTATAAGTAATTTTTACTAGTAATCCAACGTAACAGAAACTTTATGTAGCAGTGAAACAAAATACAGATGTTACTTGCTGATCTGCTGTTCTATCATCGTTATAATTTCGCCTACTCTGATCACAAGAAAGGGAAACAAAGATCATGCTATAGGATGCTACCCCACTTTAAGCTTCATGTCAAATGGTCAAAATTAATTTTCAAAAGTGCAACTTCAAGGATCCTAAAAAGTAGTAACTGTTATAAGTGAAAACTCAATTTTATTTAGGAAGTTAGCATCATACCTTTTTACCATCAGGTTTATTGATAAGGAAGATTTCACTCCATATCTGAATTCCTGTGGTCTCTCGCTCAGATCCACCTCTCCATGAAAAACCAGTCAATGGTTCATTGTAGTCTCCAACCCAATCAACTGATTCCTATAAAATGATAAAGTCTATGATATGGAACTTGATATGTGTATATAGTTTTTTCCATTCATTCATTCTGATTCTTATCCCTCTCCAATTCGAGTTAAAAGGAAACAACATATGCACATCTATTGCATTGATACCATCACTTTATTCATCCAAAAAATAATTACAGAGGAGCAACCATCTGCCACATTTTTGATATGTCCTGGGGATATAAAAATGAAAAGATATCATTGCAGACCAGAGGAAATTCACAGCCTAACAGCGAGACAGACATGCAAACAAACCATTATGATGCAATAAATGCATGCCAAAATGGAAGTATATATAATGCATAAATGGTAGCATAGAAAATAAATAACTAACCATTGGTCAGGCAAGACCACATAGGATGTTTGAGCTAAGACTTGAAAAATATTTAGGAATTTTCCAGGGAAGCAAATTTGGAGAAGGCATTCCAGAAAGGAAGGCAAGCAGGCAGGCAGGCAGAAAGGAAGGAAGTAGGGAGCATATTATGCTTTGGTTTTGTGGGAGGAGGAAGCAAGTAGCAGGAAGAGGCTGGACAGACAGCCAGATTCTGAAAGACCTTGTAAGGTCCTTAAGGGAGTCAGATTTTATCCTGCAGGCGACGGAAAGTTATGAAGAAGCAGAGATGAATTATCATCATAGTTGTGGTAGAAAGATACTATTCTAGAAGTAGGTAGGGCTAGTTAGTAGGGAAGGGAAATGATAGCTAGAAAAGATAAAGGTGGGGGTGCTATAATAAAGGTCAAAAATATGATTGAAGGTCTGACCAGGGCCAGGACAGCAGGAAGGAATAGACAAGTACTGATGCAAGTGGAGTTTGAGAAGCCAAAGGAAGACAGAATAGGAAAAATTATCAATTGTTTAAAGGCTGAAGATCAAGTTGGATAAGGCATGGAAAATATCCCATAGATTTAGTAAGTCAGTAATTGGTGACCTTGGTTGATAGTAGTTACCCCCATTTTGATATCTGTTACAGAGAATAAGTTATTAGTTTTTGGAAGATCTCATTAGATAATTGTCCAATCTAAAACCTTACAGTAACGAATGCAGAGGAATTTGGGAGAGGACTACTTGGACTGATAAAAAATCTACATAAACTAATTTAAAGAAAAATGTATTTAATTATATCCTATCTTGTTCTAAAAGGCATTTTAGACCGTTATCAAGAGCTTTGGTTCTTCTGTGAATTTGTTCTATTATCTGGCTCAATAACCTATTCAATCTTATTTCTTCTTCATCTCCAATACTTAATTTCCACTCTAGGGAAGAAGGTGTACACTCTGTTTAATACATATATTATACTTATTCCTCATAGTCCAGAATGTCCATTCTTCCTTTTCTGGTCCAGATCCACACATCTTCAAAATCTATTCTAACTTCCAATATCTCTATGAAGCTTTCTCCAGTTACTTTTGCCTACAATATGCCCTTCCCTGAACTACACTTAGAAATACGTCGATCAGGCTGGGCATGGTGGCTCATGTCTGTAATCTCAGCACTTTGGGAGGCCGAGGCAGGTGGATCACAAGGTTAGGAGTTTGAGACCAGCCTGGTCAACATAGTGAAACCCTGTCTCTACTAAAAATACAAAAAATTATCCAGATGTGGTGGCGCATGCTTGTAATCCCAGCTACTTGGGAGGCTGAGGCAGGAGAATCCTTGAACCCGGGAGGCAGAGGTTGCAGTGAACCAAGATTGCGCCACTGCATTCCAGCCTGGGTAACAAGAGTGAAACTCTGTATCAAAAAAAAAAAAAAAAAAAAAGAAAGAAAGAAAAGAAAAAATATATCTGTCACCATATCACCATGTAATGATGCTCTAAATATTTCACCTATTGTTATTCTGTCTCCTTGGCCAAACCATGAGATGCCTAAGTGCAAAATCTATGGTATGTTTTCTTTGGTATCCACCATAGTGCCTAGCACAATCTAGAACATTTAGCAGGTAGTCAATAAATAATTACTATTGAGGTAGAAATTGAAATTTTTCCAATAAGGTATTACCTGGAAAAATGTCTTGGGATGCATACTTCAATGAATAAATTGTGATTATTATTAATTAGCATAATAACATTTCCATAACATTCACTCTGAGTCAATGATCTACATTGAGATATTCATAAAAATCCTAAGCCTGAAAAATAACCTTGAAGGACAAGGAAAACATACCCAGCTAATTTTTGTGTGTTTTTTTTTAGTAGAGACAGGGTTTCACCATGTTGGCCAGGATGGTATTGATCTCTTGACCTCGTGATCCACCCACCTCGGCCTCCCAAAGTGCTGGGATTACAGGCGTGAGCCACAGTGCCCGGCCAGCAATTTATTTTCAAATGCATCAAAGAATAACTTGGAGTGATGGCTGGAAAGAGGGATGAATAGATGGAGTCATAAGTGATAAAGCAGGAATACTAATGTTAATGGTAGAATCTGGGTGGTGGATACCAAGATGTTTAGTATAAAATTTTTTTAACTTTGCTATATGCTTGAAATATTTCATACTAAATGTTGGAAAAAAGTGATTACAATACAAAAATTATGTGACATTTTAAACACTATAACATTTAAGTCTATAATCAGAATATTATGTGCCTATTTTTAAAAGAATAAAAATATAAGTTATATTCTAAGGGAAATGCAGCAAAGCAGCTTCAGAGAAAATTGGTCTGTGTAGTTTGGTCCCCAAAGCACTGAGGTTGGAATGGTTACACCACAGCATTTCTTTAGCTGGTTCATATATAGGGTACATAATAATAGAAATGAAAATTTTGAACACCATGAAATAAAAACATGAAGTGACAGAAGCACAGAAGAAAGAAAACTTTTTAAAGTACTTCCTGCATACCTGGTTGTACATGTATCTCAACATGAAGTCCATCAGGAATGATTTTCCTTTTCTAAATGCTCCAGCAACAGATACAGCAACAACCTCCTTGTCTCTGACAGCCTCCGAGAGAAGGATCCGATTTAATGCAGTTTCATCTAACTCAAAGGAATGGTCATCTTTGACAATGAGGACTTGGACTGGTCCTGCCTTTTTCACTGGCTCCTCCTCTTCTGAGCTCCATTCATATGTCTTTTCCGAAAATCCACCTGTTGAACAGAGCAGTGACTGGTTCAGCTAATCATCTCAAAGTGCCAAGAAATGTATATGTACCTCTTAACTCTCAAACATCCGACACAGGAGCATACTGGAATTATAAATGCTCATTTTATGCTGGGTGCAGTGGCTCATGCCTGTAATCCTAGCACCTTGGGAGGCTGAGGTGGGAGGATCGCTTGAGCCCAGGAGTCAAGAGCACCCTGGGCAACATAGTGAGATCCTGTCTATACAAAAAATTTTAAAATTCGTCAGGTGTGGTAGCACGTGCCTGTGGTCCCAGCTCTCAGGAGGCGGGGGTGGGAGGATCACTTGAGCCCAGGAGGTCAAGGCTACAGTGAGATATGATTGTGCCACTGCACTCCAGCCTGGACAATAGAGGGAGACCCTGTCTCAAAAAAGAAAAAGAAAAAAAGAAAGAAAGAAAAGAAATGTTTGTTTTAATGACATATTTTAATGTCATTCACACTATATCCCAGGAGGACTTACATTTGTTCTTTCTGATCATATGACTGAATCAAAAAAATTTTTCAAGAAAACTCTAAGTCAGTGCAGATGTCTCTGTCTGCTGAGTCAGAAAGAAAATCAAAGCAAAGCACTCTACTTTTGGAGCAGAGGAATAAAATGGTTGTAGTTCACACTTTCTTTATCCCCTAGAAATAGCTTATTTACATAAAGGATCCTTGCAATACTTTTTAAAGCTGAACATATATAGGAAGAAATACCTAGAAGGGCTCAGAATCACAGATTCTCAAGCATGCTATTGGTATTATTATAGATGAGGAAATTAAAGCCAAAGATGTGACTGACCTTGCCCAAGAGATGGAAATGGAATTTAGAAGGAAGGAAATGGTAGACTTCCTCATATAGGATTTCTATATCTTTCTCATGTTATTTATTTAATCTTTGTAATGTTCCAGTACGGTATTTATTATTATCTGTATTTTTGACACATGAGAAAATTAAGAATCTAATTAAATTTCCCAAGAGCACAACTATTAGAAAGTGACAGATTACAGGTCCAAGTTCACATGGACGGTAACTGCCAAACTGGGATTAGATTGCAAGAGTCAAAACTTTCATCCCAGATCTTTCTACTACAATAAAAAAAAAAAAATTCTGCCTCTTTGGTAGCAATCAAATAACTTTTGGACAACACATACATAGGCTCGTTTGCTTTATATCATAAGAACAGAAAGTCTATACATACACCAATTAATTCCTCAGATCAGATATATGACCTAGCCTCAAAGAAACCCTCAATAATTGCTATTGTAGAAACCTTAATCCCCAATGTTAGAGATGAGGCCTTTGGGAGGCCTTAGATTATGCTTAGATTAAGTTACGAGGGTCTCCCATCATAGAGTTAGTTCCCTTATAAGAAAATTAAGGAACCAGAGCCCCTTTTCTCTGAATTATGAGGATACACGAAGAAAGCAGTCTATGAACCAGGAGGAAGACCCTTACAAAAAAACCCAGCCCTGCTGGCAGTCTCATCTCATCCAGCTGCCAGAACTGTGAGAAATAAATGTTTGTTGTTTAAGCCACCCCAGTCTATGATTTTCTGTTACAGCAGCCCAGAGTGACTAAGACAATGATAATAATTTTGAAACAAACTGGACTCTTAAATAATCTTTTATCTAAATTTTTGAAAATATCTTTAGGTAGACATTCTTCATGATGTCTATTTGATAAGAAGTTTTATAACTAGATAAAAGCAAGGCAATCATCTCTTGGCATAATTTTAAATAAGTCTTCAGATCACATTGATATATATATATCACATTGATAACTTTATTGCTGTTCATCTATAAAATAATGCTATTGAAATACTGAAAATATATAATTTTAGTTTTGCATGAGTAGAGATAAGTATACACCACTACTTTCTGAACAATCATACAAAGCATCTAGAGACAACAGACCATTGCCTATAGCCACGAATCAGAGTTGTTCTCTCTGCAAAGTTAAGAAAAGTTGACTTTTTATCTGAAAGATAATAGCTTCTATATTGCCATTTCACAGGTGCTGGAGTCAGAGAGCCTTTGTTTAAATCCCAGCCTTACAATTTACAACATAAAGTTGTGGAAATTATTTAGCTTCCCAATGGCTCACTATGCTCCATTTTAAAAAGATTCATAATGGTACCCATATCAGAAAGCCTTTGTGAAGACTTAACAAAGTAATTTCCATTAAATAAAGATTGAAGAATCTGACAAATAGTACATGCTTAATGAATGGTGACTGTTATTAATACTATTATCTATTCATGTCTGATTACAGTCCTACCTACCACCTAATTTCAGTCTCAGTACAAAGGCCCTTTTTGAGAATAGCAAATACATATTTTATTTGATGACGCTCCTTGCCTATGATTTAATTATGATCTGAGCACACAAATGTGAATCACAGACCCAAGCTAGACATAATATTTTGGATAGAGAAACAGCTTTGGGGCAGAAAACTAGATCATAACTTTCTATAGACTGAAATAATTGTTTGCAACAAACTACACATATGCAAAAGGTACTGGAGAATGCACATAGAAATGGAATTTCTGGGTTGTAAGTTTTTCAAATATTCAACTTTAAAACATGGAGCAAAATTGTCTTTTTCTAAGTGGCTATATAAATGTTTCACTTCCGCCAGCAATTTAACATCCTATTGATCCATATCCTTTCTAACACTTGGTTTTATCTGACTTTGTTTTTGTCAGTTGCAGAGGTATAAAATGTTATCTCACTGTGGTCTTGATATACATTTCTCTAATTGCTAATAAGATAAGTACTCCTTTTATCCGTTTTTCTATTAGGTAGTTTGTCTTTTTCTTACTGATTTGTAGTTCTTTATGTATTTTGAATGCTATCCCTTTGTTAGTTACATGCATAGCAAGAGTCTTCTAGTTTCTAAGAGTTTGCCTTTTCATTTTCCTTAAGCTATAATTGATGAAAAGGCATTCTTAATTTTAATGTAATAGATTTTATTAATATTTTCTTTTATGGTTAACATTTTGTATACCATGTTTAAGAAATGATTCCACATACAAGATCTGAAAGATAGTCATATATATTCTATTTTATTTTATTTTATTTTTTATTTATTTATTTATTTTTTTGAGACAGAGTCTCGTTCTGTCGCCCAGGCTGGAGTGCAGTGGCGCGATCTCGGCTCACTGCAAGCTCCGCCTCCCGGGTTCACGCCATTCTCCTGCTTCAGCCTCCTGAATAGCTGGGACTACAGGTGCCCGCCACCTCGCATTTTTTATTTTTTATTTTTTTATTTTTAGTAGAGACAAGGTTTCACCATGTTAGCCAGGATGGTCTCGATCTCCTGACCTCGTGATCTGCCCGCCTCGGCCTCCCAAAGTGCTGGGATTACAGGCGTGAGCCACCGCGCCCGGCCAATAGTCACATATATTCTTCTAAGTTTATTTGTTTGTTGTTTTTTGAGACAGGGTCTCACTCTGTTACCCAGGCAGAGTGCAGTGGTGTGAGCTCAGCTCACTGCAACCTCTGCTTCCTGAGCTCAATCGATCCTCCCACCTCAACCTCCCGAGTAGATGGGACTACAGGCACACACAACCACCAAGTCCCACTAATTTCTGTATTTTTTGTAGAGATGGGGTCTCACCATGTTGCTCAGGCTGGTCTCAAATTCCTGGACTCAAGTGATCCACGTGCCTTGGCCTCCCAAAGTGCTGGCATTACAGGGATGAACCACGGTGCCCAGACTTTTCTATGTTTTAAAGTTTGCTTTTGATACTTAAGTTCCTAGTCCATCAGAAGTTGTTATTTGTAGGGTGGAAGATAAAAGCCATTTCTTTTTTAAATATGAGAAACAAATTTTTTCAGAGCTCTGTCAAAGCCCCTTCTTTCCTCAAGTGGTCTGCCATGAGATCTTTGTCATAAGTAAGAGTTTTACACAAACACACACCCCCACATACACACTGACTCATTTCTGAGCTCTCAGTTCTGATCCATTCATCAATTTCTCTACACCAGCACCAATTTTACACTATCCTATTCAAAATAGCTTCATAAAAAGTTACTGTATATAATATGGCAAGCACCTCCTATCCTTCTAATTATTATTGGTCTTGGCTATTTTAACCCTTTCCATATAAATATTAAAATCAATCTGTTAGTTGAACTCTTTACTGAAGTTACATTTATAGATCAGTTTGAAATGAATCAGTACCTTCATGCTATTAAGTCTTCTAATACATTAACATGATCTAGCTCTCCATCTATGTTTGGTCTTTAATTCCCTTTGGTAATGTTTTTATAATTTGGGGGAGTAGGAAGAGGTTTATTACATTTAGTCCCAGGTGCACTGTAGTTTTTGTTGCTAACTATGACTGGTTTATTTGTTGTTGTTTTAGTTATACTTTCTAGTTGTTGTTTGGATAAAGAACTATAATTAGCTTTAATGCATTGGTCTCATATTGAAGCATTTACTAAACTTTATTATTTCCTGTAAAATTTATGTAGATACTTTTGGGTTTTTTAAATGTAGAAACAGAAATACAATTTTCAAATAATGACAGTTTCCAACTTTTCAATCTTTATGTATGTCTTTTCTTTTTCTTAACTTATTAGACATTCAAGGCAATGTTGAATAGAAGAGGTGATAATGGGCATAACTTTTGATTTCAGTAGGCATAACTTCCTGATTTTAAAGGGAATGTCTCCAATATTTGCCTATTGGGGTTACTTTTGTTACAGTTTTGTTGGGCTTGGTTTGGTAGATACATTTTATCATATCAGATGAAGGAAATTCTATGTGTAGTTTACTAAGGGTTTCTAAAAATCACAAACAAATAATGAATTTTATCAAATAATCTCTTCTGCATCTATTGAGGTGATCATATAGCTTTTCACATCCAACATATCAGTGTAGCAAATAATATATATTTGCACTTTTTATATAAACCTAATAGTCTCAGGGTATAGTATAATGTTGGATTCAGTTTGCTAAGATTTTGTTTAGGAATTGTGCATGTATATTCATAAATGAGTTGCCTATGACTTTCCTTTCTTATTTTGTCCTTGGGTGGTTTTATTATATAAGTTATGCAAGCTTTATAAAATGAATTAGCAGCTGGGCATGGTGGCTTACACTTGTAATCCCAGCACTTTGGGAGGCCGAGGCGGGTGGATCATTTGAGGTCAAGAGTTTGAGACCAACCTGGCCAAGATGGTGAAACCCCGTCTCTACTAAAAAAAAAAAAAAACAACAACACAAAAATTATCTAGGCATGGTGGTGCGTGCCTGTAGTCCCAACTACTTGAGAGGCTGAGGCAGGAGAATCACTTGAACCCACAAGGCAGAGGTTGCAGTGAGCTGAGATCACACCACTGCACGCCAGCCTGGGTGACAGAGTGAGACTCCGTCTTATGGAAAAAAAAAAAAAGAGAAAAGTTTGTAATAAAAGATTGGAGTGAACGGTTCTTTGAAATTTTGATAGAACTCACCTGTAAAACTTTGTGAACCTGGTGTTTTCTTTGTGAGATGATTTTTAACTGTCATTTAAATTTCTTTTGTTGAGATGGAGACTCACTCTGTCACCCAGGCTAGAGTGCAGTGGCGCGATCTCGGCTCACTGCAACCTCTGCCTCCCGGGTTTAAGCAATTCTGCCTCAGCCTCCCAAGTATCTGGAACTACAGGCACGTGCCACCATGCCCGGCTAATTTTTTGTATTTTTAGTAGAGATGGGGTTTCACCATGTTGGCCAGGCTGGTCTCAAACTCCTGACCTCAAGTGATCCGCCCGCCTCGGCCTCCCAAAGTGCTGGGATTACAGTCATGAGCCACCGCGACTGGCCATTTCAATTTCTTTAATAGTTATTATTGCTATTGTGATATTAGTACCAATAAAGCTTGATAGTTCTTGAAATACTTCTAGTTCATTCTATCTTTCTAGGAATTTTCTTTTCACTGCCTTAAAATTCAGACAAAAATCAGTAAATATGCAGATTTGAACAGCATCATTAGCCAGTAGCCAGCCTTACCTATCTGACATCTAGTAATTATAGAACCACACATTCTTTTTAAGTTCATATGGAACATTTACCAAATAGCCTAGGTACTGGCTTATAAATCAGATCTCAATAAACTTCAAAGAATTACAGTAAGAAAGAATATGTTATCTCATCATAAAGGAATTAAACCAGAAATCAGTAACAAGAAGATATTAAGAAAATCTCTAAATGTTTGGAAATTAAGCAATAAATCTAAATAACCTATGGAATAAAGAAGAAAGTACAATGAAAACTAGAAAATATTGTGAACTAAATGATCTGATGAATGTTCTGATCTATTTGTCAATTTGTCTTTGACAGCACCAATACTACACTATATTCATTAAAATAGCTTTATGAAAAGCCATTATATGTTAATAGGACAAGCCCTCTTATCTTCTAATTACTATCAGTCTTGGCTATTTTGACCCTTTTCATATAAATATTGAATCAATATGTTAGGTCGTAGTATCTTATTTATATTGAAATATTTAAAATATGACATATAAAAAACTTGCTTAGAGGAAACTTAAACTTTGAAATGCATAAAGTAGTAAAGATGCTTGAAAAAAATCATAAGCTAATATCTATGTCAAGAAACAGTAAAAAGAATATCAAATTAGATTCAAAGACAAGAAAAGATAGGAAATAATGGTCAAAAATAAATGAACTAGAAATCAAGATCAGTGAGATTAACTTAATAATATAAGACTGATCAAAGAAAATAAGAGAAAAAACCCACAAATTACTCATATTAGATATAAAAAAAGATACTATAGATCCTACAGATTTTTTAAAATAATATGGGGATATTATGAGTAATTTTATGACAATAAATTTGATAACTCTGATGAAATGAACAAATTAAAAGTATCACTTATAAAAAAACCACATAAGACAAATAACTATGAATACTGTTATACCTAGAAAAAATTAAATTCATAATTTAAAACCTTCATGCAAAGGAAATTCCAGGCTCAGCTTCCCTGGTGAACTCTTCTAAACATTTAGAAAACAACGAAGAGCAATCTTACACAAACTTCTAAGAAACAGAAAATAAGAGACCATTCTCAACTTATTTTATAATGTCAGACTAACTCTGATACCAATAACTGACAAGGACATTATAAAAAAGGAAAATCATAAGCCAGTATCTGTTATCAAGATAAACTCAAAAGCTCTAAACAAAATATAGCAAATAAAATCCAGACATAAATTTTTTAAATATCACAAACACATGGTATCTATTATAGGAATTCAAGGTTAATTTAACATTCAGAGACAATTAACATAATTCACCACATTGCATAACAGAGACAGACATATGATTATTTCAGTAGATGCATAAAAGTAGGTATGAAAATGTAATAGTCATTCCTGATTAAAGAAAGAAAACAAAACCAAAAAAACCTCACAGCAAAGTAGGAATAGAAGAAAAATTCCTTAATCTAATAAATGGTATCTACAAATATAGCTAATGTTACATTTACTGTTAAAATACTGAAAGCTTTCTCCCAAAGTCAGTGAAAACCCGTGTTCAGACGCAAACCTGCACAAATATGTTTATAGCAGTTTTATTCATATTTGCTAAAAACTGTGAACAACCCAAATTTCCATTAACTAGGGAATGGATAAATAACCGTGATACATTCAACTTTAGAGCTGACTCTAAAGACATAGAGAAAATTATCTGGGGTAATGGAACAGTTCTAAATATTGATTGTGGTAGTCATAACGTGACTATATAAATTTCTCACAAGTCACAGAGCAGTAGATTAAAAAAGTTAATTTTACTGTATGTAGATTATAACTTAATTATTTTTAGTGAGAAAAAATATTTACATAGCATTATAAAACCTGATCATCTAGTAATCAATCTAAGTGATGTGTTGGCAAATGTTTAATAACCAGCTCTTAGCAGTGGGTAGGTGGGGAAAAGTCCTGATTTGTGACATTTGCCAATTTCTGTGATATAAATACTACCACCATGGCCCACTTTAGTCTCACAATGTGATTTACTGAATGTGGAGCCAGGAAGAGATGTACCCGATCAGCTCTCATGAACTAGTAGGAGCTGGCTCCAACATACCACTGAAATCTAATGAAAGACATTTAAGACCTCTGCAGAAAAATATAAAACATTACTGAAAGAGGGATATACATGTTCTCAGATTAGAAAGCTCTATATTGTGAATGTGTCGATGCTTCCCATTGATCAATAGATTGATTATAACCCAAATCAAATTTTCAGCAATCTTTCTTGTACAAATTAACAAGCTTATTTCTCTGTTGCATAAATCTTTATTATGCAAATTAATAAGCTTGTATGGAAAGGCAAAAAGCCAAGAATAACAAAGACAACCTTGAAGAGGAACAAAATTGGGGGACTTACACTAACAGACACCAATAGATAATTAAAATCTATGGTAATGAAGACAGAGTGAAATTATCACAAGTATAAACAAACAGACCAATAGAAAAGACTACAGACCCACACATATACAATCATCTGATTTACAACAAAGGTGCCACTGCAATAGATAAGAAAAGGAGATCTTTTCAATAAATGATGCTAAATCCATTGAATATTCATGTGTGGGGAAAATGAGCCATCATCCTTAGCTCTCACCATACACAAAAACCAGTTCCAAATAAATCACAGACCTACACCTGGTGGAGGAGAAGTGGACAAAAGACACAAATAAGCAACTGACAAAACCCACAATATTAAATGACTCCATACATATAAAAAGATATTCACCATCATGCAAATAAAAATGAAAAAATATATTGATAACTTTTTCACATATTGGATTTACAAAGATCAAAAGTGTAATAATTATTTTCATTAGTTCAGATGTAAACTTGTACTCACAGATACTACAGGTGGGAATTAAAATGGATACAGCATCTTTGGGCTGCAATTTGGCAAATAACTATGAAAAACACAAATATATGTATTCCTGACCCAGCAATGCTATTTCAAAGAATTCATTTGCAGATATACTCATACATATGCAAAACACCAGAAACAATGTAAATGTCCATCAATGAGGGACTGATTAATAAATTATGGTTCATCCTCTTGTGAAACATAATTGTAAAGAATGAGGAAGTTCATTTGGAACAATTGCCCAATATATATCATAAGAAATAACTCAGTATAATACAGTGTGTACAATATGGTATAACTCTGAAAAAAAAGTGTGTGGGAGAGTGTGTTTGGCATGTTTAAGAATAGCAAGTAGTACAATATGCATGGAGCAGGTTGAAAAGGTTATGAGGGGCCAGGTCAGGAAGAGTAAGACAGAGCACAAATATGAAAGGATTTGGAACAGAGTGGATATTATGGGTGAGAGTAATGGAAAACACTTCAGTGGATGTTGGTATCTGATTATCCTTTCCTTGTCTGCCTTTGTATACCAGGTGTGGGTTAGGTAGATAACTCTGAACTTTACATTTATATGTTCAAGGCTCTTGAAGAGTTACACATGGAATTAATGAAGAGGAGGGAGATTGTCTATTAACCATGACTTACATAGGCTACAAAATAAAACAAATACCTGAGTTGTGATATTTGTTTATCACTCAGTATCAAATACTGAGATGCTTTATACAAAGAAGTCTCATTCTGTCTATGTAAGCAAAATACCATATTAAATATTCCTTCTTGGTATAGAGACTTTTAAAAATACAGAAATCATTTGTTATTACATGAGAGAATAAATAATAGAATAGAATGAATTTGTGGAATATTTATAAATATATAGCCATTAGTTTGTATGTCACTTACAGTTAAGAAAGAAACCTATCATTAACATCAGCCCATACATATAATTATGGTAATCAACATTTACATATAAAAGTGTTTAGAAAAGCTACACTCTAAATGGCTATCAACTAATAAATGGACAGATAAAATGTGGTATATCCATACAATGAAATATTATTCAGCAATAAAAAGAAATGCAGTACCAATACATGCTATAATAGGATGAATCCTGAAAACACTATGTTAAGAAGCCAGTACTAAGGACCACATATTGTATAATTCCATTTACATAGAAATGTATAGAATTAGGCAAATTTATAGAAACAGAAAGTAGATTGGTGGTTACCCAGAGCTGGGGAGTAGGAAGGGTATGGAGGGTGATGGCTAACAGATATAAGGTTTCTTTTGGGAGCTAATGAAAATGTTCTAAAACTATAATAATTTCAGAATTATATATACTAAATATACTCTGAATATACTAAAACCAGTGAATTCTACACTTTAAGTGGGTGAATTATGTGGAATATAAATTATATTTCAATAAAGCTGTTAAAAAACTATTTAGAAAAACTTCAGTTTCTGTAAAATAACAAAACCGAAAAACTAGACTAAAAATATTTAGAGAGCAGAGACTGTATTATTCATCTTTGTATTTCTTAAAAATGTATAGCCTGGGCACAGTGGCTCAGGCCTGTAACCCCAGCACTTTGGGAGGCCAAGGCGGGGCAGATCACGAAGTCAGGAGATTGAGATCGTCCTGGCTAACACGGTGAAACCCTGTCTCTACTAAAAATACAAAAAATTAGCTGGGCATGGTGGCACACGCTTGTAGTCCCAGCCACTCGGCAGGCTAAGGCAGGAGAATCGCTTGAACCCGGGAGGTGGAGGTTGCAGAGAGCTGAGATTGCGCCACTGCATTCCAGCCTGGGCGACAGAGCAAGACTCCATCTCAAAAACAAAAACAAACAAACAAAAACTTATAACAGAAGTTTACACACAGTAGGTGCTCAATAAATATTTACATAAATTTAATACAAATAACTGAAAAATATTGGACTTCAGGGTATTACTAAGAACAAATATTATGTACTCGACTCATTATTTGTAACTATATATTATATACACAATAAATATTATCCTTGCTAATCTAAAATAGGCTGGGCATGGTGGCTCATATCTGTAATCCCAGCACTTTGGGAAGGTGAGGCAGGAGGATCGGTTGAGCTCTGGAGTTCGAGACAAGCCTAGGCAACACAGCAAGGTGCCATCTCTCCAAAAATATTAAAATATTAGCCAAACATGGAGGCACATGCCTGTAGTCCTAGTTACTCAGGAGGCTGAGGTAGAAGGATCACTTGGGTCCAGAAATAGCAGATTACAGTGATCTATGATCATGTAACTGTACTTCAACCTGGGCAACAGAATGAGACCCTGTCTCTAAAATTTTTTTTTCATTCAGAAATCCTTTGGAATGCATAACAAGTTTCCTCAGCACCAGATTTCTTTTTTCTTAAATATGTTTTGCTAAATTAAACTCAGTTTCAATTCCCAGAATACTGTGCAAATCCTAAAGAGAGAGGGGGCAGGAAACAGGTCAGAAGTAAACCAGATGGAAACTAGCACTTTACTGTGAATAATACAAATGTACAGCTCACAAGGAAGGAAAGAACCAACTATACAGATGCTCCTCAACTTACAATAGGGTTACATCCTGATAAAACCATCATACGTTGAAAATATATGTTGAAAATGCATTTGATACACCTAACCTCCTGAACATTACAGCTTAATCTACCCCACCTTAAACATCCTCAAAACACGTTAGCCTACAACTGGGTGAGATAATCTAACACAAAGCCTATTTTATAACAAAGTGTTGACTATCTTATGTAATTTATTGAATACTGTATTGAAAGTGAAAAAAGAATGGTTATATGGGTACTTGAAGTATGATTTCTACTGAATAGGTATTGCTTTCAAACCATTGTAAAATTGAAAACCCATAGGTCAAACCATCATAAGTTGAGGATAGTCTGTATATCATTTCACCTTTTTATACACTTGGTCTTATATTCAATCACTATAGGGACTTAGGGGACTTTTTCATTCTATGTGGTGTTCTGAGTTACTGGAAGCTGGCACTCAGCTACTGAATTTAGCCATGTAGAAGGGGAATCTTCAAAAATGTCAAATGTGGAGAATAATCATATTCATATACTAGAAATGTTGTGGAAGTGTATTTCTAATTTTCTTAATTGTAAACTTTGTAAAAAAAAATCTATTTTTCCAGCATAAACTAAGTAAGATGACAAACTCTGGGTATATTGCAGCCATTATAGAGAAAAAAACATACCACCAAGGAAACTATCTCTTGGCAACTAAAATTAAAAAGAACTGTTACTTTTTCTTAAACTATTTATGTCCCTTCCTAGCAGTAGAACTTAAAGAGAATGACATCAAAAACATTGTGTGAATGAAAAACTGAGAATGACTTCCAAAGTAACAGCAAAAGAGTTTATACAGAGACAAACAGAGATAAGGAAACAAAAACAAAATACTAACTCATAAATGTGAATCTTAAGAATGTTAGAGCAACAGTAGAGATATGGGATTATATGTAATAGATCTCAAAACACTTCCGTACAGACTCTCAGATAGCTCTGCTGTTAATGATAGCCTTGAAGAAGAGGGTTAAAAGGATTAATGCAGATCCTGCAACATGAAGGCCTTGGAAGAAGTTGAGTCAGTCATTTATATAACAACCTATTTATTTATATTGGACACAAAAGAATTCCATAAACCATTCAATGGATCTCTCTAGAAGAACAATGACATGATGATGAGGGCACTGTGCATGTGTGTGTATGTGTGTGTGTAGAAAAGTAAGTCACTAATAAAAATAGAAATATAAATGGCTAATAGACATGGGGGGAAAGCTAAGTCTTTCCAGTAATTAAAGACAAACTAATTAAAATAGATAGCCTTCCTAAATCAAGGACCAGAGAGAGAGGAAAAAAGAGATAGTCTTTTTGGCTATCATAACTAGTAAAAGCTAATATATATATATATATATATATATATATATATATATATACACACACACACACACACACACACACACACTCAGTATTGAAAACAATGAAAAACATTTAAAAATACACATACCTTTTAATAAAACAATTCCATGCGTATTTATTTACATAGAGGTTCATGACAACATTATTTACATAGTGACAAATTGGAAACAATCTAAATGTCTAACTGTAGGATACTGTAAATAAATTATTTCACAGCTCTATTATACAAGATATGGAGCCATTTGAAATCATGGTATAGAAAAAAACCTAATCATAAGAAAATATGTTCACATGTTTTAAGAAGAACAGATGGAAGGCACAATTCCCGCTAAGAAAAACAAATACATATGCCTTTGTAGTCACTGAAAAAAGTCAGTTTTAGACACAGTTGTTTTCTAAAGAATTACCTGGTCCTTTAATCATCTTTGAGTCAGCTATATTGAAAATGGATGATTACTCTTTGTGCTGAATTTTGTCTGTGTCATGCTCAATCATTCTAAGCTGTTCTCTATATTGCAGAGATTGGAAATATACTGCAGAGACTGAAACTACAGCACTACAATTCTTGCAATCCTTTCTTGGGAGAGCTCTTGTTTAGATTTTGCCAGTGAAAAGCATTCATGACTTTTGGAAGACAGGGTGAAGGAAAAGCCATTATTGCCTTCTAACAGAAAGAATAGATAAGTGAACTGACAGCAGCCATGAGACTTGCAGCACATGGCAAAGGCACAGAACTACACCAATTTGTGGACAGTAGCTAACACTTCCACCAGATAATCAGGCACTTGGAAGAAATATGTGATAGAGCTTTGGAACAGGCACGGAGTATAAGGATATTCAGTCCCAGGTGAATGTCCTCCAAAGGGCATTCACTGCTGAGGAGCCTCTAGGTAATTAGGTACACAAGGTGACTCATTTTACGGTTATCAGTCAGTCTCCTTCCCCAGCTACCCCAGCTCAGTAGTACCAGAAACTAAACCAGCAAAAGAAACATAAAGCATCTACATTAATATCAGATAAAATAGACTTCAGGGCAAAAAGTGTCATGAGAGATAAAGAGGTTTGTGGCATAAAAATAAAAGGTTAAACTTATTAGGAAGATGTAACAATTCCACATTTGTGCACACTTAACATAGTTCAAAGGTCTATGAGCAAAATAACAGAACAGAAGGGGAAACTGACAAATCCACTTCATGTTTTTTTAAAAAACATATCTGAGAACTTTAAAGTATCTATCAGATATCAGTATTTGGTAGATAAAGCAGTCCAAAATCAGAGTATAGAAGATATGAACAATACTTTTAGTAGATTTGAGCTAATGGACATATATTGCATACCGCATCAAAAATCAGGAAACATGAAATGCTTTTCAAATGTACATGAGATATTTATAAAAATTAAAAATGCATTAGTACATAAATCGAATTTCAACCAAGTTCAAAGCATGGGTGTTCTATGAACATGAACTGCTCAGTATTGTAGCCAGTAGCCATATGTGACTATTTAAATCAATCAAAAATTAAGGATTTGGTCCTCATTCTCACTAGCCACATTTCAAGTGCTCAATAGCCACATATGACTAATGGCTACCATATTGGACAGTGCAGACACAAAACATTTCCATTACCATAGAAAGTGGTGCGATACAAAATATATTCTGACTATAACAAAATTAAGTATGAAATCAAGAACAAAACATTAATTTAGAAAAATCCATACTTTTTCTATATTCATGGGTAAAAAAAATATTATGGACACTGATATGGTCTGGCTCTGTGTCCCCACCCAAATGTCATCTTGAATTGTAATCCGAATTGTAATTTCCATATGTTGGGGGAAGGACCTCGTGGGAGGTGATTAGATCATGGGGATAGTTCCCCCATGCTGTTCTCATGATAGTGAGTGAGTTCTCATGAGATCTGATGGTTTTGTAAGGGGCTTTTACCCCATTAGCTCTGCGCTTCTCTCTCCTGCAACCATGTGAAGAAGGATGTGTTTGCGTCCCCTTATGCCATGATTGTAAGTTTTCTGAGGCCTCCCCAGCCATGCAGAACTGTGAGTCAATTAAACCTCTTTCATTTATAAATTACCTAGTCTAGGGTATATCCTTATAACAGCATGAGAATAGACTAATATGACACAGTAAAATACTTAAAACTGAACAATAATAAATCTACTACATATCAACATATATAGGATAGAGCAAAATTGTTATGTAGAAAAAACTTATAGCCTTAAATGCATAGATCAGAAAAAGAAGAAAAGCTGAAAATGTACGAGCTCAGTATCCAACTTCTTAAGTTACAAAGAATAAAATATAGAATAAACCAAAAGAAAGTATAATAATAGAGATGCACAGAAATTAAATAAATAGAAAAGAAAAAAGGAGAAATCACATGATAAAAGATATACTAAGGAAGGTACACATAAACAAAATTAAGCAGAGAAAATAACAGAAAACTTAGAACAATCTTATGCCAGCTTGATGAAATGGATAGATTTCAAGAAAAATGTAAATTACTAAAACTGACTCAAGAAGAAATAGAAAACTTTAATTATTCTATAACCAAAACAGAAATTGAATGAACAGTTCAAAATCTTATATGGCAGGTCCAGGAGGTTTAATAGACTAGTTTTCTCAAACTAGATCATCCTAATCTTACATGAATTCTTACAGAGAATTTTTTTTAAAAAGGAAATGTCCCCTACTCATTTTATAAAATTAGTATAACCTTGATACCTTGATATCAAAGTCAGACAAAGAAAGTGCAAGAAAGGAAATTCAGTGATCTGTAAGCCCACGGAAAAGACACCATGAGCAAAGCTCACCCTCTGGATTTAAAAAAATTTATGGACAAGAAGTTATAACTGAAATTAAATGGTGGCAGACATGTCCAAGGAATATTGTGGGGATTTGATCCCTTTATGAATCTTGTGATAGATAAATGTGTGGAGATGGCAACTAGCGGGCAACAAAACAATATTGGAATGGTGGTAATGCAAGGAAATAGTACCATCATGTTAGAAGACTTGGAATGTATAAATAATGACCATTCAGCAGAGAAATCCATGTCGCCTCTCCAAAGGGCCTGTTAAGTTAGGTAAAAATTATGTAAAAATTAGGTCATGTACATTTTCATATTAGACTTTTTGTTAAATAAACTTTTGTAATAGTCAAAAAAAGAAAATTAGTTGTAAACATGCTTGCAAATATTGTAATCTAAAGATTAGCAAACCCAGTAATGTATTAAAAAAGGAAATACAACATGACTAGCCTGGATTTATTCTAGAAATGCAAGATCACCTCAACATAAAAAATCTATTGATCTAATTAAACGTATTAACAAACTAGAAAAGAAAAACCATATAATTATTTGAATGAATGCAGGAAAGGCATTTGTTAAAATTCAATATCCAGTGATGATTTGTAAATACTAATAATTATGAATAAAGGAGAAATCTGATGAAGTCTTAATCTGATGAAGTGAGACTGGAAAGAGTTCTGAGAAGAACTCTGGAATCCATTAAAAACTTGAAACTTCCAGGGATAAGCTTGGATAGTAAATTGCAGTTAATTTCAGTCAATTTTAGCTCTTAGCTTAGCAGGAGCTACACATCCCATATCTCCCAGTCCCATGGCAGGCAGCCATGCATGTGTTCCTGGAGCAGCTTGAATGCAGGTTGTGGGAGCCAAAGTGGGAATAAGAACCCCTGTCCTCCAAAATTTGGAGATCTGTATTCTGGTTGATAATTGCTGCTTCTGATCATGGAGGTGCAGATACAGGTGAGCTGTCCTTGTTGCACACCCCACCTCTCATTGTTGGAAGCCCCTCCCACTCTAGCTCAAGTGACTTCCAGGGTACTTAAAGGGCAGGTTCCTTTAACTACCCCTTCATTTTTCTTTCCCACCCACTTTTGAAAACCAGACACTAAAGACTAGGACATTCAAAAGCAACTGCATACACAGAGGAAATTAGTTACTGCCCAGGGAAAGGCACAGGCTCAGAAAAGACCGTGAAGATCTTAAGTTTACATCTCAGGCTGATCCTTGACATGGAGACATCCTACAACAATTAAAACAAAAAGAAAAAATAGCAAACTGTGGGAAAGAGAGAAATTCTGACTTCCAGAGTTACCACATTATTAGTTTCAAATGTCCAGTTTTCAACAAATCACAAAGTATACAAAGAAAGAAGAAAGTACTGGCCATTTAAGGGAAAAAAATAAAACAGAAACTGTCCTAGAGAAAGACAATATGGCAACCCTACTCAACAATTACTTTAAAACCACTGTCTTATAAATACTCAAAGAACCAGCAGGAGACATGGAGAAAGTCAAGAAAATGACATACAAACAAAATACAAATTTCAGTAAAAAGACAGGAAACCTAAAAATAAACCAAAAAGAAATTCCACACTGAGCAAGGTGGTTCATGCCTGTAACTTAAGTACTTTGGGAAGGTGAAGTGAGAGGATCACTTGTGGCCAGGATTTTGAGGCTGCAGTGAGTTCTGATCATACCACTACACTCTAGCCTGGGCAACAGAGTGAGACCCTATCTTTAAAAGAAGAAAAAAAGAAGCTTAAAAATATAATAATTGAAATGAAAAATTCACTAGAGGTAGTCAGAGACAGATTTGAGCAGACAAAAAAAATCAGCAAACTTGAAGATTAGGAAAATAGAAATTATCAAGTCATTGAAGAATAGAAAGAAAAAAGATTGAAGAAAACTGAATAGAGCTTAACAAACCTGTGGGACACCATCAAATGAACCAACATACACATTGTAATAGTTACAGAAGAAGAAAAGAAAGAGAAAGTGGCAGAGAGATTATTTGTAGAATAATAGCTGAAAACTTTCCAAGTTTGATGAAAGATAAACATCTGAGAAGTTCAGCAAATTCTAAGTAGGATGAACTCAAAGAGACCCACATTGAGACACATTATAATCAAACTGTCAAAGGCCAAAGACAAAGAGAAAAATTTGAAAACAACAAGAGAGAAGTGACATATCACATATAAGGGATTATTAACAAGATTGTCAGCAAATTTCACATCAGAAACTTTGGAAGCAAAAAAGCAGTGGGCAGACATAGTCTAAGTGCTGAAAGAAAAAAAACCTGTCAACTAAAAATCCTATATCCAGCAGCCCTGTCCCTCAAAAATGAGGAATAAATTAAGACATCCCCAGATAAACAAAAGCTGGAGTTTGTTACCACTAGACCTGCCTTTCAAGAAATGCTAATGGTAATCAGTCCTGCATGTTGAAATGAAACGACACTACACAGTAACTTAAAGCCACATGAAGAAATAAAAATCTCAGTAAAGGTAAATACATGGGCAATCATTAAAGGTAGTATTATTTTAACAACAGTTTGTAGCTTCATCTTTGGTATTCTATATGGTTTAAGAGACTAATACTTTTAAAAAAAACTGTAAGTCCAAAAGCTAATATAATAATACTTGTAATTTTGGTCTGTAATTCCACATTTTGTTTTCTATATAATTTAAGAAAGTAATGTATTTTTTTTTTTTTTGAGACAGAGTCTTTCTCTGTTGCCCAAGCTAGAATGCAGTGGCATGATCACAGCTCAATGAGACAGAGTCTTTCTCTGTTGCCCAAGCTAGAATGCAGTGGCATGATCATGGCTCAATGCAGCCTCAACTTCCTGGGCCCAAGTGATTCTACTACTTCAGCCTCCGGAGTAGCTGGGGCTACAGGCATGCACCACCACACCTGGATAATTTTTGCATTTTTTTTTTTGTGGAGAAAGGGTTTTGCCATATTGACCCGAATTCCTGGTCTTGAACTCCAGGGCTCGAGCAGTCCTCCCACCTCATCCTCCCAAAGTGCTTGGATTATAGCCATGAGTCACCATGCCCAGCTGAGAAACTAGTGCATTTTAAAAAAACAGTTACTAGTTTATGTGTTTTGGACACACAATATGTATACTTTTATGATACCAATAACTGAAAGGGGTGAGGATGGACATGTAAAGGAGAAGAATTTTTGTATGTTATTAAAATTAAACTAGTATAAATTCAAATTAGAGTGTTACAACTTTAGAATGTTAAATGTAATCTCCATGGTAACCACAAAAAAAAGCTAGAAAAATGTGCACAAAGGGAAATGATAAGCGAATTAAAACATTACACTATAAAAATCAACTGAACACAACAGAGAGTAATGCGCAGTAATGCAGGAAATGAGAGACAAAAAAGCTATAAGACAAATAGAAAACAGCAAGACAAACAAAAGAAGTCACACCTTATCAGTAATTACTTTAAATGTAAACAGATATAAACTCTCCAATCAAAAGAAAGAGATTGGCAGAATGGATTTAAAAACATGATCCAACTCTATGCTGTCTATAAGAGCTTTGCTTTAGATCCAAAGACACAAGCAGATTGAAAGTGGTAGGGTGGAAAAAGATATTCCACGTAAATATAAACCAAAAGAGAGTAGAGGTGGCAATACTAATATCAGAAAAGATAGCCTTTAAAAAACCACAGAAGTTAACAGAAAACAAAGAACTGGTTTTTTTTTTAGAGACAATATCTTGTTATGTTGTCCAGGCTGGAGTACAGTGGCTAGTCACAGGCCAAATCATAGCACATTATAGCCTCAAACTCCTGGGCTCAAGGGATCCTCCTGCCTCAGCCTCTGGAATAGCTGAGACTACAGGTGCATACCACCATACCTGGCTAGGACATCATATACTAATAAAAGTTTTAATACGGCATTTGAATATATAACAATGACAAAAATCTATGTACCTAGGAACACTGTATCAAAATATATGAAGCAAAAGTTGACAGAATTGAAAGAAGAAATAGTTCTATACTAACAGTTGGAGACTTCAATATCCTATTCTCAATAATGGATAAAACAAACAAACAAAAAGGAAATAAAGACGTGCAAAGAAATAGAGAACTTGAACAACACAATGTGCCAATTAGACCTAACAGACAAATACAGACATTCTAGCCAACAACAATAGAATACACATTTTTCTCTTGTGTACCTGGAACATTCTCCAGATAGACTATAAGGGAGTCCACATATTAAGTCTCAATACATTTTAAAAAGATAGGTATAATACTAAATATTTTCTTCAACCACAATGAGATGAAGTTGGAAATCAGTAACAGAATGAAAACTGGAAAATTCACAAATTTGTGGCAATTAAACAACACACTCTTAAACAACAAATGATCAAAGAAAAAATCACAAGAGAAATCATAATATTAATTGCTAATCAAAACTACAATGAGATATCACATCACATCCATTAGAATGACAACTATTTTTTAAAAAACAGAACATAACAAGTGTTGGCGAAGATATGAAAAAATTTAAACCTGTGTGCACTGTTGATGAGAACATAAAATGGTACAACCTCTGTGGAAAACAGTATAGCAGTTCCTTAAAACATTAAAAATAGAATTACCATAAGATCCAGCAATTCCACTTCTGGGTATATACCCAAAAGAATTGAAAGCAGGGTCTCAAAGGGATACTTGTACACCATGTTCATAGAAGCATCATTCACAATAGCTAAAATGTGAAAGCAACCCAGTGTCTGTCAACAGATGAATGGATAAAAAAATGTGGTGTATACTTACAACGGAATGCTATTCAGCCTTAAAAAAGAAGGAAGTTGTGATATATTCTACAATATGGATGAAACTTGAGGACATTTTGCTATGTGAAAAAGCCAGTAAAAAAAAAAATGTATCATTCCACTAACGTGAGGTACACAGAGTAGTCAAAGTCATAGTGAAAGAAAGTAGAATGGTGGCTGCTAGTAGCCATGAGGAGGGATGAGGAGTTACTGTTTAATGGGCACAGAGTTTCAGTTTTGCAAGATGAAGAGTTCGGGAGATAGACAGTGGTGATAGCTACACAACAATATTTTACTTGTGTACTAGTATCACGGAACTGTACATTTAAAAATGGTTATGATGGTAAAATTTATGTTATGTGTATTTTACCACAAATTTTAAAAACTGAAAAAAAATGAAGTGTAAAATTTTAAAACCAGATAATATAGAAGACGATTTTATAACTTTGAGGTAAGAGAAGATTTTTTTAAATATAAAAAGTACAAGCCATAAAGGAAAATATTGTTTAAATGGACTACGTTTAAATACATAATGTCTGTTTATTAAAATACACCATAGAGATCAAAGTCATGCAAAAAGTGGTAAAAGAGATCTATAAGACAATCAGCAAAGGACTTATATAAAAAATATGTATAAAACTCCTACAAAGCAAGAAGAAAAAGATAACCTAATTTTAAAATGGGCAAAGGGCAAACAGGCACTGAGGAGGAAATGTGAATGGACAATAAATATATGCTCACATCTCACTGGTAATCAGTAAAATGCAGATTGAAACTACAATGAGATACCATTTCAGACCTATCATATTACCAACTATGGGTAAGGATGTGGAGTGAACAAAATATCTTGTGGAAAAATGCACACTCTAGATTCCCTTTATATTAGGCTCTTCAAATGTAAAACTAAATAGTATATTATTTAGGGATATATATATATTTATTTATAGCTAAACTGTAAAAATTATCAAGAGAATTAGAAACTTCAAATTAATGAAAGTGTTTACCTTTGGAGAGGGTAAGAACAGGTTGTCCTGGCCGGGTGCAGTGGCTCACGCCTGTAATCCCAGCACTTTGGGGGGCTGAGGTGGGTGGATCACCTGAGGTCAGGAGTTTGAGACCAGTCTGACCAATCTGGGGAAACCCCATCTCTACTAAAAATACAAAAATTAGCTGGGTGTGGTGGCGGGCACCTGTAATCCCAGCTACTCAGGAGGCTGAGGCAGGAGAATTGCTTGAACCTGGGAGGCGGAGGTTGCAGTGAGCTGAGATTGCACCATTGCACTCCAGCCTGGGTGACAGAGAGAGACTCTGTCTCAAAAACAAAACAAAAGAAAACAAAACAAAACAGGTTGTCCTTAAGGAGAGGCATACAAGGAGTGACAAAATATTGATAATGTTCTATTTCTTTGGCTGGGGGGCACAGGTGCTCATTCCTTTTTTAAAACTGAACACGTTTTACATGTTATTTTGTATACATATATGTTTCATAAGAAATTTTTATGTAAAAGAGGAAGACCTTCCAAATCTAAAATCTTTTTTTATTACTGGAAGTACTACACAGTGGATTATTTCCCTGGTGATCACAGGTTCTGCCTACAGTGTAGCCACTGATTCTAAAGATAATAAAGTCTGCAGAGTCTGAAATGCAGCAAAGGTGTAACCCTTGAGTCATCAAGACAAGGTAAGCAGATGTTAAGTATAAAAAATATACATAGGAAAAGTACATTTGAAAAGATGCAGGGAAGGCAACTTAAAAAATGTAGGGAAGGAAAATCTACAGTACATGTCTTATATATAGTACATATCATACAGTACATGTATGACCCAGTAGAATTTTTTTTTTTTTGAGATGAAGTCTCATTCTGCCACCCAGGCTGGAGTACAGTGGTGCGATCTCAGCTCACTGCAACCTCTACCTCCTGGGTTCAAGTGATCCTCCTGCCTCAGCTTCCCTAGTAGCTGGGATTACAAGCATGCACCATCATGCCCAGCTAATTTGGGGTGGTTTTTTTTGTTTGTTTTTTATTTATTTATTTATTTTGAGATGGAGTCTCACTCTGTGGCCCAGGCTGGAGTGCAGTAGTGCGATCTCGGCTCACTGCAACCTCTGCCTCCCAGGTTCACACCATTCTCCTGCCTTAGCCTCCCAAGTAGCTGGGACTACAGGTGCCCACCACCACACCCGGCTAATTTTTTTTACATTTTTAGTAGAGATGGGGTTTCACCGTGTTACCCAGGCTGGTCTCGAACTCCTGACCTCAGGTGATCTGCCCACCTTGGCCTCCCAAAGTTCTGGGATTATAGGCATGAGCTACCGTGTCCAGCCAAGACCAAGTAGAAATTTTATATTGTTTTAGAAGAATTAGGTATATAGAAGATGAGGTAGGTAAAAAGGGACAGACGGTCTCATTTCAAGAAAAATAGAATATAGCCAACTGGAAAAGAAAGAAGATCATGAGGTAACTATAGTACACTCAAGATTGTTTTAAATCTTTCCTCAAAACCAGAAACCTAAAAATTAATTTTCCACAAATGCCTTTTCAACAAATAGGCATTTCCTACACTTACTGTGAAGCTAAGATAGTTATTTTTAAAGGTAGTCAAAGCTGATACTTTGCTGCGAATACTATCGTTCTTTTTCCTTTTCTTCTTCTTTTTTTTTTTTTTTTTTTTTTTTTTTTTTGAGACGGAATCTTGCTCTGTCGCCCAGGCTGGAGTGCAGCGGCGGATCTTGGCTCACTGCAACCTCCGCCTCCCGGGTTCAAGCGATTCTCCTGCCTCAGCCTCCCGAGTAGCTGGGATTACAAGTGCATGCCACCATACCCGGCTAATTTTTTGTATTTTCAGTAGAGACGGGGTTTCACCGTGTCAGCCAGGATGGTCTCCATCTCCTGACCTCCTGATCTGCCCGCCTTAGCTTCCCAAAGTGCTGGGATTACAAGCATGAGCCACCACGCCCAGCCTAGTGCGAATACTATTTTTCTAAAGCAGTTTTGCACTATCTGTTTCTGTTACATTGTAGAAAACTCAAATTCCCAGGTGGTATCCCAAGTTTTTAAGCAACTTTGACAAAAACAAACAAACAAAGTATGCATTTCTGTTTTGTTTCTGGTAGCACTTAAGCTCTGACCAAGCAGTGCAAGACTGCTTTCTGGGCTACTGTTTCTGATACTTATCTGTCCCCTTTATTTTCCACACTAGCACATTCTTTGCCTACTTCTCTAGTCCAAATGATCAAATTTATACAGCATTGATTTCTTATATCAGCTTAATCCTAGATAAGCTTGTTGTGGTACCTTTTGGCATACTATTCCTTGTCCTCATCGCATGGACTGTGGAAGCAAACAACTCTGAATTTGAATACTAGATCTATAACCTAGAAACTATGGTACCTCTGGCAAGTCATTTATGCTCTCTGAATCTCAGATCTCTTATACATTCAAATGATTAATAATAACAATGCCTATTTTGGAAGAATTGACTTTTATATGCTTAAATTTATTCAAACATCTTAAGAGTAGATTTAGGTACAGATGGTAGGATGCTCAGTTCTACTCAGACTCGCTTCCCAGTTTTATCTCTGGGTATGGTCTTCAAACATCGTCCTCAATTCTAGCAGTCAGCAGAGATGCTTTTCTGCTGTGTAGCTTTCATGGTCCCTGTAAGACCTACAGGTCTCTAGCTACTAAGATAAAAACACCTGTTATATGGTCCTTAGATTCCTTATCTAAATTTTAGCTCTCATGCTGATTTTGCAAATATCTTCCTTGCCCTTTTCTTGGAAATCACTGTATTTTCTCATTCTGGATTGTCTACCTTGATGCCTTTTTCTTTCTAACTTGTCTGAAAAATACTTACTTAGCTAGATAAGGTCAGTTCACTGTCTTCTTTTTTAAGCTCTCATAAGATTTTTCTCATGAGAGACCTCTGTCTACTACAAGGATCTGTTTTCTCTATTATCTTCACACCCCACCCCATTCTCTCCATGAAAACATTCCACAATATCATGTTATAGAAAATAAATTAGGAAAAAAACCCAGATTCTAATTTCAGTCCTTTTACTTACCAAATACATGACTTTCACCAAATCATTTAACTCACCTCTGAGTTAGTTTTTTCATCTGCAAAATAGTGATATGCCCTAAGACACATACTTAAGAGGTTGAAGATCAAATGCAATAATGCAGATGAATATGCATTGAAACTGTAGTTCTATAATATAATACAGAAGGTATTATCCATTCAACAAAGAGATAGAAGATAAAGGAATCTGAATTCAAACTGCCAGAGCAGGAATCCTGGGTCAATCATCTACTAGCTTTACCTTTTAATATGTAAAATGAGTATTACAGCACCTATTTCATATGACATTAGCTTAACGATGTTGGCTACTATTGCTGTTACTAAATGCCTACTGTGTTAGGCATTCTATTAGATACTGGTAATAAAATGGAATTAAGACTGACAGGGCTAATATCTGTGCCAAAACCTCTATCTCCTACTCCATCTACTACATTTTCTAAGTCATTTATGTCATATGTACTTAACAGCAAAGAAAAATCTAAGTAGTAAAGCATTTCCATAGAACATCAAGATAAGAGTCCAGAATTCCACTCTTTCTTTTCTATAATAATTTCCAGTAAACACTATAGTGATTCTAGTATTTCTTTTCCTAATCCATCACTTGAGTTGAAACTTTCCTGATGACTTCTGGGTAAACTATCTGAGATGTTTCTATCAAATGTAAATAATCTAAGGTAGTATTTCTCAAAGTAACACCTAAAGACCATCTGCTTCCCAATCACCTAAAATGCTAATTAAAAGGCAGATTTCTAGGCCCTCTTTCAGATCTATTGATTCCAAAGCTCTGGCTGGAAGATGGGAGAGTCTGCATTTCTAATAAGTCCCTGTGTGATTTTTATGAAAACCGGATGTGAGAACCATGTTCCCAAGAGGGAAAAACTCCCACTACATAAGAAGTTTATAAGGCCGGGAATGGTGGCTCGCTCCTGTAATCCCAGCACTTTGGGAGGCCGAGGCGGGCGGATCACGAGGTCAGGAGATCGAAACCATCCTGGCTAACATGGTGAAACTCTGTCTCTACTAAAAATACAAAAAATTAGCCGGGCACGGTGGCAGGCGCCTGTAGTCCCAGCTGCTCGGGAGGTTGAGGCAGGAGAATGGCGTGAACCCGGGAGGTGGAGCTTGCAGTGAGCCCAGAAGGCACCACTGCACTCCAGCCTAGGCGACAGAGCAAGACTCCATCTCAAAAAAAAAAAAGTTTATAGCCAAAGGAAATTCTGCGCAATAATGATCCAAAGCTTCATAAAGGAGAAAAATTTTAATCCTCAGAATACATTTTCACATGCTTCTGTTAACAGGGTGGAGACAACAATTCATGGAGACTGAGACCAAAAGTGACTTGAATATACGCACCCTAATTGTGTGTGTTCAATAAATTCCTATTCTAGAGGCCAAGAGAACGGGTGGAAAGGGGATACACTGCAAATGCTTACTTAAATTTCAGAAGAAGGAAATAAAACTTATTGCAATAGTCAGGTAGGTCTGTTAAAACTGAAGTTTCATGATCTCAGAAAATGGAACCACTTTCTCTTAAACTCAGCTAAGTCATGACAGACCTCCCCGCTCCAACTCTCCATGCCTACCACAAACCTTGGATAATCTCCCAAATGTAAACCTTGTCTACCGTATCCTGTGACCATTAGAACAATCAGAGGCAAGGAGATACACGGTCTTTTGATTAAAGTAAACTGAAATAACCAATTAAAATTTACATTTGTGCCTCTCGCTCAAATAAACAGTTATAGAAGAGCTCTCACTGAGATGTGGAACAGAATCAAGCAGCTCTGAACTTTTCAAATAATAACAACTGTTATTTCCAAATAACAATTTCTAAATAACAAGCTGATGAACAAAATATTTATTTACCCACCAAGCCACAGTAGCCTGAGACATTCTCTGGTTCAGATAATAAAATAAATGCCTTAGAGGGCTTTCGTTCCTAAGATGCTGGTGAGTTTAGCACTGTGACTGCAAGAAATCGGGAACCTACGACAAAAAGACGCCCAGCCTGCCCACACTAACCGTCCAGAACTAGGTCTGGAGCAGCAAGGCGGGCGGGGCCGCGATTTCTTCCGCATCGCTGCGCCCGTTCTTCTCCGCCTGCGTGAGCACCGCCCACCCACTCGCGGTGTGAACATACTGGGTCTCGCCTCTCCTTTCCCCTCCCCTCGGCCTGGTGCTGAATCATGAGCCCAATGTCTCCAAAAGGTAAAATCAAAGAACAAAGCCACCCTTGGGGCTGGTCTGAATGGGGTACCACGTCGGGGTGGGGCAGAAGGCTGGAAACCACAACTTTGCTCTCCTTCTTCCCCAATTCCCCCACCCAACCCCCAAATTAAGAGGAGTACTGCAGTGCTCAGGAATTCCCAAGAGGGTGGCCCTTCTCCCAGTTGCTCGGTCTGCTACCGTCCGTCCGGGACCCGGCGCGCTCCGCCTCATTGTTCCAGCGCGCCGCCCGCCGCCCGCCGCCGGGAGCCCGCGCCCTGCAGAGCCAGCGAGTTGGCGGCTCCCGGGGAGGGGGGTTGGGGCTTGGCCTGCTCTAGATCCCCGACCCCTCGCCCCTCTGGGGCCGAGTAACAACAGCCCCCTGCCCACCCCCATAGCCTTCCTCCCAACCGATCGCTAAGGCGGAACCCACAAGTCCCCGGAGGCGCCTGGTGGGTGCTGTCCAAATGCTGGGAGGAGGCGGGAGGGGGGTGGGGAAGAAGGAGCTGGAGGCCCGGCCTGCGCGAAGCTGCAGCCCTCACCCCGACAGCGCGATTCGGTGACGCGGGTACCGCTCGGCCATGGTTCCTCCGCCCAAACAGGGAGCGGCTCGGCTACGGCCCGTCTCCCAGCCGTGGACGCAGGCACCTAGCAGCCCTTGGCCCTCCCTGTCTCCACAGAAGCAGAAAGTGGAGGGCCAGAAGACCCCGTGCAGGCTGCAGAAGTTCTCATTTGCTACTCACCCCAACTGTTTCTGTCCCTGCGGTTCTTGGCCATGGTGGTCCAGGAGCTGGTGGCGGTGAGGCGCTGTCACTGCGCTCGCTGCCTTCTCCGGGGCCGCAGGTTGCTGGCGGTGGGAGGCTCCGTGCCCGCGCTGGGCGCAGTTCGCTCAGACTCTGAGGATGTTGCTGTGGCGCTGGTGGGAAGGAGTGGGGAGGAAAAGGGAGGAGAAAGCAGATGAACCAAGCTCAGCATCACAAGCCCGAGTTCACACAGATACCAGCGTCACACCCTCCCTACCTCAGTCCACCCCCAGACCGTGAAGACAGTGATAGACCACGTACCGCAACATTTTCAACGGAAAACACAAACAAATAAACAGCACCCCCCTCGAACACACTCTCAAAGAATTTAACAGCGTTATCAGAAATACACAAACCGATATACTGCATGATTCTGGATGTTCAAATACCTGTTTCAAGCACGGTTATACATTAGTACAAACAAGCTGGCAACATTTATATAGCCAAAGTAGCTAAAATAATGTGCATTTATCTACGAGGCACCCATTTTTTTTTCCATTTTAAAAGCAAGGTCATGTTAGTAAAGAGGGTATCATGCATTTTTGTATATGTATACTGAGTAGTTTGTCTTAAAATTAGAATAGCAAAATTTATATCAAGAAGATCAAGATAAATGAAAGCTGTAGATTCATTACGATCTGTAACTCAATATCCACTGGGTAAAATTTCCCACTAGATTTGCAAAGATAAGGTCCAGACCTATAGTCCAATAGCAATTATTTGAGCTGAAATCATACTACATAGTCTGGGTATGGGTGGGCCCTGGCAGCCATAAAGGTTGCAGACAATTTTGAAAGGAAAAGAAAAAAAATAAAAATACTTTCAATCTTTCCCTTTTCACTGCTTTCTCTCTGCTACAAACTTAGTTGTTTTCAGTAACCTGGAAACACTGTCCCTTTATACTACCTCAACCTCAAGATACCATCATGCCGTCCCTTACAGTTTCCTTCTGCCATTTGGTTGTTACTCACACTCTGTACTGATCGGTTCTTAGGAGATCACTGCCAGCCTCTTAATTACCAGATCCATGATCTCTGCTAATTCCTCATGGTAAGCAACTCCTCACGCTACACTCTCTCAATGTAATTTACTATGATGGCTTCAGACAGGACCTCCATGCTGATGATTCCCAAATCTATACTTGTAGTCTTCTGCCCTCTAGAAGAGAGGACATTATACCAGAGGTGTGTTTATAACTGCCTAAGGTTATCCTCACGTTGTTTTCCTACTGACATTTGAACATCAACATATCTGAAAACAAACTCCCCCACCACTGCCAAATCTTATGCATTATATTTCAGTTACTGGTTCTAGTGACTGCAGAGTCGTGAACACTGTAACCAAGTTTACAACATGGTTTTAAAGAAGTCTGTGCTCAACAGAGTTGAAATGACATTAATGAAACAACATAGGAAGACAGACATTATCTCATCCTTATACCTATAAACCAAGTTCATAGAACAAAAGAGAAGTGTGGTCTGCTTTTCTTCTTATATTCCTTTACTATCATTCTCAGCTTACATTCCAGCCTGAAAATCCCTTTCATATGAATCCCATTTTTAAGAGTACAATAGATTACACACAAAAAAGAAAAAATTTATATAATTCAACACCTATGCCCAATTGAAAAAGAAATTAATTTTTTAAAAACCTGTTGTGTTTATAATTAGTAAGTAATCTGCAGGTGAATACTTTGAGACTGTGTGAATCACAAAAAAATGCTTAAATAAATAGCTCTCTGTATGTGACTTTTTGTACTATTGGCCAATAACTTTTCATCCACTGATTTTAGCATCCATTGATCCTTGCCTGAATCAATTTCATATTAGTGATTTTTTAAATGGAGGCTTTAAAATCATTATCTGTTGTTTGTTTGTTTTCCAGACACAGTCTCCCTCTGTTGCCCAGGCCGGAGTGCAGTGGCGTGATCTCAGCTCACTACAACCTCCACCTCCCAGGTTCAAGCGATTCTCATGCCTCAGCCTCTCAAGTAGCTGGGATTACTGGCGGTCGCCAGCACGCCTGGCTGTTTTTGTATGTAGAGACGGGGTTTCTCCATGTTGCCCAGGCTGGTCTCAAACTCATGAGCTCAAGCGATCTGCCCACCTCAGCCTCTTGATGTCATGTCTTTTAAATTAAGTAGCTGGCATTCCCTCTCCCACTTTTCTATGTTGAGTCCCTCTATAAATTAATGGAAGCTTTTAAAAAAATTGTGCTATGCATCACCATTCTTTTTAATGCCTAAATTCCCCTAATTTGGCTGAGGGTCAGCTCGTGTGTCCTTTTAACATTGTCCCTTTTTGTCTTTGAGCAGTTCCCTGTATTCTGGTAAAAGAAAATGTTTCAGGTTCCTTTGTATTTTCCCTATCTTAGAACTAGAATAGCCATTTCTCCAAGATGCTGTGGCTCCTTTTAACGAGAAAAGGTGTTTAGAAACCAAGACGTGGGTGCTAGTTGTGCTCATTGCTGGGTGAAGATCACTGTTTCTAGACCCTTTCAGTGGACATTGCTAGAATGCATCTTTTTAATCATAAGTTTAATCTACTCTGAAGAAATACCTCAATAGTATGAAAATATAAACATACATGGTTATGTATTACATTACTTTTTGTTATTGTAAAATGCTGGAAACAACCTGAATGCCCACATATAGATGAGTGGTTGAATACATTATAATACATATACGCAATAGAATGTTATGTAGGTGTGAAAAAGAATACAGAAGATCTTTATAAGCTAATACAGAGTGATTTCCAGAATACAATGTTAAATGAGGAGGAAAAAGTGAAAATAGTATACCATTCCTGGAAAAAGGAAAGGATATGAAAAAAGTATCCATTCATCTGTGAAAAATAAATACAGCAAGACTAAACCAGAAACCAATGAGATTGGTCACCTACGGGAGATGGGTGGGAATAGGGTAGAAATAATGGAAGAATGGGAAGAGGGTAGTAGGGATTAAGGGGACTGATATTTCTCTAAGTGTAATGCTTTTATATAACTCTGAGTCTTAGAACAGTAATGTTTCACATTCTCCAGAATAAGTTTTAAAATGCTTACTATGATGACTATAATCAAAAAGATAATAACAAGTGTTGGTGAGATGTGGAGAAATTGGCACCCTCATAAACTGCTGATGGAAATATAAAATGGTGCAGATACTTTGGGAAAAAGTCTAGCAGTTCCTCAAAAAGTTAAACATAGAATTGCCATATACATTAGCACTCCTAGATATACACCCTAAAGAAATTACAATATATGTCCACAAAAAAACTTGTACAGGAATATGCATAACAGCATTATTCATAATAGCCAAAAGGTGGAAACAATCCCAGTGCCAAATAACTAGTGAATGGATAAACAAAATGTAGTATATCCATATAATAGAACATTATTTGATCATAAAAAGTTATTGAGTACCAATATATGGTACAACATGGATGGACCTTGAAAACATTATAGTAAATGAAAGTAGCCAGCCACAAAGACCACATATTATATGATTCCATTTATATGAAATTTATAGAATAGGCAAATCTAAAGAGGCAGAAAGTAGATTAATTGTTGCTTAGGGATGGAAGAAAGGAGTGGGAGGTTGGGGAGAAATTGGAGAGTGACTGCTAATGAGTATGAGGTTTCTTTTGGGGGCAATGAAAATGTTTTAGAATTCATCATGAAATCAACTTTGCACAACTCTTGGGTATACTAAAGCCACTGGATTAGGCTGGGTGCAGTGGCTCACGCCTGTAATCCCAGCACTTTGGGAAGCTGAGGTGGGAGGATCACTTGAGGCCAGGAGTTCGAGACCAGCCTGTACAACATACAAAGACCCCATCTCTATAAAAAAAATAGAAAAACTAGCCAGGTGCAGTGATGTGCACCTGCAGTCCCAGCTACTCAAGAGGCTGAGGTGGGAGGATCCCTTGAGCCCAGGAGTTCAAGGATTCAGGCCGCTGCACTTCAGCCTGGATGACAGAGCAAGACCCTGTCTCAAAAAATGAAACAAAACAAAAAAACTCCACTGAATTGTACAATCTAAGTTGGTGAATTTTATGGTATGTGAATTATGTTTTTAAAATACAAATGTTTTTAAAAAGTCAAAAGTCAAGTTCATTTTAAATCAGAATAAAAGAAGAAAAGGTATTACTCCATTTGAACTTTAGTACTTTAAATCCTCTCTCTTCCTGACTCTTCCGGGATGTTACTCCACAAACTATTCTCTTCCCCCTGTATCCTCAATTATTTTTTCTTCCATTGGTTCTTTCACCATGCTCATTTTCCTCCATCATAAGTAAAGGGCTCCCTCAATCAGAAGTTTCTCAATAGTTGATGGTTCAATTTGCTCCTTCCCTCTATAAATAGCAATCTTAGAAAAGTATTTATGTCAATTAGAATGCTTTTGGCGGTAACACAAAATGGCTTAACCAAAAAATGACATTTACTTTCATGCAACAATTTGTTTAAAGATAGACTGGTTCTATGGTGGTCAGTTCATCAGCTCAGTGGTATCATGGACTATATTAGTTAGGATATAGCTTTGGCTACTATAAAAATTACAACGGCTGAAATAAGACAAATATTTATTTTGGTCTTATGAAATAATCTGAGCATAAGCCATCCAGGGATAATACCGTGGCTTCAAAATATGAAGGAACTGGCTGGCCACGGTGGCTCATGCCTGTAATCCCAGCACTTTGAGAGGCCAAGGCGGGCAGATTGCCTGAGCTCAGGAGTTTCAAACCAGCCTGGGCAACACGGTGAAACCCCGTCTCTACTAAAAAATACAAAAAATTAGCCGGGACGGGTGGCGTGCACCTGTAGTCCCAGCTACTCAGGAGGCTGAGGCAGGAGAATTGCTTGAACCCGGGAGGCAGAGGTTGCAGTGAGCCAAGATCACGCCACTGCACTCCAGCCTGGGTGACAGAGCGAGACTCCGTCTCAAAAACAAACAAACAAACAAAACAAAACAAAACAAAAATGAAGGAACTAAAGTTCTTCATGCCTTCTTCCATCTTTCACTTGGGGCTTCTATCATATGTTCCATGATGGCTGCTCTAGTGTGGGCATTCACATTTTCATTCTAGCCATACAGAAGGGTAAAAGGGAAGAAGTGAATATATCCATTCTCTCTAAGGGTACAACCCAGAAAGTGCACACATCATCTCCACTCAAATACCATTGACCTACCATGTCCCACCTCATTGATAAATATACCGTATATGTAACAAAAATTTTGGGGTCTAATACTAAACGAAGAAGGGAAATAGACATTGGAAAATAACCAGAAGACTTTGCCAAAAAGACAAAGGTGCACTCTACCATCTTCCATGTGTTGGTGTTATGAGAAAAATCCAGGACTGTATAGAAAAATGTTCTCCCAAGCTGGGAGGGAACCAAGAGACTGAAGAATGACTCAGACGAGTCCAGCCCAGCGAGTGGATGAGTTTGTGAGGACTTATACAGGACACTTCTGGGCAGCAGCAGGATAGCTCTAGAGATCCATGCCACCTCCCATCTCTAAACTGCTTTTAAACAAATTTTCTGTAACTTCTTTGCCTACTGTGTTTGAGCAATGAGATTGTTTTCCTTGATAAGTTCTCAGATACCATCTGAGATATTTGGGTTCTCAGGGACACCTGCTCCTCCAGTGGGCATCATGGTCTTGGCTCACTGCCCCGCCTTCCCCATTCAAGCAGTGGATGTACACCTTAAATAACCTAGTGGGGACACATCACACTACAATCCACCCCATTCCCCAGCTCTTTATATTCTTCCCACCAATCTTGCATGAAAGTCCTTGAGTGGGGTATGAGGGGAAGAACTATACAGACCTATAAAGTATAGCCATGGCTTGTGCGTACAAGCCACATCTACAGTATACAAAACATCATAAAAAGCAGAAGCTAACTACAATTATGATGCCTGTTAGCAAAACGTAACTCCAATGAGTAGGTAAGGTGTGTAACCAATTTGAGAATGAGTCAAAGAAGCTTAATCGGGTTATATAACGAATTTGAGTTGACAAATGATTTAAAACATTTGTGACACTGTTCTCTTCATCAGGCATATAGGCACAACAGGTAGTGCCTCTAAGGGTACGTATTGGTTTTTGTGGATTAAAAAAAAAAAACTTTTTAAAAATTTCAATAGTTTTTGGGGAACAGATTTTTTTTGTTACATTAATAAGTTCTTTAGTGGTGATTTCTGAGATTCTGCTGCACCTGTCACTGGAGCAGAGTATACTGTACCAAATATGTAGTCTTCCATTGCTCACCCTCCCGACCCTTTGCCCGGAGTCCCCAAAGTCCATTATATCATTCTTATGCCTTTGCATCCTCATAGCTTAACTCTCACTTTTAAGTGAGAACATACAATATTTGGTTTTCCATTCCTGAGTTACTTCACTTAGAATAATGGCCTCCAACTCCATCCAAGTTGCTGCAAAGGCCATTATTTTGTTCTGTTTTATGGCTGAGTAATATTCCATGGTGTATATATACCACATTTCCTTTATCCGCTCATTGGTTGATGGGCATTTAGCTTGGTTCCATATCTTTGTAATTGTGAATTGTGCTGCTACAAACATGCGTGTGCATTCATCTTTTTCACATAATGACTTATTTTCCTTTGGGTAAACACCCAGTAGTGGGATTGCTGGGTCAAATGGTAGTTCCACTTTTAGTTCTTTAAGGGGTATCCATACTGTTTTCCGTAGTGGTTGTACTAGTTTACATTCCCACCAGCAGCGTAAAAGAGCTCCCTTTTCACCACATCCATGCCAACATCTATTTTTTTTTAATTTTTAAATTATGGCCATTCCTGCAGGAATGAGGTTGTATCTCATTGTGGTTTTGATTTGCATTTCCCTTATAGTGATTTTGAGCATTTTTTCAATGTTTGTTGGCTGTCTGTATATATTTTTTCAAGAATTGTCTATTCATGTCCTTTACCCACTTTTTTTTTTTTTTTGAAACGGAGTCTTGCTTTGTCACCCAGGCTGGAGTGCAGTGGCACGATCTCGGCTCACTGCATTCTCCTGCTTCAGCCTCCTGAGTAGCTGTGACTACAGGCACACACCACCATGCATGGCTATTTTTTTGTATTTTTAGTAGAGACAGGGTTTCACCATGTTTGCCAGGCTGGTCTTGAACTCCTGACCTCAAGTAATCTACCCGCCTCAGCCTCCCAAAGTGCTGAGATTACAGGCGTGAGCCACCATGCCTGGCCCCATTTATTTATTTTTGTTTTTGTTGCATTTGCTTTCGGATTCTTAGTCATGAATTCTTTGCCTAAGCCCATGTCTATAAGAGTTTTTCTGATGTTATCTTCTAGAATCTTTGTGGTTTCAGTTCTTAGGTTTAAGTCTTTGATCCATCTTGAGTTGATTTTTCTATAAGGTGAGAGATGAGGATCCAGTTTCATTCTACATGTGGCTTGCCAGTTATCCCAGCACCATTTATTGAATAGGGTATCCTTTCCCCACTTTATGTTTTTGTTTGTTTTGTCGACGACCAGTTAGCTGTAAGTATTTGGCTTTATTTCTGGGTTCTCTATTCTGTTCCATTGGTCTACATGCCTATTTTTATAGCAGTACCACGTTGTTTTGGTAACTATAGCCTCACAGCAAAATTTGAAGTCAGGTAATGTGATGCCTCCAGATTTGTTCTTTTTCTTATTACTGCTTTGGCTATGTGGGCTCTTTTTTGGTTCCATACAAATTTTAGGATATTTTTCTAGTTCTGTGAAGAATGATGATGGTATTTTGATGGGAATTGCATTGCATCTGTATATTGCTTTTGGCAGTATGGTCATGTTCACAATATTGATTCTACCTATTCATGAGCATGGGATGTGTTTCCATTTGTTTGTGTCATCTATGATTTCTTTCAGTGTTTTGTAATTTTCCTTGTAGAGAACTCTCACCTCCTTGGTTAAGCATATTCCTAAGTATTTTATTTAATTAATTTTTTTTTGCAGCTGTTGTAAAAGGGATTGAGTACTTGATTTGATTCTCAGCTTTGTCATTGTTGGTATATAGCAGTGCTACTGATTTGTGTACATTGATTTTGTATCCCGAAACTTTACTGAACTCATTTATCAGGTCTAGATTTTTGGATGAGTCTTTAGGGTTTTCTAGGTACATGATCATATCATCGGCGAACAGCAACAGTTTGACTTCCTCTTTTCCAATTTGAATACCCTTTATTTCTTTCTTTTGTCTGACTGCTCTGGCTAGGATTTCCAGTACTATGTTGAGTAGAAGTGGTGAAAGTGGGTATTCTTGTCTTGTTCTAGTTCTCTGGGGGAATGCTTTCAAATTTTCCTTGTTTGGTATTGTGTTGCCTGTTGGTGTGTCATAGATGGCTTTTATTACTTTGAGGTATGTCCCATCTATGACAATTTTTTGAGGGTTTTGATCATGAAAGGATGCTGGATTTTATCAAATGCTTTTCCTGTGCCTACTGAGATTATCACATAATTTTTGTTTATATGATGTATTACATTTATTGATTTGCATATGTTAAACCATCCCTGAATCCCTGGTATGAAATCCACTTCATCATGTATATTATCTTTTTGATATGCTATTAGATTCAGAAAGCTAGTATTTTGTTACAATTTTTTGCATCTATGTTCATCAGAGATAATGGTCTGTAGTTTTCTTTTTTTGTTATGGCCTTTCCTGGTTTTGGTATTAGGGTAATACTGCCTTCAAAGAATGATTTAGGGAGGATTCCATCTTTCTTTATCTTTTGAAATAGTTTCAGTAGAATTGGTACCAATTCTTCTTTGAATGTCTGATACAATTCGGCTGTGACTCCATCTGATCCTGAAATTTTTTTTTTGGCAATTTTAAAATCATCGATTCAATCTCACTGCTTGTTATTGGTCTGTTCAGAGTTTCTATTTCTTCCTGATTTAATCAGGAGGGTTGTACATTTCCAGGAATTTATCCATCTCCTTTAGACTTTCTAGTTTGTGCACATAAAGGTGTTCATAGTAGCCTTGAATGATCTTTTGTATTTCTGTAGTATCAGTTATAACATCTTCCATTTTGTTTCTAATTGAGCTTATTTGGATCTTCTTTCTTCTTTTCTTAGTTAATCTCACTAATGGTCTATCAATTTTGTTTATCTTTTCAAAGAAACAGCTTTTTGTTTCATCTGTCTTGAATTTTTTTTGTTTCAATTTCATTTAGTTTCTGCTGTGATCTTTGTTAATTTTTTTTTCTGCTGGGTTTGGGTTTGGTTCTTGTTTCTCTAGTTCCTTGAGGTTGTCTATTTGTGCTCTTTCAGACTTTTTGATGTAAGCATTTAATGCTATGACCTTCCCTCTTAGCACCATTTTTTCTGTATCCCAGCGGTTTTGATAAGTTGTGTCACTATCATTCAGTTCAAAGAATTTTTAAATTTCCATCTTGATTTCATTGTTAACCCAAAGATCATTCAAGAGCAGATTATTTAATTTCTATGTATTTGTATAGTTTTGAGGATTCCTTTTGGAGCTATTTTCCAGTTTTATTTCACTGTGGTCTGAGAAGATACTTGATATAATTTTGATTTTCTTAAGTTTATTGAGACTTGTTTTGTGGCCTAAGGGCACATATCTTTTAGTCTCCATTGCACTGGCAATCAGGCCTTCCTGCAGAGACAATCCCTAGTGATCCTGGGTTGCCTTATTGGTGCTGTTGAACCAGTCACTCCAGTTCTGTCAGGCAAAAGGCAGAATATCCCAAGGCATACCATTGCAACTTAACAAGGGGAGGAATCCACATACCCCACAATAGGACTGGTGGCTGACCGCTGCTGTAGTCACAGCCTAGTTCAGAAGACATTACCAGCTGCCATGGGTAGCAGAAACAAGGCAAACACAGATGTTCAGTAGGGACCCTCATGGGTATATCTACTCCTTGTAACATTATTATTGCTATATTTTCTCCCATTGGCCCTATTAATGAGGCTGCCACAGGCTTCAGTTCTGGCTTACAGTACCACACATGGCTTCCCTCTCTAGGAGTGGGTATAGTAGCCAATTGGTAAGCTTCCAGCCTTGCCTATGCAATCTGCACTATGACCACTCCAGCAGGCATCAGTGCTGCTGATGTTGATATCATAAGGCTCTCAGACCTCCCTCAAAGAGTACAGCTGGGATCACTTATCCTCCAGCAGCCTTCATTCACCCTCCAGCATCATAAAACCTGAAGGTCCATGTAGCCATCGCCACTTGGCAGATCCACTGGTGTTCTTAGGAGCACAGTATGGCTTCTGCTTCAGAAGCACAGCTCAGTGTCTCAGAGGTAACGCTGAGAGTTTGCGGCGCATATTTTACAGGCCCATTCATACGGAATGATGCCAAGTGTGTTAGTGGGTAACTCTTTTAAAATTTGTATGGTTTCAGGGAGATTCTTAGTCCAGGGAACTTAGCCATTCTGGGACAGTGCATGTAATTGGGTTTTTAAAAGGCCATTCCTTTTTTTTCTGTGAGTCCTGCCCCTGTTGGGTTATATGGTAGTGGAACCTCCAGTCTATGGTTTGTTCTGATGCCCAGTGTTGGATATCGTGGCCCATGAATGGGAGCTCTGATCATTATATATTCTTCGTAGCATGCCATATATGAAACTAAGAGCAGTGAGACACTTGATGGTCTCCAGCTGGGTGGCATGTTTTATTGGGAAGGCCCCAATTGTTGTGTAGTAGTAGCCCCATTGTTGTGTCCACACAGGTTAAGGTATGCCTTTCCCCACCATTCCAGGGCACAGGACCAATACAATTGACTTGTCAGTCCTGTGGAGGTTGTATGGGTTTATGTATGTGACTTGGTGCAGAGGGAACCCTTCTAGGTCTCAGCTGTGAGTAGGTCTCACAGTTCTGAACAGCTGCTAGAATATCTGCATAGAGGATGGAGATGCCTGCTGCCTTTGCTGTGGCCCACCCTGTGGCTGCTCTTATGATGTACCTATATGGTTATATGGTGTCAGTATCCATTTGTACCATGACCACTGACCATTGGTGTTGGGTGCCTTTGCTAGACCCATCAATGTACCAGGTCCTAGTGGGTATTGGTGGGGTCCCCTTATATACAATGGTTGGCCTGGTAGGTGGTTCCGTTGCCATCTTGGCTCCCTCCACTTGTTCAAAGTGAATGGGTCCAAGCACCTCCTGTAGAAGCTGACTTTAAGGACTAGTACACAGGGCACCCCTTTGTTGTAGACAGGCATGCCATTTCTGCAGGGTGTGTAATTGTGCCACCCCAGAGACGGGCTTGGTTAGAAAGCCTTCCACCCACCTTTTATGGGGTAGGCAGTTTTTATTGTGTGGTCTGCTTTCTGGTGGTGATGGCCTCTGCTTGTTGCAATGCCCTATACATGGCTAATAGCTGTTGCTCTAGGACTGTATAGTGGGATTCTGCCCCCTTTCATAATTGAGACCAGGCCGGGTGCAGTGGCTCACACCTGTAATCCCAGTACTTTGGGAGGCTGAGGCAGGCGGATCACAAGGTCAGGAGATCGAGACCATCCTGGCTAACACAGTGAAACCCTGTCTCTACTAAAAATACAAAAAAATTAGCTGGGCGTGGCGGTGTGTGCCTGTAGTCCCAGCTGCTGGGGAGGCTGAGGCAGGAGAATGGCATGAACCTGGGAGGTGGAGCTTGCAGTGACCCGAGATCACGCCACTGCACTCCAGCCTGGGTGACAGAGCAAGACTCCATCTCAAAACAAAGAAACATAATTGAGACCAAAACCCTACAGTTACCATTCCCATTGGCTGCTTTTGCCACAAACCCTAAGTCATCCTTGTGGCATCTCTAGTGACTTCTAATACAAAAGGATCCTGTGGCAGTGGGACCTCTAGTGCTTGGGCTTGTTTCACCAATATTTTTGCTTTCTCAAATGGCTCTTGCTCTATGTGTGCCCAATCCCATTTTTTACTCTTCTTCATTAGGGTGTACAATGGGCTGAGGGTTTGTGCCAAATGAGGAATGAATATCCTCCAGTAGCCCAGTAAACCTAGGAAAACCTACAGTTGCTTTACTGTCTGGGGAACAAGCTGCTGTACTATCTTATCAGTGACAGCTCCAGGTATGTTTCATGTCTTAGTTGACCAGGTAACTCCCAGGAATTTGGGCCCCTATCCCGGGCCCCTGTATCTTTTTGGGGTTGGCTTCCCATCCCCTGTTCTTTAGGCCATCCAAGGTGGTTTGTAGGGTAGTCTCCACATCTGCAAGAGACTCTGAGGTTAGCATGATATCATTAATACAGTGAAACACAGAGACTGAGGCAGGCAAAGAGAGTCTAGATAGGTACTATGCAACTATACTGTGATAGATGGTGGGGTTGTGCAGGTATCCTTTTGGTAGTACCTGGAAAGTCCATTATTGGCCCTCCCAAGTGAAGGCAAACTGGTCTTGTAAATCTTCCACTAAAGGAATACTGGAAAAGGCATAATCCAAGTCAATCATAGCACGGACACTTCCCAGCTTAAGGACTACTTGCTGTGGCAGTTGAGTAATATTGGGTACGGCAGCAGATACAAGCAGCACCACCTCATTTAGCTCATGGTAGTCTACCATCATTTTCCAAGTGCCATTTGGCTTTTTCACAGGCCACACAGGGCTGTTATAGGGGTTCTGGCCTATCTGTACCTTATGTAACTTCTGGATTGTTTGGGTGATCTCAGAATCTTCCCCTGGTAGGCAGTATTATTTCATCTTCGTTGCCTGCCTGGGCTAGGGCAAGTGTACAGGCACCCATTTGGCCCATATTCTTTTTGCTCCTTGATTTATTTTCAGACTCCGTCCTTGTTTTTATTCAGCTCACAGAGGTCCACCAATGCTTCCCCTACATAACAGATTTCATTTCCCATTAACAGGTACAGAAGTACAACCAATGCCCTCTATTATAACATTTTTTTTTCAACTGGAAATCACTCAGACATTCACTGAGTACCTAAAATAATTTTAAGATTTTAAATTACACAAGAGTTCACCTATAAGCATTTATCTCATTCATATCTATCCAATTCATTCGTTTTTAGCAGTTTATCTGGATGACTCATGAGAACTGAGATATTAGACAAATCTAATCACTATTCTAACTTATTTTCCTGTTAACCATTTTTATAGCCTGTAAATATAAGATGTTCACCTAAGTAAAAACCTTAAAGTTCCCCCCTCCCCCTGTGTCCATGTGTTCTCTTTGTTCAACTCCCACTTATGAGTGAGAAACACCAGGGCCTGTTGGGGGGTGGGGGGCTAGGGGAGGGATAGCATTAGGAGAAATACCTAATGTAGATGACGGGTATATGGGTGCAGCAAACCACTATGGCACGTGTATGCCTATGTAACAAACCTGCATGTTCCGCACATGTACCCCAGAACTTAAAGTATAATAATTAAAAAAAAACCTTAAACACATGGGCATTTTGCTGATAATTCAGAAGATTTTGTTACTTTCATTGAACCAACTATATTAAATTAGTCTTATTTGTCAAAAAAACCACACAAACAAAGATCATTCTGGTTTTGGCTGGGTTTACAGTCTTATAACTTTCATGTCAAACTCTGACATCTTAAAATATCTAGCAGAGGCAAATATAAAACTTACCTAATCAGTAAACCTAGACAAAAATGTATGCAGACAATTCTGAAGACATTTCTATTTTATTTTACCAATAATTTTAAATCCAGCTTGTTTATTAAAGATTACTAAATTTACACAAACTTAAAAAGTACTTGACTTTACCTTAATGTGTGAGTACTCATTTACTTATAAGCCAAGTTGGTAGCATGTCAGACATAACATATAACACATGTACATACATATAAACATAAACATGTATGCTCTCTCACACACACACACGCACACACACACACACCCAGTACCTTTTACTTCAGAACTCTAGCCATGAGATAGTATTATAAACTCATGAGACTATAAAGGATAACTGGATCCATATCATTTTTGACAAAATTGGGACCCCTTCATATGGCTAAACTTTATTTGCCTAATAGGTAATCCAGTGAAGGCTGTGGACAAAAATTTGGGGTAAAGTAGTTTTCATAGCAGTTTGATTTTTTAAAAAACTTCTTTTACCCTCTTTTTTTTCTTCAGTTTCAAATGAGTTTCTAACATTTACATTTTAGTTAGAATTGTCTGACCTGTGTAAGAAAAACAAAATCCCCAAGTGGCTTTGAATTAGCAGTACCATAAACAGTGAGTTTGATTTCAACACCAGTAGTTTAATAACAACAGATTCAAAGCAGGCAGAAAAGAAAAGAGAGAAATAGAGAGCTTCAGAAGATCTGATGAACTATAGCTGAAGGTGAAACATTTGAGCTCTGGATTTTTCTTGCTGTAATTTGGCCATCAGTTTAAAAAGGTGCACAAGGATGAGTCATAATATGTAACCAGCTGGCGTCCTAGAAAACCTGGCATGCCTTTGAACTTCCCCATGTTTTTGGAAACATAAGCTACAGGAGTTCCAACCCTTCCTCCCTTTTATCTACCTTCTCCACCAAATCCCCAACCAGGGCCGACATGGATACTCGCATGTGCCTTTCTAACTGCAGCTCCTCCCTTAACTTTTGTATCTATTTTTCCTGCTTTAACAATTTCTCAGTAGCCAGTCTTACCACAGCAACAGCACATCTGCTATTCTTATTGTACTTTAACATCTTAGGTCCTTGCACTACATGCTTACTCCCCACTGGAATTTTCTAAGCATCCCTGTACTCAAGCAGCAGCCCACAAAGGTTGAGCAGTTGGACTATTTCACCCCACATGGATGCCGTCGACCACCCTGGGATTCCCACTGCAGACACCCCTTCCTGAATCTCCCTTTGGTCTCTTAGATCCTGTTTGTGATGCCAATTGTTATAAGAAAAGCCCAGGATTTTATAGAATAATGGTCTCCCAAACTGGGAGGGAGCTGAGACCAAAACGTGACTCAGACAGTTCAGATTGGCAAGTAGATGAGTTTATTAGGACTTACATACAGGGCGCTCCTGAGCAGCAGCAGGACAGCTCTAGAGACCTGTGCTACTTTCCATCTCTAAACTGCCTTTAATTTTCTGGCTCTTTGCCTACTGTGTTTGAGCAATGAGACTGTTTTTCTTAGTAGGTTCCCAGATACTCTCCATGATGTTTGGGTTCTCAGAAACACCTGTTCCTTGGCTGGACATCATGGCCTTGGCTCACAGCCTGGCCTTCCGAGTTCAAGCAGTGGACACACACCCTTCAGTAATCTGGTGAGGGACCTGTTACATTATAGTTGGCTTCTTTTTTTTTTTTTTTTTTTTTTTTTTGAGAGTGGGTCTCACTCTGTCACTCAGGCTGGAGTGCAGTGGTACAATCATAGCTCATTGCAGCATCCATCTCCCAGGCTCATGCAATCCTCCTGCTTCAGCCTTCTGAGTAGCTGCATTTATAGCGTCATGCCACCATGCCTGGCTAATTTTTTCCCAACTTTCAGTAGAGATGAGTTCTCACTATGTTCCCCAGGCTGGTCTCAAACTCCCGAGCTCAAGCAATCCTCCCACCTCAGCCTCCCAAAGCTCTGAGATTACAAGTGTGAGCCACCATCGCCCAGCCACCTTATTTTCTAATGCTGGCTCCTCTTATGTTTTCAAAATGGCAGTTGCCATTCTAGTCACATCAGAAGCAGACATCCATGCCTAGAGACAGAATAAGTCATGTCTGTGTCTTGTGTACCCTGTTAATAGCAAGGAAAACCTTCCTAGAAGCACTCCAGCAGACTTTTCCTCCTGTGTCATTGTCCAGAATTGTCCAAGCCTAAACCATTCCTTTAATAAGAAAAATGAGGCTAGACCAATCAAGATTTATTCCCTAAGACGGGGGAGTGTCTCAGTCTCCCCTGATGGACATAGCCACTTGGAAGAGGTCAACAAAATTGTGGTTCTGATAGTAAGGACAGAGAAAAGAGGGTAGTTATTGGGCCCAAGGGCCAAAGTGATCATCATGGCTTCCACTTTCCCATAACCCTTAACTCATACCTCATCTGGTGGGGTCACCCAACCTTAGTCTCAGAGGATCCAAGTCCTTAGTGCTCTCATCTTCATTGGGTTGCTTCAGTTTCCCACTGTCCAGTAATATTAGAGATGTGAATACTAAGAGACACCCTAGTGAATACCTGGGATTCCAGACATAGTCTTCCTTGTTTCCTTTGCGGAGCAATAACCAATTTCCCCATGGTAGTTAGAATCAATCACCCCAACCAGTACAATGACCCCCTTCTCTAACTGTTGATTTAGTGATCTGAAGACTCCAAAATAGCCAGATGGCAGTTTCAGCTTCCCGTTAAATAGAATTGTGACCATGTCATCTGGGGAAAGTATCAATCCCTTGGGCACTAGGGCCTCCAAACTCACCAAGTCCAATCCTATAGGGACAATATAATAGAGACAAAGTTGTAGAGAAAAAAACTTTCAAGAGAGTTATTAGGAATAATAGAAGAGCCACTCCTACCTCTGCCTCTTGGTTCACAGGCCCATGCATTCTGAATATTGAGTAGATGACAACATATAATGGTGACTGGGTTGAGTCCTATACTACATCCTTACAGGGGTTTTCTCTCAGCCAGCACCACGATTGATCCTTCTGCATACTTTCCTCTATCCTATCAAACTAGCTGTTCCTGAGTGATGGGTAAGATCAGTTAATTCCATGGGCATGACTCTGCTGCCACACTTCTCTCATAATAAAATTACTTTCTTGCTCAAAGATATTTGTGATACATGGTGATAAAACAAGGCATTCCATAAGCCCATGAATTGTGGCACTAATAGAAGCTTTCCAAGCAGGGAAGGTAAACCTCTACCTAGAATATGTATCTATTCCCATGATGACAGGTCACTCTTCCCTCTATAATGAAAGGAATCTAGTGAAATTAAACTGCCACCAGATGGTTGACTTATCTGTCAAGGGAACAGTATCATACTGGGATCTCTGCAATGGCCTCTGCTATAAGCAGATTAATCACTCCATAGTGGCAGTAACTGAATTATCCTTGGCAAGTAGAAGTCTACATTGTTGAATCTAATGTTAGCTTACATTCCTATTGTCACGTAGGCACACTGAGCAAGCACTAGAGTGACTGTGTAAAGAGGCTGATTGACACCTGGAGAACAGATCTTCTTGTATAACTATCGAGATGGATGCCCTCTGCTGGGCAGTATTGTAGTTCACAGTTATTTTCACATTCTGGGCAATTTTAAGAATCCATCCATAATACTTCTCCCACTGACTTCCTTATCTCAAATCTTCTTCCTTCCAAGTAATTGACCAACCTATTAGCTACTGTGCATGAATCAGTACAGATCCATACCTCAGATCAGCTCTTCTTCCTAAAAAAGAGGACAACCAGATGTATTGTTCAAAGTTATATCCACTGGGAGAATTTCTCCTCCTATCTTTCAGGGCCACCCCATTATGGTGTGGGCACAGAATTCTGTGGCTCTCTGCTTCAAGTTGGTGCTAGCATATTATGCAGACCATTAATAAACCAAGCCTAAACTTTTTCTTCCCCTGCTAAATGGCTATGAGCCTATAGATAATGGGTTGAAAAAAAAACAGGTGGCAAAGAAGTAAGGGCAGGTCCAATGGACATTTGTTCCATATGATTTACTTGTGTCTTCCAGATCATCTCAGGCCACCTCAGTGTATACTCTTCCATTTGACAACGGAATTCTGCTGCCCATGTTCAACTTACGATCCAGTAAATTAGGTAACATCCAATTTCTTTTATTTTCTTTTATTTTTTTAATTTTACTTTAAGTTCTGGGATACCTGTACAGAATGTGCAGGTTTGTTACACAGGTATACATATGCCATGGTAGTTTGCTGCACCTATCAACCTGTCATTTAGGTTTTAAGTCCCGTATGCATTAGGTATTTGTCCTAGTGCTCTCTCTCCCCTTGCCCCCAACCCCCTCCCCCCGACACCACAGGCCCCCGGTGTGTGATGTTCCCCTCCCTGTGTCCACGTGTTCTCATTGTTCAACTCTCACTTATGAGTGAGAACATGCAGGGTAACTCCCAATTTCTAAAGAGCAGTTAATGTCACATAGTTACTTAGTATCCTGTGGTCAGGAGTCTAGCCTCTACTAAGACCTAGAAGTAAATCAAGAGTTGCCTTTCAAACAGACAATAGCTGTCAGCAGATAACAGCATATTCTTTTTTTTTTTTTTTTTTTTTTTTTTTTTTTTTTTTTTTTTTGAGACGGAATCTCGCTCTGTCGCCCAGGCTGGAGTGCAGTGGCGCGATCTCGGCTCACTACAAGCTCTGCCTCCTGGGTTCATGCCATTCTCCTGCCTCAGCTTCCCAAGTAGCTGGGACTACAGGCACTCGCCACCGCACCCAGCTAATTTTTTGTATTTTTAGAGAGATGGGGTTTCACCGTGATCTCAATCTCCTGACCTCGTGATCCTCCTGCCTCGGCCTCCCTAAATGCTGGGATTACAGGCGTGAGCCACCGCGCCTGGCCAACAGCATATTCTTATACCAAAATCCTAGGGGTCTGCATTGGGATTCTCCTACTGGGGTTGCAAGAGACTCCATACAGTTTCCTGTTTACCATTGGGTCTGCTGAATCCTAAAGCCTAAGTGTCAGGGCAGCTTGCATCATAGCCTTCTCTGTAGTACATTATGTAGTTCCAAGTGATATGAACAAGGTGGCAGTCATACAGGTTACATGGGTCAAAGAGTAGCAAATGCAGTACATTGTCTCAAAATACAAACAGGCCAAACAAACACTGTGCATCTTTAAGGTGGATGATACAAGGTAGAGCACTACTTCCTTGTTAGAAATGTCACTAATGTGTCAGGTTCCTGAACTGGGTTTATCTCTCGTTCTCTGGTATTAGTGGTATTTTTTAAAGTATGTAGGGTGGTTGCTACTTCCTGCTCACAAGGTGCAATTTGCATAATGTTATCAAGATAAAAGACTACCATGATATTCTACTGGATATCAAGGAAACAAAGGTCCCTCTGGAATGATACTCTATCATAGAACAGAAGTCTTTAAATATCCCTGAGGTAGTACAATGACAGTGCTGTTGCAATCATGTGAAAGCAAACTGCTTCTGATTATTTTTGCTGACGGGAATTGAAAAGAAAGCTACTTTCTAGTTTTCAAGTCAATAGCTACCTTCTAGGTGCCAAGAGCTGTTCTGATTTGCTCTAGTAAAGATCCCCCATATGTGGAACCACAACTATGACTAGCATCAACATTTGATTAAATTTTTAATAATCCACATTCTCCAAAACTAATTTGGCTATTGCACAAGCCAAGAGGAGTTAAAAGGAAAAGACTTGTATCTTTCATATCTTTAATGGTGGCACTAATCTCTGTAATTTCCCTGGAGATCAAATTTAATCTTGGTATTCTACTTTGGCATGGGTAAGAAGTTAGCTAGGGAGGTTACACTTGTTCCTACCTATCATAATAGCTCCCTAGAAACCTAATGTAGGAATTCTGCTACTCAATATATCTATACTCACATATATTTTGGGACTGGAAAAATAACTCCAGAGTGGATCTTTAGTCCCACTTGACTTTCTTAAATCTCTACTTTAATCACTGGAATTTTGGCGGTATTTTGAGACTGCAGAGATTATTATTTAGAGCTAATATCAATTAACCTCCAGAATGTATGAGAATCACCCATTCCTTAGCTCACAATCACCCTGGTAAAAGGCTACAAGTACCTCTGGAAATGGCCTTGGGGAAAAGTCACCGTTTATACCTGGCTGCACTATGGGACTCTCCCTCAAAGACATCCGCCCTCACCCTTAATTAAGGGACTCCAGGTTTGTGAATTGGTTTATGTCTAAGATTCAGGTAATATGTCTTGAATCTCTGTTACAGAGATTTCAGTTAGGTTTCTACCAATCAGTCCCAGGATTTTTCCACCTACATATGTCAAATGGCACTTAAGTACGCTGATGGTTTTATTCATTCCTAGAGACTCAGGGATTAATAATAGGATAGCACCACCTATCCTTGCAATCAAAACATCCTGATTTCACTTCTTCCTGAAGGTTATTATAGTAACTGTGCTAAACATGTCTTTGACAGTTGAGCCACCTGACCTCTACCAGGATATAAAATCATGGATCCCAGTTTCAATGTGGGCTCCCAATCATCATCTCTAATCCACTGAGGGCAGCCACAGAAGAATCTTTCGAGGATATCTGTTCTCCCTCATTCAATGCCTTGAAAAGAGTAAATTGTATGGGCCCTCCTGGGCATGGTATGAATAGAGTTTGACTAAGCAGAATGACTATAACAGAGCAAATCCAACATCCCATCTCCCTAAACCTTGAGATTCTTTCTTCTACAGTATGCCAGGGAAATTCTGGCATCTCAGCACATAGATTGTAAGCTATTATTGAGAACAAGCTTCTAGTAACCCACTTAGAAGGACTTCCAGATGCTCAAGTCAACAGAGCAAATCTGAATCCCAGGTAAGTATTTAGCAAGATCCTACAACTTCTTCATTGTATAAGCTCTCCTCCAAGAGCATTCTGTGTACTTCCCCATTAGGGCTATACTGAAACTCTTTCTTCTAACTCATGTTTAAAGTTCTAAGCCTCATTCATATCTGCTCAAATGCCCCCATCCCATGTCATAGGTTCTAGGCCATCTCCACCAGTGCCCTTACTTTAGCATAACAGAACTGGGTCTCACGTTTAATTAACATTGCAACTCCAAAGCCTTTATAGTCAGGCCCTGGACTTGGTCCTCAGCCATATCTTCCCCTTAGCTATGAGAGATAATGGATTTCTTCAAAGCTGTCAAGGAAGTTTTCTGATTTTCTATTCATGCCTGGTATTTGGAACCCAAAGCTATTTGTCTTGTTTTCATGTACTCTCACAGAAGCAGTCAGAAGAGCCAAATGACACAATAATTTTAGTAAACCTCACTGTTACAGCAGCTAAGTGCTAGAGATTGATCTTTCAATGTTGTGCCCTACACTGACACTCCATTTCATGTCACTGCTGATAGTTTGAGTAATTGTGATGCCACTCCATGCTACAGGATACCACTGTTCCATTTTCCTTGGCAAGTAGTTTATACAAGTAATCATCAGATATGTGAGTGATATCATCCTAGAAAGCCATTTTGAGAGTCTCTTTTCTGAGACTAATTCTAATCCCTATAACTTTATCAATCGGGTTTCTGGGAAGAAAAAGCACAGAAAGAGAATATAATAAAAGGACCATTTATAAAAATAAAAGCTGGGCACAGTGGTGCGCACCCATAGTCCCAGCTACTTGGGAGGCTGAGGTAGGTCGATTGCTTGAGGCCAGGAGTTTGAGGCTGTGGTACAGTATGATAGCACTTGTTAATAGCCACTGCATTCTAGCCTGGGCAACAGAGCAAGAACCCATCTCTAATAAATAAATAAATGATTAGATGACAGGGTTAAGCGAATCACCAATAGATAGTGAGGAATCCTGAGATTAGCAACAGTGGAAAGCCATTATTATCCTTGCTCTGCAGAGACAAAGAAAAGGAGAACTTACTGGAATCCTGCAAGAGCTATGCAGCTGTAAGATAGGATCCCAGCCAAGCATTGTAGCTTTTTCTGCTCATAACACTAGTCTACATGAGGTGTGGGCAAACTTTGGGCACCCTTTTGAACATACCTGTTATTGCGTGAGGAAACCAATAAGGAACAGTGTAAGATTATTTGTAATCTGCTATCTTTTCTTAGCTATTGAATTTGCAGACAAAATCAATTTGTGAGTTGAATACAGAAATCCTTCTACCAATTTTCACATAAACCTTAAAACCACTCTGACGATAAAGGTTAACAGAAACAGCTTTTTAACTGTATTAGTCCATTTTCACACTGCTGATAAAGACGTACCCAAGACTGGGCAATTTACAAAAGGAAGAGGTTTAATTGGATTTACAGTTCTATGTGGCAGGGAAAGCCTCACAATTGTGGCAGAAGGCAAGGAGGAGCAAGTCACATCCTACATGGATGGCAATAGGCAAAGGGAGGGCTCATGCAGGGGAACACCCCTTTTTAAAACCATCAGATCTCATGAGACTTATTCACTATCACGAGAACATGACAGGAAAGATTTGCCCCCATGATTCAATTACCTCCCACCAGGTCCCTCTCTCACGTGGGAATTCAAGATGAGATGTGGGTGGGCACACAGCCAAACCATACCATTCTGCCCCCGGCCCCTCCCAAATCTCATGTCCTCACGTTTCAAAACCAATCATGCCTTCCCAACAGTCCCCCAAAGTGTTAACTCATTTCAGCATTAACTCAAAAGTCCACAGTCCAACATCTCATCTGAGACAAAGGCAAGTCCCTTCCACCAATGAGCCTGTAAAATCAAAAGCAGGTTAGTTACTTCCTAGATACACTGGGAGTACAGGCATTGGGTAACTACAGCCATTCAAAATGGGAGAAATGGGCCAAAACAAAGGGGCTACAGGCCCCCTGCAAGTCTGAAATCAAGTGGGGCAGTCATATCTTAAAGATCCAAAATGATCTCCTTTGACTCCATGTCTCACATCTAAGTCATGCTGATGCAAGAGGTTGGTTCCCATGGTCTTGGGCAGCTCTGCCCCTGTGGCTTTGCAGGGTACAGCCTCCCTCTGGCTGCTTTCATGGGAAAGCCATGTTGAGTGTCTGCAGCTTTTCCAGGTGCACGGTGCAAGCTGTCAGTGGATCCACCATTCTGTGATCTGGAGGACAGTGGCCCTCTTCTCACAGCTCCACTAGGCAGTACCTCAGTAGGAACTCTGTCTGGGGGCTCTGACCCCACATTTCCCTTTCGCACCACCCTAGCAGAGGTTCTCCGTGAGGGCACTACCCCTGCAGAAAACTTCTGCCTGGACATCCAGGCATTTCCATACATCATCTGAAATCTAGGCAAAGATTCCCAAACCTCAATTCTTGACTTCTGTGTACTAGAAGGCTCAACACCACGTGGAAGCTGCCAAGGCTGGAGGCTTGCACCCTCTGAAGCCACGGCCCCAGCTCTATGTTGGCCCCTTTCAGCTGCAGCTGGAGCAGCTGGAAAGCAGGGCACCAAGTCTCTAGGCTGCACACAGCACAGGGACCCTGGGCCTAGCCAACGAAACCACTTTTTCCTCCTAGGTCTCCTGGCCTGTGATGGGAAGGTCTGCCATGAAGACCTCTGACACGCCCTGAAGGCATTTTCCCCATTGTCTTTGGAATTAATATTCAGCTTTTCGTTACTTATGCAAATTTCTGCAGCCTGCTTGAATTTTTCCTCAGAAAATGGGATTTTCTTTTCCATTGTATTGTCAGGCTGCAAATTTTCCAAACTTTTATGCTGTGCTTCCCTTATAAGACTGAATGCTTTTAACAACACCCTAGCCACCTCTTGAATGCTTTGCTGCTTAGAAATTTCTTCTGCCAGATACCCTAAATCTTCTCTCTCAAGTTCAAAGTTCCACAAACCTCTAGGGCAGGGGCAAAATGCCACCAGTGTCTTTGCTAAAACATAACAAAAGTCACCTTTGCTCCAGTTCCAACAAGTTCCTCATCTCCATTTGAGACTACCTCAGCCTGGACTTTATTGTTATATCACTATTAGCATTTTTGTCAAAGCCATTCAACAAGCCTCTAGGAAGTTCCAAACTTTCCCACATTTTCCTGTCTTCTTCTGAGCTCTCCAAACTCTTCCAACCTCTGCCTGTTACCCAGTTCCAAAGTTGCTTCCATATTTTCAGGTAACTTTTCAGCAACATCTCACTCTACTGGTAACAATTTTTTTTTTTTTTTTTTTTTGAGACAGAGTTTTGCTCTTGTTGCCCAGGCTGGAGTGCAATGGTGCAATCTTGGCTCACCACAACCTCTACTTCCTGGGTTCAAGCGATTCTCCTGCCTCAGCCTCCCAAGTAGCTGGGATTACAGGCATGTACCACCATGCCTGGCTAATTTTGTAGTTTTAGCAGAGATGGGGTTTTGGTCAGGCTGGTCTCAAACTCCCGACCTCAGATGATCCGCCCACCTTGGCCTCCCAAAGTGCTGGGATTACAGGCATGGGCCATGGCGCCAGACCTCAATTTAATGTATTAGTCTGTTTTCATGCTGCTGATAAAGACAAACCTGAGACCGGGCAATCTACAAAAGAAAGAGGTTTAATTGGACTTACAGTTCCATGTGGCTGCGAAGCCTCACAATCATGGCAGAGGGCAAGGAAGAGCAAGTCATGTCTCACACGATGGCAGCAGGCAAAGAGAGGGAGCTTGTGCAGGGGAACTCCTCTTTTTAAAACCATCAGGTCTCGTGAGAGTTATTCACTATCATGAAAACAGCATGGGAAAGACTTGCCCTCATGATTCATTACCTCCTACCTGGTCCCTCCCACAACACGTGGGAATTCAAGATGAGATTTGGGTGGGGACACAGACAAACCATATCAGTAACATATCTGATGATCAATTCAAACTGGATGAAAGGGATATCGACTGCCTTCCTCACCTCTCCTTTTTAAAACTCTCATCCTAATGACCTGATACTAATCCTGAATGAGATACATGTTCTATTGCCATCCAGAACAAATTATATAAAAATTGCCCTATATTTGGAAAACATGGTTTATGCCTCAAAAGACAAGTGGCCCTAATTAGTAAAACAATAGTTTAATAATAATTATTTAAAAATCCAAATCATAATTGTGGCAATGTCTTCCAACATTTAATTGATTTCTGTTTAACAGATCTATAGAGCAGTCAACTGAATCATAGAGTTACATGTTGAAATTAGTTTATGTTGGCAGATTAATCAGGAGATTACCAGATTGCTTAAATCTGTATGTTCAATAGACTAAAGTTATTGTCCTTATGCTCTGTCCTTTCACACTTGAAGGTTTAATTAGCCATTTTGTCTTGGATAATAAATTGTGAACCTTAGCTTTATATAAGATAAAGCATTTTATGTCTCCCAATTCTTTTTTATTCAGCCTTGGCTAAAGTTAGAGCTGAAATTAGAGGCCACAGATTACAGTCAGCATTTTACTGAAGAACTTTCAAAGAAGGGAAGTACATTACAAAGCATGTGGCAAACCATTATCGTATATTATAATGATAAGGGTAAAAGCTGAAAAATATTTATGTGTCAGCATGAAGATACTAAGAATGCATGACAATTAGGTTGGAATGAAGGACCTATCAAGCCATATTTATTCTTATTCCATACCTTGTCATATGAAACTGGGTGGTTTGTAAGAAACTCTCTGGTCAGTTACCATGACATAACTAACATATTATTACATAAACTTCAACCTTGAAATTGTTTGCTTAATTGTCTAGGATGTAAAATTAAATTTACTCAGTGTACATTTAAGTAAATTGAATTTGCATTTCTTTACAAAGCAACCCACTTCACTGATCTTGTTAAAATTAACTCAACCAGTATTTTAAAAATCCTTAAGATTCTTTTGGAGTTAGTATAAAACAAATGTTTTCCTCTTTGCATGAATTGCAGTACAAGTAAAATAATGATTATAGCAGACACATAGAGTCTCGACTTTTTAACCACCACATAGAGTCTTGACTTTTTCCATGCTATCTGCCTCTAGGTTGATGGTCAAAGCATATGGATCTGCCATTACTGGCAACATAAAATATCCGCACTCCAGGGTCTTGTTGAAGCCTATGACCTCAAACATTTCACTGCCTAATTCATTTTAAATGCTGTATTTCAAGAATAACATGCTTAAAGGATTGTCAGGATATTTGTCCTCGTCTCAAACTGGGCATTCAGTTTCTACTTTATGAAGAAGGCTCATTAAATAAAATTTTTGGAAGTCTTTGCATTAGGAAAATATATGCCTCTTCTTGATCAATTGGTTACTCTTGATCTCAAAAACACTATAAAATCCTCTGGTTGGCCGATTTGTCACACTGTTCTGGTTTCGTATTTTCCTTCTCTTTAACGTCATACTAGTTTGCCCACTTATTTTTATCTTGTTTTATAGTAAGTGTTTTCTGTGTGCTGCCTGAAATTCCCTGGAGTAACGCAAGTGTAAACATGTAAGAATAAATATATTTCAGACTAGATAAAGGATCAGTGCTTATATGGCCAGAGGAAAAAAATCTCAAATGAATCTATGACAGTAAACAAGTGCTAAGATACCAATAGAACATTTGAAGAGATTTTGAGTCATCGAAGCCAAAAGTATGTGCCCACCAAAACAAGTGCCAAGAATCTTTGAAAGAAGGAACTGTTCTTCAACAATTTTTTCAATGCAGCAAACACATAGGCTTTGTCCATGGAGCATGTAAGTCTGGGCTTACTTATGTTCCCCAAATAAGTGCCCTTTGTGTGTGGAGCACAAGAAAATACATATATGCCCTGTCCTGTTAAGGTGCGAATTTAATTTCTACATTATACAATTATCAACAATAAGGAGTATTGTCAATTACTCCTTATTATACATTATACAATTATCAACAATAAGGAGTATTTTAATTCTCAAGAGCAGAATTAAAAATTGGATGTTCAAAGCCACAAGCCAACATCTCCAACTTGCTCTTTTATGATGTTTCAGTCACTAAATGCAGTGGCTGAGTGTTATCTGGCTTTTCTGTTCAAATTCTCTATGAGGCTCTAGAAATAACTTAGCCAGTATAATGTAACACTGGCAACTTAATTTCTACCTTCAGAGCAAGACTGGAACTGAAACTGCAAAACAGCTTGTGAAATATCAGCCAAATTACTTCCCCGAACTCCTGTTCCATATATGCTGTGCATTGTTAAGTATTTTAAGACCTCTTATATTCGATAACCCCCCTTACTATCCTGTAAAACGCTTTATAAACACTTTCCTGGGTGTCAGATGCAAAATCTTACCCTCTTCAAGCTGCAGATAAGGACACCGAGATGTTGCCAAATATGCTGTTTTGTCCCAGAGCACATACTGAGGAAGTGGTAGAACCAGAACCAGTCTGTGACCCCTTTGTTTTACTTTTGCGGAACTCCTGGTCTCATTAAAGGTGCAATACCAGCGATGAGACACTGCGTGTGCCCAACAGGGACAAAGGTCATTGAGCAGTCCTAGGAATTCAGACTTTCAGAAATGTCTCAGAAGAACTAAGTAGAAGGCAGGTTGTGCAGGTGTGCAGTGCAGCCTCAAACTGGTACCACCGGGATCGGTTTGCAAAACAGGAAGGTGCAGTAGGGTGTGCCGGGACTTAGTTAACCTGGCACTCCCCCACCTCCTTCCCCGGCGCCCCGCTGCCAGGTTACTTCTGGCCCGGTGCCCTTAACGTACCTTTTCCGTGTTTAACTTGGAGGGCTACGTTCCCATCGCCCTTCTTCCTCTACCCGTCACCCTACAGGCCTACCTGACAAATGTGGGGACGGTTTAGCCAAGGCCCGTTGGCCCACGAATGCCCAGGCGTGTGCCTTATTTCTGAGAGTGGGAGGGAGACAGCCCAGGCCCTGCAAGGACGCGCCCGGCTAGGGGGGCGCGGTGGCGCGGTCGGGAGGGTGTTGTGTTCTCAGCAGGCCTCAGGGCGGCACTCTGGTTCTGCGGCCGGAGTGCTCGGGCGGGCCGCTGGGCGCCGACCCATGCTGGCTGGGAACGTGTCTCCCGGTGACGCAGCCCCGGGTGGGGAACGTGGTGCGGCGGCGGCGGCGGCGGCGACTGTACGCGCCTCCGCCGCCCCCGAGAGGACGCGCCGTGCAGCGGCTGAGTGGCGGCGGCGGCGACGGCAAACCCGGAGCTGCCGGCCGGCGCGCGGGAGGAGGACGCGGGTGCGGTCTAGGAAGTAGGTCCCGGGCTCCGCGCTCAACAAAGACGGGGCCGCCCCCATTAGGTACGGAGCCGGCCCTGGGCCCCGGCTGGCGGGGAGGCCTCGTCGGGCAGTTCGCGGGCGGCCGGGGAGGGGGAAGGGCCGCAGACCGAACGGGGATACGGGGCGCCGGGGGCCCTTCCAGGCCCCTTTCTCTTCCACGGCCCCTGGCGGGACGGAAGGGAAGGGGCCGGGCCGCGAGGGCGCGGGCCGCTGGGGGTCGTAGCCTGCGACGCCAACCAGCCTTTGCTCGTCCCTCGTGCAGACGGAGCTGCGGGCGGAGGCTCCATGTTGGGAAGCGGCGCCGTTCGTGCTTGTTAGCGGGAATCCGGGAGCCGCGGGGTGAGCTGGCGGGGGCCGGGCCCTAAGTGAAGATGGAGGCCCCGCTGCGGCCTGCCGCGGACATCCTGAGGCGGAACCCGCAGCAGGACTACGAACTCGTCCAGAGGGTCGGCAGCGGCACCTACGGGGACGTCTATAAGGTAAGTGAGGCTGGCCGTGCTTTTTTCCTGCGGTCGACTGGGTCCCGGGAATGGGGCCACTTTCCTGCGAAGTATTGGGGCGAGAGGAGGATGCTTTTATTGTTGCCTCTTGGGGAGAAAGCGGCCGGGGTCCCTTTTACTCGGTTCTGAGCACCCTCGACTCATGGCTTGTTCTAATCGCTACCAACAGGCAGAACTAACCACACAGTTGCAAACCGCTGTTGCACTTTTTTTGTGGTTTAAAGGCTTTTTAATAGGGCTTATTTATGGTATTGAAGGGAATTTGAATCTGCTTGTGGAATTACACCGAAGGATGCTCTAGTGTTAGCATGGAAAAATGCTTCATGGAAGATAGACAGGAAAGAATATTGACATTCAGACATTTGCATTTTTTTAAAAAAATTTGTTTCAATGGATGAGTTTGACTAAAAAAGCCATATGAAACCCTGTCTCTGAGCTTTAACTGTAAGCAAACTAATATTGGTGACATTTATGCAAGCATTATCCCATATAAAAAGATGCTTTTCCTGGTGGAAGTTTGATCGTTTGTTTTTGGTTGGCGATAAAAATGTGATATTAACTTGCTGGGTTTTGTTTTACTTTAGCGGTTCCTTTCAGGGATTTATAACATCCTATAACCAAGAGTGGATATGAGCCGCTGTCTTTGTATTGTGCTGTTTTGTATTACTTAAGACAAACGATGAGAGTAAGTTACACCTAATTTAGGATTTTAAAAAACATTGTAGAGAAGCAAACCCAATTCCCCAAATCCGCTGAGTTCTTGAATGGTTCAGAGGAAAGAGATTGAGATTGCCTTATGCTTTTTGTTGTGTGTTCCAAAAAGGGAGCATTAGTGCAGCCTATGAATATTAAGGGCAAATTCCTTTGCTTTTTGCAACGGCGTTGTTTATTGGATTTGATCATGATATATATCGCATTGTGCCAAACAACACTTCTGCATATCGCTGAAGTGGTTTTGTGTCATTTGGGTAATTAACCAGTAGATTCCTCTGGGGTTAGGTTGTTGTTTTGCACAGGTGGTTCCCCTCTTTCTACTTACTTTTAATTTCCTCCTAATTAATATTAGCATTTCAAGGTAGTGGTATTATCAAACAGCCCTAGCACTGTTTGATTCTACTGAGATAAACTGTAATGGATAGGCTTTTTATTGCTTAAACAAGCATTTGAGTCTTCTGTACCAGGCACTGGTAGAGGTACTGAGGTGATGAATTGTGAGCAAGGTTCTGGCTCTTACCTTGTGAATACCTTTGAACTCAAAGTGTATGTTTGTAACAATCCTCTTCTTCTTTATGTAAAATTAGAGGTAGTTAACTTAGTTGTTTATCCAGGGATTAGCCATTTTGTGGAATGCTCTTCAGAAAATTGAAATTCCTATTTCCTTTCTCAGTCTCATTTTTTAGTCATCTTTGTCTTATGATTCACTGTGTGTTAGACGAGTTCAATTTAGTTCATGTTAATTTACAATAGTATAAATTCTACTTGTATATATTCTCTTCTCCCTACTACAATAAAGTTTTAGGAGTGTTTTTCCCATAAAGATCTTAAGACCTCCACCCTTTTTCTTCATAGATGTAGTAACTAAAGCAACTCTGGAGCAGGATTTTATTCATGCCTGAGAAAAAGCAAAGATTATATTTAAGGGGCAGCTAATGCCTGCCTTTTACCCTGGTGCCTTCCTGCCCTAGTCTCTCTTCTGCAGTTCCCAAACAGAATCAAAAACCGAATATTCATCATACTCTACCTTCACCCCTTAACACATGGTCCCCTACCCTCACAATGTTGCTTCCTCTACCCTCACAATGTTGCTTCCTCACACTTACATGTATATTCATTGCACACTAGGCCAGCCTCTGATTCTAAACATCCTTAAGGCGTTCTTAGCTCCTTGTCTTTTGTTTTCCTTTGTTCTAATTACTTGGAATCACCTTCCACCCCTCCATTTCCACCTGTTGCTGTAATACCTGTCCATGAAAGCCTTACCCAAATGCTCCTGGGCAAGACAGCCCTTCCCTCTTATTTCTCAGCCTCATCTACCACTCTCCTTAGTCATTCTGCTCTAGTCACACTGGCCTGCTTGCTGCTCCTTAAACATGATAAGCATCTCCCCATCTTTGGGTCCTTGTTCTTGCTATTTCCTCTCTTCGTAATGTCTCCCCTTCACCACCGCCCCCCACTATATGGCTTGCTCCCTTCCTCCTTTTTTTCACATCCTCCCGATCTTTTTTTCCTACTCTATTTTTTGCTTTGTACTTATCACCAACATAATGTTTTACTTATTTTTTTCTTGTTTATTATCTATCTTGATTCACTAAAATACTCCATGATGGCAGGGATTTTAATCTCTTCACTGCTCTGTCTCTGATTATGCCTGCCACAGAGTAAGTACTTCCTAAAAATTTGATGAATGAATGAATGAATGAATATCAGACTCTGTCACTTAGTTCTCTGAGCACATGCTTTTGACATCATAGCACTAAGTTAGCATTTAATACTCTATGTATTCCTGTAATGCCTTCTGTTTGTCTGTTTGTTTGGATACAGGATGTCGCTCTGTCCCCCAGGCTAGAGGGCAGTGGTGTGATCTTGGTTCATTGAAGCCTCAACCTCCCGGGCTGAAGTGATCCTCCCACCTCAGCCCCCCAAGTAGCTGGCACTACAGGTGTGTGCCACCATGTCTGGCTAATTTTTGTATTTTTTTTTAGTAGAGAGGAGGTCTTGCCATGTTTCCCAGTCTGGTCTCGAACTCCTGAGCTTAAATGATCTGCCTGCCTCGGCCTCCCAAAGTATTGAAATTACAGGCATGAGCCACCACATCCGGCCCTGTGATGCTGTCTAATGATACCCTGCGTGTGTATTTTTATTACAAATTTCATCTATTTGAGTTCTCTGGGGAAATATTTCTGAAAAACTATTTTATAGTATATCCACTATCAGTGATCTAAGTCCTATAGAATTTTGTCAGTTTAAATTTACTCCTTAGTATGCCTAAAAACACATAACCTGAAACTGTAGTGCTGAATTTTTTAAGCTCTGGGCAATTAGAGTAATTTTGCTATTTATCACTGTGTTTCTGATGAGCTGAACATCCTAGGACGTTTTAGAAGTATTTTCAATGTAGGATATAAACTAGTGAAATACCTGCAGTAAAGAATAATGAAGGTAAATTAGCCACTGTTCTACTCAGATAATATCCCCCTGTGTTTTTGAGAGATGGTCTTGTGCTTTAGGCTGGAGTCCAGTGGCACGATCAGCTCACTGCAGCCTTGAACTCCTGGGCTTAAGGGATTCTCTCTCCTCAGCCTCCTCAGTAGCTGGGACTACAAGTGTGTGTGGCAACATGCCTGGCTAATTTTTTTTTTTTTTAATGTAAAGACAGGGTCTTCCTGTGTTGCCCAAGCTAGTCTCAAATTCTTGACCCCATGTGATGCTTCTGCCTCAGTCTCCCAAAGGGCTGGGATTAATAGGTGTGAGCCACCAAGCCTGGATTTTTCCCTGCCTTTTTTTTTTTTTTTTTTTTTACACCTTAGGTATCTTTTGAAGCAGAAGCTTTAAAGGACTCTGGCTTTGAGATTCTTCGTAATTTACTTTTATGTTCATCAATACCACAGATCCCCTCTGAAGCTTCCATCTTTCCTGAGAATCCCCAAGAGGGAGAGTTCAATCTTATATTGGCTGTTCTTTGGTTGAAAGAAGAGGAGGAACATAAAGATTCTTTTAGATAAATGGAGTGAATCATTGAGGGCAAGAGCAGGAAATGGTAGAGGGAAAAGAAACACAGAAGAGAAAAGGAATTTGGTGGATGGTGGATGAAGGATTAAATGTCAACTGAGCAGCTTTTATTTGTAATTACTGTAAAAATGTAGATCTGCCAGCAGGAAGGATAAATCTGGAGATTTAGATTCTCAACTACCTCTGACCACAAGGATCTATAACAACTACAGCATCATGATACAGTTCATAATCAGTAGTACAAGCCATTTGGGCAGCCCTTATCCAAATATTTGTATCAAAATTGCTTCCAGCCTAGATTTCAGAGAAGTTCTGGCAATCTGGCTTTTTATTTTTATTTTTATTTATTTATTTATTATTATTATTATTATTATTTTACCTTTCATAGAATATAAATTTAGACTGGGCAATCCTATGAATTTTTTTCTAAGCTTTATTGCTTTATCTGATTGATTATAGAAGAATAACATGTTTAGTTCCCAGGGGACAGAAACAGATGTCTCTTGCACATCTTTGTAATGTAACAAACAAATGCTCAATAAATATTTGTTGAACAAATTAGTTGTAGAAAATTACTCAGAGATAGGTACTGCTAATAATTTAATACAGTTTATTTCAGGCTTATTTCCTAAATGTTTTTAAATCAGTATTTCCAAAATGGCTTTTATATTTAATTTATGATTGGGAATATGATACAGGTCTTTTTTCTGTTTGATTGAAATGACCAGCATTTTCCCTAGTCGTTAAATATTCTACAAAAGTACATTTTTTTTTTTTTTTGGATGACAGGGTCTTGCTCTTTTGCCCAGGCTAGAGTGCAGTGGTGTAATCATACAAAAGTACTTTTTTTTTTGAGACGGAGTCTTGCAGTGTCGCCAGGCTGGAGTGCGGTGGCGCAATCTCAGCTTACTGCAACCTCCTGACTCCCTGGTTCAGGTGATTCTCCTGCCTCAGCCTCCTGAGTAGCTGGGATTACAGGCATGTGCCACCACACTCAGCTAATTTTTGTATTTCTAGTAGAGACGGGGTTTCACCAGGTTGACTAGGATGGTCTCAATCTCCTGACCTCGTGATCTGCCCACCTTGGCCTCCCAAAGTGCTGGAATTACAGGGTGAGCCACCACACCCAGTCAAAAGTACTATTTTTAAAGGATCCGTTGAATGAGCCTTCATTTAGTTAATCATTCTAAGTTGCATATTTGTTATTTCTAGTTTTTAAACTTTTTTTTTTGCAATTATAAATGATGTTATAATTTGCGTAGAAGTCTTTGTCATGTAGTCTTATCACTAACGTGGGTTCCTCTGGATGCTAGATGAATTAGGTCTGCTATGGGGAATCTCCTTTATGTATGCCTTTACTTTCTTTTCCTCCAGCCAAGAGTCACCATTCTGGAATGGCTTTAGGCACTTTGAAACATATCCCAAGATCCCATTTTATAGAGACAAAGCTTAATGTATCATCACACTTCTAGAAGCATTCATTCATTAAAGAAGTATTTGTTGAGTGCTGACAATGTGTTAGGATATGGGGATGCAAACATGAGATGAAGTACACTGTCAATAAGGAACATATGGTTTAGTCAAGAAAACAGACGTGGCCAGGCGCAGTGGCTCACGCCTGTAATCCTAGCACTTTGGGAGGCCAAGGCTGGTGGATCACCTGAGGTCAGCAGTTTGAGACCAGCCTGGCCAACATGGCAAAACCCCATCTCTATTAAAAATACAAAAATTAGCCGGGCATGGTGGCAGGTGCCTATAATCCCAGCTACTTGGGAGAGGCAAGAGAATTGGTTGAACCCGGGGGTCGGAGGTTGCAGTGAGCTGAGATTGCGCCACTTCACTCCAGCCTGGGCAACAAAAGCAAAACTCCATCTCAAAAAAGAAAAAAGAAAGCAGACATGTAAGCAGTCATAATTTGGTAGAAAATTATGTGCCATAGAGGAGAAGTGGAAGAAATGCCAAACTCTGCCTTTATTGGGGATGAAGGAAGGGAGAGAGAGGAGTGTGAACCAAGGAAGATTAACAGAGGAAGGAACATTAACTGGATTTTTAAAAGAAGACCAGTGGTTTCTAGGTAGAGAAGATAGGAAAAGATATTCCAGGCTTTGGGTATAGTATGTGCAAACACCTGGAGGCTTGAGAAGCCGTGATGAGTTTTGAGAGATCTGCATCTGTATTCATTCCAGGTTCAGTGTGACATCTGGCAGAGATGTCATTTCAATTATTTATTTTTATTATTTTATAGATGGAGAATAGAGGCTATTTTCTGGCAGGAAACACCAGCTAATGGACTCCATGTGTCATATCAAAGAATTTGGACCTTTTCAATTATTTATTTTTATTTTTTTGAGACAGGGTCTTACTTTTTCACTTAGGCTGCAGTGTAGTGGCATGATCTCAGCTCACTAGACCCTCCGCCTCCCAGGCTCAAGTGATCCTCCCACTTCAGCCTCCTGAGTAGCTGGGACTGGCACACACTGCCATGCCCAGTTAATTTCTGTATTTTATTTTATTTTTTTGTAAAGGTGGGGTTTCGCCATGTTGCCCAGGCTGGTCTTGAACTCGGAGGCTCAAGCAATCCATCCACCTCTGCCTCCCAAAGTGCTGGGATTTTAGGGTGTGAGTACACTGTGCCCGGACTAGAGAAACACTTTTTAGGAGGAAATATCTTACAGTGTAGTGTAAGGATTTTACAAAGTGGCTAGAAATGTAGAGACCAGTTCCCGAATAATCCGGATGAGAGTTTATGCAAGACTAAATTTAGGCCCTGGTATAGAAGATGAAAGGAAGGGATGGATTTGAGTCATATTTAGAAGATGATCAAAAACACCTGGTAATCGGTGAGGGGCAGGAGGAGAAGGGTAATTGATGGCATTTAGAATTTCTGGCTTGAGTGACTACATTGATGCTATCAACAGAGTTAGGAAATACCAAATATGTGGAGTCTGGATTTTGTGTTTGGTTTTGAACATAAGGCATTGCATAGGTGAATGTGTCTGGTAGGTGGTAGGAAATGCACCTCTGGCCTTGAGAGTTCTGGACTGGGGATACAGGTTTGGGAGTCATCATCACTTTATGGGGTGGTACCTGTGAAATATAGGTGAGGTCACCCAGGAGAGTTTGTAGGAGAGCTGAGGAAAGGCTGTAGCCTTAGAGGGGTGGCAGAGAAAAATAATATATTGAAGGTGTCTGAGAAGAAACAAAGCGGTATGAGGAAGTTCTTTTCATAGGAACGAAAAGTTTCAAGAGATGATCTCTATCATCAGCTGCCTCCATTCTTGTTCCTGTTTGCTCTAACTGCAATGAGGAAGATGAATTCATTCTCCAAAAAATATAAATCTGAAGTTTTGTGTCATTTCTCCTTTATTTCCTTTGTCTGTAGAATAAAGTCTTAGAATAATATTCCTGTTAAGGCCCTGCTTATCCCAATACCGTATCCATACTGAACTTTCAGTTCTTTATATGCACTCTACTCTCTGTCTTTCAGATTTTTGCAGGTATTCCTTTAGAACACTCTTTCTCTTCCATCTTATCGCCTACTCTTTGGGTTTCTGTTTAAACATTACATTTCTCGGTGGGGGGGCTTTTCTGTCCCTTAGAGTAGGTCACACCTAGCAGCTGTATGTTTTCAAAGCTCCATGTACATTTTTTATCATGATACTCATCATTTATCACTTCTCATTTTTGCTTGTCTTCCTGGTAGACTAAAACTGCATGAGAACAGAGATCTTATGTTTACTGTTGAAACACCTGTACTAGTATATTGCCTAGTATATAGTATGTGGTCAATAAATATGCCTTGAAGGAGTAAGCAGCATAGTGGTCATGTAAGCAAGGAGTTGGAAGGGTTCATTAAGAGTAGAGTTGAGGTATGATTGGTAAGTGAGGAAGTAGAGGGAATGTAGCCTGCTCTCTGAAGCAGCTTAGCTATGACAGGAAAGAGAAATGAGGCACACAAATGTTTCTTCTTGTTTCAGGGTTTTACTTTCATCAAGACTGAGTGATTACAGCATTCAGTTACCATTCTTTAAGTTTGTCGTATCACCCAAGTGTCTAAGACGATTGCTGAGTTTAGAGATGGAATTCTACAGAGAAGGAAATCAAGACAAAGAATTTGGGAGGAATTGAGAATTCAGAAAGCAGATAAAAGGAAAAAACATAGGATGGATTTTTAGGGACTAGAGTAGGGGATAAATGTAAAAACCTCCCTCCCTTTCTGATCTGGAGCCTTGTTTGTTTATTTCCAGTCCTAGTTGTTCCACTGCGAGCATGGTTAGAGTGAGGCATGTTAATGAATGGGAGCTGGGATGGAGAACTGGGAGGACAGGATGCAAAGGAGTATTTAACATTCAACAAATACTTATAGAAGGCCTCCTATGGGGCAGACACTGTTGTGGTGCCTTGTGATACATCTAGTGAACAAAGCGGACAAAGATTCCTCCCCTCATGGAACTCAAATTTTAGTGGGGGGAGAGAGACAACAAACATAATAAACACATTGTATAATACGTTACAAGGAGATTAAAGGTATAGAAAGAAGAAAAGGTTGAATGGTTAAGGAGGATCAGGAATGCCTGAATGGAGTGAAGAAGGCAGGTTGGGGAATTATATAAGGATGGTCAGGGTAGGCCTCATTGAAAAGGTTAGATTTGAACAGACTTGAAGGGCATTAGGGAGTTAACCAAGTGGATAACTGGGTAATCAAAGGAAGTCTTAAATCTCTTTCTTATTGAGTCACCGGAACCTGTGTCTGTAGCTGAATTCTAAGCTTAGGGGCAGGCATATTATCTAAGACACAAGCATGGCCATCACCATGCCTTATTGACTGGTGCAGGACCACAGGTCATTGTGATTTTTATTTATTTATGATTTTTTTTTTTGAGACAGAGTTTCGCTCTTGTTGCCCAGGCTGGAGTGCAATGGTGTGATCTCAGCTCACCGCAACCTCCACCTCCCAGGTTCAAGCGATTCTCCTGCCTCAGCCTCCCTAGTAGCTGGGATTACAGGCATGGGCCACCACGCCCGGCTAATTTTGTATTTTTAGTAGAGATGGGATGTCTCCATGTTGGTCAGGCTGGTCTCGAACTCCCGACCTCAGGTGATCCACCCGCCTCAGCCTCCCAAAGTGCTGGGATTACAGGTGTGAGCCACTGCGCCCAGCCCATTGTGATTTTTAATTAAGTTCAGCAGTTGGTTGTAGGTTACCAAGTCTTATGTTATTTTTTTAAGCATGAATTTGTAAGCAAAGAAAATGTAGCTGTTTCTTATGTCTTCTCTCCACCAGTATACTTTGATCTTTAAATATTAAGAGTCTAGTCCAATGCCTAAAAATCTGAAGGTAATAAAAAATAGATGTATGTGATGTTATTTCTCTGACATTTGATATCAAAACATCACCTACTTTCTTATTTTTTGATAGTAACACAGCTGAACTATATGAATATACTGTCCTTTTTGTGTCCTGTGTCTGACATTATGAGAGACTCTTGGTTTTCATATTTGAGTGAGAGAGTGAATAACTTGGAAAAATAGCTTAACAGTAGAAAATAAGAGAGGAAGGATTGTCCTTCAAAAACTTTAAATTATATTTCTTATTAAATAAATGTTATGTTAAATGTTGTATAAGGTCACTGCGAAAATAAAACATGTTTTATTGGGATGATGTGCTACTGTTGTGGATATTTACTATTTTAAAAGTCATCTGGGTAAAATCTTATTATTTATTTTTCTTACTGTTCAGAGGTAGGCTTATTTTGTGACTGCCTAAAGAGAAAATATGGTTCTAATGATGAATGTGAAGCTCTGAACCATACCTGGGAGCAAAATACATGTTATGAAAACTGTAAAAGAAGTAAAAAGTACTTTCAACTTGGTGAAGATAGACATAAAACAGTGCCGTCACTAGTGCAAGTATAGCAATGCATCACTAGTGTAGTCCCCAGATTGACTTGTGGATACAGCTGCAACCTTGGGCTTATTCATCTAGTATTCTAGTTCTTTGTTTACATAGGTTTAGCATTTTCACTTTGATCTTCATTTCCAGTGTATTTTATGAAGACAAATGGGATAGAATACAGATTGACTTAGATTTCTTTTTTTAGTTTTGCTTTCAAAATTTAAAAGGGTTTCACTTGTAAACTAACATTGTGGTTTCAGACCAAGAACACAGAAAGAAAAACATGAACTCTATTAACAAGCAATACTTGTGTTTTTGGGGCTTTGTTGTCAGTTTGAGAACTTTGACTAAGATAAATGAATTCACTTGGTGGTATTGGACTATTTTGAGTATTTGTATATGGAGAGTTTTATTAGAAGGCTATTGCTTTCCAGTGACGTGAAGTACTAGTCAAGTTTGAGAGGGTAGATGACTCTCTGAGAAGGACAAGATGAATTTAGGCCTAATATAATTTTATTTCTGTTAAATATAATCTCTCATGGAGATTTTGAGATGATGATGTGGGAAGCCCAGCTGATAGTCAGATCTGTCCTTGGAGGTGTTTGGGCTAGTGAGTCATACTGGCCCCCGCCTTCCAACATATTTATGAAAATGAAATTGGATTAAAATGACTAAGAATGACTAATGTTTGTATAACACTCTCATGATCAGTGTGTGATTTGTTTCACACGATAATCTAGTGAAGTAGGTGGAACAGATGTGCTATCATCCCTATTTTACCCAAGAAGAAACTTACTGTTACCCTCAATCTTACTGTTAGTAGATGGCACTGTAAGGACTTGAATCTAGATCTTCTGATTCCAGTCTCTGCTCTTTCCATTATTCCAAGCCACCTTAGGACTGCATCTTTAAATTCACTACTCTACACATAGTCCTTAACACATTGTCTGCCATGCTGTAGGCACTATACATATTATGGTCAGATGAGGCTTAGAAGCCTTACCCCTCTACTGAGAAATGAGGGATTTATGGACTGATTTCAATACGTAAAACTTTAGGTCTCAGCACCAGTTTTCAGATGCACTTCTTCCTGGTTATCACTTGGTCATTACTCTGACCCTCATGTTTCCATTCAGAGCCCAGGCTTGATTTACCTTTACTATCAAAATGACTTTGCCCGGGTGTGGTGGCTCACACCTATAATCCCAGCACTTTGGAAGGCCAAGGTGGGTGGATCACCTGAGGTCAGGAGTTTGAGACCAGCCTGGCCAACATGTTGAAACCCTGTCTACGAAAAATACAAAAATTAGCTGGGTGTGGTGGTGGAAGCCTGTATTCCCAACTACTTGGGAGGCTGGAAGTGGGAGAATCACTTGAACTGGGAGGTGGAGGTTGCGGTGGGCAAAGATCGCGCCACTGCACTCCAGCCTGGGCAACAAGAGTGAAACTCCATCTCAAAAAAAAAAAAAAAAAAAGATGACTTTGCCGATAG